>NC_000002.12:109004769-109307799 GCF_000001405.40 Homo sapiens | reverse complement strand
TGGCACATATACACCATGGAGTACTATGCAGCCATAAAAAATGATGAGTTCGTGTCCTTTGTAGGGACATGGATGAAATTGGAAATCATCATTCTCAGTAAACTATCGCAAGAGCAAAAAACCAAACACCACATATTCTCACTCATAGGTGGGAATTGAACAATGAGATCACATGGACACAGGAAGGGGAATATCACACTCTGGGGACTGTGGTGGGGTGGGGGGAGGGGGGAGGGATAGCATTGGGAGATATACCTAATGCTAGATGACGAGTTAGTGGGTGCAGCACACCAGCATGGCACATGTATACATATGTAACTAACCTGCACAATGTGCACATGTACCCTAAAACTTAAAGTATAATAATAAAAAAAAAAAGTGCATCTTATCTGCTCCAAGCTTCCGCCCAGAGCATGGATGCAGCGTTCTGCTTGCCCACAAATTGTTCCCCTCCTAACTTCTGGCCAAGTGCTCCTGTGAGCATCCTAGCAGAACATCTTCAATATCATATATTACAATGCAAATTTGCGAATTAAATCAATGTGGCTACACACAAGTCCAATGTGCAAAAAGGTAATTATGAATATTCAATTTTCAAATGTGCACCTCCCAGCAGTGGAAACTAAATGTGAATGTTCCCTCATGAAGAGTACAACAGGTACTTTTTATTTTTTTAATTTCAAGCCACTGTAAGAGAGAAATAAAGAATGTCTGTTGATTACACAAAGAATCAATAAAGACACAAAAGCCTCACATTTATAAATTAAAACTGCACTGCCATAATAATGTGTGCCCTCAATTATGTTACCTGTGTTGTTCATGCCAAGCGGCA
Organism: Homo sapiens; assembly: GCF_000001405.40. Classification (NCBI taxonomy): domain Eukaryota; kingdom Metazoa; phylum Chordata; class Mammalia; order Primates; family Hominidae; genus Homo; species Homo sapiens. The sequence continues at coordinate 109,306,967 of NC_000002.12, read as the reverse complement.
AGCAATTGAGCAAAAACACCTCCATAGCACACCATCAGCCATCCACACGGGCATGCATGCCGCGGCCCTACCGTACACCGCACACCCGTTGAACCAAGCTTTGGCTCTCCTGCAGCTTACTCAACATACACGTCGACCAGAGCAACCTAGGAAATACGTAATCAACCAGTCTATCAAAGGTCCCTGTAGTTTTTTAGTTTCTTCCTGCACCATCCCCTAGTGGAATCACCAAGCAACAGGAAATGTGATTCTGCCATCCAGGTTGGAGTTGTCTTCAGTAACATGCTAGGTTACTGGGCATTTGGGGTCCACCGACTGCTAACAGCATGAAATCATTCCGATACTTGCATAACAGTGGGTTGCGGCCATGGCATGTAGCTTCCTGCCTGGAGAACACCACCAGCCACTGTACGGTCAGAGAAAAAGCATCCACAAGGGCAGGTCGGAGATGTACAAAGAGGCCCTGCCCTGCCCCTCCATGGCACCTGCTCTGCTCCCATACCTTCTGCGGTATGTGCAGCCTGCCTGCAAGGGCAGCAGCAGGATGGAATCGGAAGCCCCGGGAAGCCTCCAGGAGGAATCTCCAAGCACTCTGCAGGTGCTGCTGGAGTATGCGCAGGGGTTGGAGGCAGGGACACACAGGGGTCAGAACAACATCGCAGGGTGGAATGCAAACACACACGTGGCACCCCTCTATCCACCCCTCATCCCGGCCCCACTGCTGACACTTCCTGGGGTCTGCATCTGGCAGACTGCATCTCTTCTGAAAGACGGTCTGCTCTGACCATTTTAGTGGATTTTCTCTATAAGCGACGTGTTGACAATGTTATCTGCTTCCTGCTGATGTTGAATGAAACAACTTTAGCGTGAGGTAGACAAAAGCAATATCCCAAGCACATCCCACTGTCGCTGCCAGTAAGAGCCCAGCAGAAGGCAGCGAATCACTCCTGAAGTCACCTGTAGCTCTGTAATGCCCAGATCTACTGTGCTCACTAAATACCGTGCTGAATGAGCAAGGAAGGGGCAGCTGGAGGAGCAGCTGGAGGAGCAGCCCAAAGGGCAGAGCTCAGGGGAACTCCTGGTGTGGGAAAGGGCTCTGCGTGGATTGCTTTCTTCTCTGTCACCTGCTCTTTCTCAGTGAGAGATGCCGAGCAGCCCCAGCCTCTGAGACCACCTCCAGCAAGTTTTGTGGCATCTGTCTCAGGGAACCGCAGAGAACACTGCCTGGAATGTGCGTCCTCCCGCATTGTAGCCACACACCGCACATGAAGGAGTGTACAGTGACAGGCATGCAGTGGAACTGAGCGAATGCTGAGTGCACATGAGGCCCACAGTCAAGAGGACCTGCCAGACCTTTGTATTCTCATCTCCCTTAGCTTAGCTGAGACTCTCTACTGCTTGTACGGAGCTTCCTGGTGCATAATTTCCACACAGCACTTCTGCGCCCAGAGTGGGAAGTAAGGTGGAGAGACCAGAAGGAAACTAGCAGGTGCTCCTTGAGCCTCCAGGGGCCAGAACTGGGCTGGAGACAGGGAAATAGGAAGCACGATGTTCCCCTAAGAAGGGGCCTTTGATTGCCCCGAGACACCTGTATGGGCCTCCATGGCCATACCTGCCATTAAAGGTAACCACAGAAGAGGCGCTTCATCCTCTCAGGGAACTTCATGACAGGCCTCAGTCAAAACGCCTCCAGTCTGGAATGAATCACTGAACTTCCCAGGGGGAAACCGTCAGCAGGTTAAAACCAGCTGAGAAAGAGATATATTAGAACATCACAACCCTGGCAACTAACCCAGAAGATCAACATAACCCCCACTGTGGACCCCTTTCTAAGAGATTAATATTATCAGAATAATCAGAAGTCTCTTAGAAGGCAGTCTTACAGCATGGACCCAAATAACATTCAGACGGGGAACCGCAACAAACCCAGGCTGGGGAAGTACCAGTGAAACCAGATATCCAGACAAATGAGGCACTCAACACACATTAAACATTCCTACTCATAAGTTGACGCTGATTTTACAGACAGGACAGAAACCCAACCGAGCAGTTTTCACTCTGGCACTTGACCTCAGCAGCGTCACCCCATGTCTTCTAAGGTGGCTCTCTGAGCTCCCATTTCCCCCTGAAGTGGCTCTCACGAGGTCTAATCTAGCAATTCACAGCTGTCCCGGGCAGGGCTGAGCCGGGTCCCTGCTCCTTTCCTCCACAGGCTGCACCTCTCCCTAGATTAGCTCCTATATGCTGTGGTCACTAGCACCAAGCACTGAATAGTGGCTAGTGAGACGGAGAAATCAAATGTTTAATTTTATCTAATTTTAATTCATTTAAATACAAACTCAAATAGCTCTAAATAGTCTGAACTTAAAGATAGAGGGTGAGGGCAGTGCCGACGGGTGCAGCGGAGTTAACCACTCTTACCCAGTCAGAGCCAACATCACTGACACCCTGGGGTTGGAGAGAGGAGACTCAGGAAGCAGGTCCAGAGACAGGGAACAAGGAACCCCTAGCAGACAACGTGGGGCAACTCAGCCTTAAAAAAGAAGGAAGTCTTGTCATTTGTGACAACATGGATGAACTTGGAGGACATTATGTTAAACGAAATAAGCCAGTCACAGGAAAACAAATACCACATGATCTCACTTATATGTTGGAGCTAAAAAGTCAATCTCCTAGAAGCAGGGAGTAGAATGGTGGTTACCAGGGGCTGGGGTTGGAATGGGGAGGTGTTGGTCCAAGACTATAGTTTAGTTCTGCAAGATGAGTAAGTTCTGGAGATCTACTGTACAGCAGTGTGACTCCAGCTAACAATACTGTACTGTCTACTTAAAACTGCTAGCAGAGTAGATCTTTCTTTTTTTTTTTTGAGATGGAGTTTTGCTCCTGTTGCCCAGGCTGGAGTGCAATGGCGCGATCTCAGCTCACTGCAACCTCTGCTTTCCAGGTTCAAGCAATTCTCCTGCCTCAGCCTCTGAAGTAGCTGAGATTATAGGCAAGTGCCACCATGCCTGGCTAATTTTGTATTTTCAGTAGAGACGGGGTTATATCTTATAGTAAGGATTCTTACCAAAAATAATAACAATGTTAATAACAAAGGAGGCAGGAGGCGATGCACAACTCTGAGAGGTGATGAACTTGTTCACGGTCTTGATGGTGGTGATGGCTTCACAGACTCACCCCCAGACTCATCGAGATGTAGAAATTAAGTATGTAAAATATGCCCAGCTTTTTATATGCCAACCAGGCCTCAACAAAGTGGTTTTTAAAAAACTAAAATACCAAGCAAAACAAAACCCGAATGTGGGCAGTCTCCTGCACTTGCCAGCTGGCTCTGTTGCCTCCCTGACTTTGTCTCGCCAGCCCGTGTGGCGGCCCTCTCCCGTCCCTTGGGCATCATCGGGTGGGTTTCCTTCCTGGAGGCTCAGAAGGAAACAGACCATTGCAGGGTCACCTTACTGGCTACCTAGGCCTGAAAATATTTTCACTTAAAAAGTTTCATCTTCTTAGTGTTCTGCCATGTACCAGTCTACACAAAGATCATCCTACATTAAAAATATAGTGTGAGCGAAGGAGAAAAGTCTGGCCCCCAAAGTGGGGAGTGCCCACCTTCATTCAACTGAACGCACACCTTGTCTTAACCCTGCCAGAGGCAAGCTCTTTCCTCACATGGATGGACGTTCCAAATTCACTGGGAAGCATATGTGAGGGAGGTGGTCCTCAGATCCTGTTGGGGCCAAGTGAATCTCTCCCAAAGTTCTTTGGCTACAGTGGAGTTTAAAAACTAAGGAGATCGGCCGGGCGCGGTGGCTCACGCCTGCAGTCCTAGCACCTTGTGAGGCTGAGGCGGACGGATCACCTGAGGTCAGGAGTTGGAGACCAGCCTGGCCAGCATGATGAAACCCCGCCTCTACCAAAAATACAAAATTAGTAGGGCATGGTGGTGCATGCCTGTAATCCCAGCTACTAGGGAGGCTGAGGCAGGAGAATCGCTTGAACCTGGGAGGCAGAGGTTGCAGTGAGCTAAGATCATGCCACTGCACTCCAGCCTGGAGGACAGAGCAAGACTCTGCCTCAAAAAACAAACAAACAAAAAAAGCTAAGGAGATCAGATAATCTGATCTCATGTTCAGATGTAGAGATCACTAGAATGTCCACTTTTCTCCAGCATAACCTTATTTAACTTATTTCAGCCTCCGAGAGGCAGGTGAAATGTCGTGTCTGAAAACAGGAAGAACATAGGAGCACCATGATGCCTTGTCTCCCGGGATCACTTCCAATGGCAGGACTGTGGAAAACTCCAGAGGTCACGCCATCCCGAGCCAGACCTGGCGGCCTGGGCTGGCTAATCCCCTACGCAGCAGTGAAATTTAGCACTGTCAAAATTTAGCACTGTCAGCAGCACAGCACAGGGTCTCTGGCCTGGTCCCCAAGCTCCTAGAGGGCTGTGGAGCATCTTCGGTGCAGGCAGAGCCCTCCCCTATGGGGGCCCTAAGAGGAGGCACATGTTGTGCCTGGTTATTCCTGGCTCTCTGCCTCCATGGCATGGCAGGATTGCACCAGTTCTGTGTTTGGGTATGGTCAGCATGAACAGAAGCAGCAAGCATTTCACCTTGCTGTTCCTGCAGCCTAACTTTCCCATCCTGACTGATCCATCACAGATATGCTGTTATGGATGATTACAGTCACAAAAAAATGCCCCAGGATTCAGGTATGTCAAACTGACACTTAGAGCAACCTGAAAGCATCACACACCACAAATTGCATGTGTCCCAGCACTGGCTGTAGGAGTACCAACGCCAGCTTTGCAGATCCGTGTTCAACAGAGCAGTCTGAAAAAATGACCAGCCTCTCCATTCTCTGCTATCGATTGCAGTGGGAGGAGAGAAGACACAGTGGGCAGAATTCTTCAAATGCTCAAAGCTCTAGAAAGAAAAACCTCTATGGCTTCCTGAGAAGAACTGAGTCACACAACGAAGATGCTGAAATCAGCACAGGTCCAGGAAGACATGCAGGAGAGGCTGCGGGAAGGAGGGCAGAAAATGGACCCCGGTCCCGCACCGGGGAAGCTACTTAGGCCAACACCCTTGAGAACAGACTTCTCTCCATTTGTCCAAAATTCTCAAACATGCTAAAGAGGCAAGACAGGGCCAGAATGAAGACAAGAAGGATGGTACCTGTGGGCAACCCACCCAAAAAGGATGGGTAGGAAAGTGCAAGGCCAGCTTAGCAAATACATGGGAATCAAAGGCCTTTGAGAAACCACTTTTCTCCTCAAAACAACAAAATACAGCTCAAATTTCTATGCAAAGGAGCCTAGTGGTCTCGGCATGGCCTGAGGTGGGGAGAATGCTCTGAGCCCACAGAGGCCCTGGGGACGGTGGTAGCGTAGACACTAGGCTGTCAGAGGCTGTGGTTTATGGGCTCTGGGCACCCTGGTGTCCTGGCATGCCCTGTGCTGTCACTCTGCGGCACTGCCCTCTCCATCCTCAGACACCTGCCATCAAACAGCGAAGGGGCCAGCAATCCCCGGAGGAGAGGAATGCAGGGGAGACTACATGAGTTCATACACAGACAGAGACCCAAGGTCCCCCCACCACACACAAAACATACACAAACACACACACACACACACGTCACACAGATACACAGCCCGCCCCCCACCACATACACACACAGACACACACCACACACAGCAAGTGTGGCCACACGGGAGAAAGTCTGAGTCCCGGTGCACAGAGATCAGCAAACCCCTGACATCAGCCTGCGCAGAGGAACCAGGGCAATCCCCCTCTTGACTCTGCTGTCTTTGGACTAATCTAAGGCTTGCAGCTAGTGAGCTGGCCTTCTATTCCCACAGTATTAAAATAGCAATGATTATTTATTGAGAATTTACTGTACTGGGCACTTCATACACAACTGTATTGAAGTCTCCCAACTTTCAAGTGAGACACCCTGCCCCTCTGCAGATGAGGAAGCCAGACTCAGGCAAGGCTAGTCGGCACCAGCATCTGCAGCTGGTAGCCAGCAGCCATGCTGTGGCCCTCACCTTCTAACCATGGCCCAGCTGCCTCCAAAGCAGCAGAGAGGGCACTCTGCTTGCTTTTTAAGTCGTTCTGATTTAGTAGGAGCCTTGGAAGGCAAAGACTGTGGTAATGACACTCTAGGTGATGACACTCACTTCTGAGAAAGGAGGTGGAGCCCAACCCACATGAAGTCTGCTCCAGCTGGTGGGCTCTGAAGAGTGTGCTCAGTCTGATGTTGGAAGGTGGTGAAGGAGGAAGAGGAAGGTGGTTGGATGGAGAAGGAAGAGGAAGATGGATGGAGGACGAGTGGTTTCTTACCACCAGGAAGAACCTGAAGTCCCAGTGCATATTTGCCAATCATACCCCTAACCATCCCCTATGGAAAAGGATGCCTGTCATCTCTGGAGCATGGATTCATGTCTTTTCCTCACTCAAGGGCTTACCTGGTATAAAAACTCAGGGTGCGGATGGGCGCAGTGGCTCACACCTATAATCCCAGCACTTTGGGACACTGAGGTGGGTGGATCACTTGAGGTGAGGAGTTGGAGACCAGCCTGACCAACGTGGTGAAACCCCATCTCTACTAAAAATACAAAAATTAGCCAGACATGGTGGCGTGCGACTATAGTCCCAGCTACTCGGGAAGCTAAGACAGGAGAACTGCTTGAACCCTGGAGGTGGAGGTTCACTGCACTCCAGCCTGGGCGACAGAGTGAGACTCTATCTCAAAGAAAAGAAAAAAAAATTTCAGGATGCCCTCTCGAGAGCATATCTCAGGGCCATTATTCTTCCCATCCCTGTGTGTGCAGGGACACATGCACCTAGCTGTCATCAAATGTCCACCTCTCTTATCCTTGCTGCTCACCCAACACTGTGTAAGCTTTGTTCATTCACTCACCCATGCAGTGACTGGGCACTGTGCAGTGCCTTCCAGTTTCCAAATTCTTGAAGAAAGAGCGAAATAAATAAATAGAACAAATCCCTGCTTAAAGCTTTATCATCCTATTCCTTTGCTAAGAGCTGGCTCTGCACATCCTACTTGTCATTCAGGAGTTCTGAATTTTCATTTTGGGCTTTTTAATTGAATGTTCAGCCTGGCTGTACATGCTGGGTTTTGTAAGCATTTTAATCAATAAATAAACGAGCCCACACCACGGCCACATCCTCCATCTGGTGCTGCCAACTGAGCAGAGAGTGAAAGAAAAGCCTTGCTTGAGGATTCTCTTTCTTTATCCCCCTGATTATTTAGAACATTCCGGGCAGAACTGGCTTTTAGGTTCGGCAAGTACAGGGCAAAGGAAGGGCCTTACAATTCAAGGTTTCCTGTGAGCTCATGCAAGGAAACTTTAGGAAATGGAAGGAAATGTCACCCCATGATGATGCTTGGTGACTCCCCTGGGAGCGCAGTCCTCCTGTCCTGGGGTGCAAGGCTAAGGCCTAGGGGTACATCATGGGAGGTCTCCCTGCTTCAAAAGGCCCTGGTGGCTGGCAGACTTAAGATCACCCTTAGGGTGATCTTAAGGATGGCCACTCAAGGATGTGTCAAGGACCCTGATGTGCCAAACACTTTCTGGAATATGTGGTCACAGCAGTAACCCAAATGGGAAAATATCCCTGCCCCTGCAAGCTTCAAATTTTCATCTGAAATAACAAAATAAAATCTATAAATAAAATCCCAAGAAAGCTAAAGAGTGAGAGGTCCTTTGGAGAAAGCAGCAGGCAGTCCTTGGGGAGGCAGGGTCGCAGTTTTAACTGGAGTGGTCAGAGGAGGCCCCGTGAGCAGGTGGCATGGAGGCAACACCCATGGGGAGAGGAGCTGAGGGGGCCTCATCTGCAAATGCCCTGGGGGAGCCTGCCCAGTGGCTTGTGGGGAAGACAGGGCTGGTGTGGCTGAAGCAGGTGACCCAGAGGGCACTGGGGGGAGACATCACCAGGGAGGCAGTGGGTGGGGGTTGGTGCAGGCCGGCGTGGGCCGTGTCATACGGCCTGGCTTTTTCTCTGACAGTGATGGGAGGCACTGGGGAATTCTGAGTTGAGGACTGGCATGATCTGCCTTCCCTTTCAACAGGATCACTCTGGTCACTGTTTGAGAATAGATGCTAGGGCAAGGGCAGAAACAGGACCCTCTGGTGGCAGCTCTGTCATCCTGGGGAGAGACACAGAGGGACCAGACCAGGGGTGGAAGAAGGTTAGATCAGGGATATTTCACAGGGTGAGCTGATGGGGTATGTCAGTGTGGGGAAACGGACCTGGACCCACAGGAGCCAGGGAAGGCCTGGCCAGAGGGAGCACGGAACGGGTGTGCTCCGAGGAGCATTTGACTGACACCCCTTTCAGCTGGCACTCCCTGAGGACCCCGGGGCTCATCCTCCTGCAGGGCTGGCAGACAACAGTTGGCCAAAGTCAAGGTCAGGGTGGGGCTCACCACCTGGAGCAAAGTGACCTAAATCATCCCCCACCCAGCCTGGGCTCAGAAATGGTTTTTCCCTGAGCCGTGAGGGACCCTCCTTCAATGACCCACAGACCATGGGAACTAGGGCAGCCATCACTCTGCTCTGAGGTGCTTCTACCCCAGCAGAAACTGAACCAGGCTCCAGAACTGCAGGGACAAGGATGACAGACATAGATGCGCTTCCCTTCCCGCCTGTCTAGCCAGCCACGGAGTTCTCTCTGCTCCTCGGGGACATAGCTGAGATCATGCTCCTGCCTGCTCTCCATGCCTCTCCTTCCCTTCTCTGCATCTATTTGGTGACTTCTCTATCCCCAGCTACTTCTACCAGCTGGGCCATCCACCCGCCCTTGGCTACTGCCACAATGCCCTATTCACCTCTGCATCCCCCTGAGAAGCAGGTTTGAGTGGGACAGATCCCCACCTCCAGTGCAGAACATCCCACAGGGTACGTTCCCACACTGCACCACACACCAGCCTCAGCTGTCACCAGCTGAGGCGCAAACCCAAGGCTGCCTGGGGCACTGGCCTGGTTGAGGGGCACTAGTCTGGTGGTGGGGGGGGAACACACATCTGGGTGGGGAGCATTGACATGGTTGTGGGCACTGACCCATGTGGAGGGTATTGGCCTGGGTGGGGCGAACTGGCCCAGGTCGGGGGCACTGTCCTGGTGAGGAGCACTGACCTAGTGGGGAGAGCTGACCTAGTTGGGGGCAATGACTGAGTGGGAGGCACTGACTGGATAAGGGACACTGTCCTGGTGGGAGGCACGGACCCAGTTGGGGGGCATGGGCAGAATGGGGGGCATTGGCCCAGTGGAAGGCACTGACCAGGGTGGGGGACACTGGCCTGGTGGGATGGGGCTGGCCTGGGTAGAGGGTACTGACCCAGGTTGGGGGCACTGACTGGGTTGGGGACACTGGCCTAGGTGGGAGGCATTGACTTGGGTGGGGGGCACTGGCCTGGGTGGGAGGCACTGACTTGGGTCGGAGGCACTGGTCTGGTGGGGAGCACTGACCCACACCAGGCACCCCTCTGGCTCTGGAGGAGGTATGCCCAGGGTGGGTACACAGGCCTCTTGCAGGCGGCTATGTGGGCTGCTCCCCTGGGGGGCAGAATCTCTCCTCCTTCCCTTCCCCTCTTTGGTGGGTTTTCTCTCAACTGAGCAAAGGGTCTCATCGAAGATGGAAGCAGAAGTCAGTCTTCTCTGTTACGTACAGCATTTGTATTAACAGTGATGACGATGATGATGATGGTGTCAATGAAAAACAGCTGAATGAATCGCAGGGTCTTCTTGGGGAACTCACCCCCCTGCAGAGGCCCTGCTCTCTCTGCTGTCCTCCCTAGCTCACTGCCCCCACAGCTTTCTTACTCTCTGTGGAGCCGTATTGGGCTTCCCATCCCGGTCACCCCCCACCTGGACCAACAGCTGCAGTCTAGTTGGCCCCACCAAATACCCAGGGCCAGGCATACAGCAGGTGCTCAGTAAGAGAATGCTACAGGAATGGAGGAGGAAATAGGTAAATCACTAGCTCCTCAGGGTAGGTCCCCAGGCCTAGTTAATCCACACTGCAGCCCAATCCACACTCCTGTGTTTAAAACTCAAAATAACATCTGGCAATGCTATAGCAGTGCTGTCAGGAGGTGAGACGCCTTGGGGGCCACTGGCAGCAGCTCTGCTAGTGTGGTCAGTGTCCCCAGCTGACCACTGCCTATTCCCACACGCCATGGCAAGTCCCAGGCCACGCGAATCCTCTGCACTCCCCTCACCTCACAGGGGACTCTGCAGAATCTCTGCTGCCCATGACACCTGCCTCCACCCACAGGAGCAAAGGGAGCAAGAACAGATGGTGCAGGGCCCAGCTCATTTACCCTGAGTCCCTGAGAAGCCACAGGTGGATGTTAAGGAGGGGCAGGAATCATGCCCTGATGACCTTTAAAAGGTCATTCTGAAGGCTGGGCACAGAGGCTCACACCTGTAATCTCAGCATTTTGGGAGGCTGAAGCGGGTGGATCACTTGAGATCAGGAGTTTGAGACCAGCTTGAACAACATGGTAAAACCCCATCCCTACTAACAATAAAAAACACACACACAAAAAAAAAACTGGGTGTGGTGGTGCACACCTGTAATCCCAGCTACTCGGGAGGCTGAGGCAGGAGAATCACTTGAACCTGGGAGGCAGGGGTTGCAGTGAGCCGAGATAGCACCATTGCACTCCAGCCTGGGCAATAAGAGTGAAACTCCATCTCGAATAATAATAATAATAATACTAGGTCATTCTGTTTAGAGTGGAAGCCAGGAGATGGGAGGAGGCTCTGGGTCCTAGGGGATAATGCTGACATGGGCGGGGTTGGGGGCTGCGCACAGACGTAGAGAACAGTGAATGGACCCAGCAGCCTTCTGGGGGGCCAACCTGGCTGGGGCAGGGAAGGGATCCTGGGGAGGAAACTTCATTACAGCACCTTCAGAGCCTCCCATCAATCCTTCACAGATGTCAGTCTCCAACCAAGCTATAGTGAAGGGCTGCAATGTCTCTCACAGTCACAGAGGGAGCAGTGTCGGCACAGGCAGGAGGCTGGGTTCTGTCCTCAAGCCCCACCTCTAAGGAGCTCCCACTTACACCTGAGAGAGAGTCCAGCTTCAAGCTACACAGAGATGCCCGTGCAGGGAGTGCCAATTGCAGCCATCCGTAAAGCCGGCCAGAGTCCACCACAGACGTGCCCACAAGATCTCACAACCATGGGAGATTCAGGTGAACCTCCCCAGGTAAACCTCCCCCTCCCTGATCTTCATGTCCCCAAATGCCGGCCTCCTGACACCAACCAGGCAGCAGGCCCCTGTCCTGTGGGGCTGCAGTGAGTCTGCAGCATGCCTGGGCACTTGCAGGTGGCTACAAGCATGTGGCTGGGATCACCACCTGGCCCTCCACAGTGAGACCTCCTTCTCTCAACATGAAGCCCCCTTCTTCACAAGAAGGACAAAGCTGTTAGGGTCCAGCCCTGCTTCCTTTCCCAGCCTCACCTCCCAGGGTCCTCTCCCTGCCCTGCGTGCCCCTCGGCTCCCGCCCTGAGTTCTTTAGACACTGAAGACTTCAGAGCCAGGCGGCCTGGGTTACAGCCTGGCTGGTGCTCACCAGCTGTGTGACTTGAGCAATTGTTTAACCTCTCTGACCTGTGGTTTCCTCATCTACAAATTGGGGATGACAAGAGCACCTGCTTCCTGGAGCCACCGCAGGCCCAAGCGAGGGAGTGTGTGCAAAGGAGCCCAGGGTGCCTGCATGCCTGCCATGAGCTCGCTCATCACTGGACAGGGGTGGAGAGGGGCAGGCACCTGCAGGCCAGGCGTGGGTGCTCCGTACCACACCACTTGCATGCCACTGGATGAGATACTCTAAGTCTGCATCTCAATTTTCTCATCTGTGACATGGACAACAGTGGCATTTCCTGCAGGGATCCTGAGAATTCATAGCGATGGCTAATCCATGGAATAGCTTGGAAAAGGCCTGGCTACCATGAGCCCTGAATGAACATCGGCTGAAAGAACAACTGGGAAAGTGCTGTTTCCACTGCCACCCACTTCCTTCCCTCCCTGCTTCTCTCCTCACTAAGTCTTTCTCACTCATGCAGCACCTCCTCTGTGCACCCCAAGATGCCCAGCTCTGGGGCAGAGGCTTGGCTAAGCCTGGGCTGAGTCGGTACCTCCTCACTTGGAGCCATCCTCCCACTCGGGTCGTGACTGCCCCTTTCTTGGGTGTGGCCCTAGCTTCCCCTGTAGGGCTGTGTCTGTCTTCCTCCCAGCTGAGCCCAGCCCCGTCACCACATCACCCAGCAGGGTGCTCAAGCCTATGATGATCAGATGGAAGAATGCAAGGATGGCTCTCACAGCAATTCTTTTTTTTTTTTTTACCTTTTTTTTAATTAATTTTTTTTTTTTGAGACTGAGTCTCCCTCTATCACACAAGCTGGAGTGTAGTGGTGTGATCTTGGCTCACTGCAACCTCCACCTCCTGGGTTCAGGTGATTCTTGTGCCTCAGCCTCCTGAGTAGCTGGGACTATAGGCACCCACCACCATGCCCGGCTAATTTTTGTATTTTTAGTAGAGATGAGGTTTCACCATGTTGACCAAGCTGGTCTCGAGCTCCTGGACTCAAGCGATCCACCAGCCTTGGCTGCACAAAGTGCTGGGATTACAGGCATGACCACCGCACACGGCACAGCAATTCTTTATACAGGCAGGACACTGTCTTCAGAGCAGCTCCCCATGTCTCCAGCAAAATCCCCCACCAAGGAGCTGTATGTGACATACAAATTCCTCCTTTGAAACAGTGGAAGAAAGACTTTCGGGCAGAGTAAACTGATTACATGGAGGGGCCCAAGGAGCAATCATAAACCACAACAGAGCTCCATCTTACATGTCAGAAGGAAGAATCCAGGTCACTTTCCAGGCAGAGAAAAGACCATTCCAAGAAGGGATGTGACACAACCAGCTGCTCGGCCAAGCACTGCCCCCTGGATGCTAGACCCCCACCCAGGGAAGCTCTTGGAGAACATAGAGGAGGGCGCCGGCCATTGGTAAAGAGTCAGGGCTACTCGGCAACAAGCCTCAGGCTGTTTCACAGGAGGGAAATGTGAGGTAGAGGAGCAAGACACCTGGGCTGCGGCTCCCAGCATTCCCGACTCCTGATCTGTAACAAAACCCCAGCGTTCACCTACAGCTGGGAGAGGGTGCACCCTGTTCACATGGCTTTGAGCAGGTGATTCAGGGAAGGCTGACAGCCAACATGAACATTGCTAGGACAGGACACTCACTTTCCGATGTAACTCATCCCCACTTTGAGAGGGCCCTGCCCAAAGACAAATGAAGGAGTCTTGGAAACTTGACTTACTTTCAGGAAGAGGCTTCCCAGGTTGGCATGGGCTTCACACCCTTTGTTTTCTAGTGGTCAGTGCATGCAGGGGACAGAGGATGACTGCCTGACATGGGGGCTGACCCACCACTGGCAGTGGAGAGAGAAGGGGGCAGGGTAGGGCAGGCAGCCCGGTCACCACTGGGGTAGCCTGGGACATCAGGGACTCAATGTCCAGATCAGTCCAGACAAGAGAACAGGGCTGCAGCCCCTTTCCCAGATTTTTCTGGCCCCTGATGACACACAAATGGACACTTCTGTGTCCTACAAGTTGTCATCCAAACTCCTTCGCAGTGCAGTGCTGGGTATTTTTAGCAGAAGGCTTTCCCTCCACCATCCCTCTGTCCTCCCTCCTACGGGTGCCCTAAGGCAGTTGAGTCTGTCTGCAGGGCCCCACACAGCACCATCGGAGGCCCAGGGCACTGCCTGCGGAGCTCTGTCCCTGTGTCCCATTCCTTCTAGTGTGTCCCCTGCAGTGTCATGGCGAGACAGTCCTTCCTGCTTGTGCAGGGACCCTCCCTGAACTGCAGCTGACAGATGCCATTTAAATGTCAAATTGGGGTGCGGTGCCTCACGCCTGTAATCCCAGAACTTTGGGAGGCTGAGATGGGTGGATCACCTGAAGTCAGGAGTTCGAGACCAGCCTGACCAACATGGTGAAACCCTGTCTCTACTAAAAATACAAAATTAGCCAGGCATGCTGGTGCACACCTGTAATCCCAACTACTGGGGAGGCTGAGGCAAGAGAATCGCTTTAACCTGGGAGGCAGAGGTTGCAGTGAGCCAAGATCATGCCACTGCACTCCAGCCTGGGCAACAAGAGTGAAACTCCATCTCAAAAAAATAAAAAATGAATAAATACATGTCAAATTGCTGTTACATGGACCAGGCCGGTTTGTGCTCCTCTCAGCACCATCCCAAAAAGACGCTTTTCTAGGCAGAGTCTATAGATAGAAAATTGGCAAGAGGAAAGAAAAATGCCCAAAATAGAAATCAGGGAATGCAATGTGAAACTAGGGGATGATGTCATTTAAAGTAGAGAAAAACTGGAACAAGCTAAACGTCGGATAGGTGAACAGTTACAGAAATCATGGGAAATATGCGCAATGATTTCTTCCACAGCTATGAAATATCCTATTTTGAGAACATTTTAGTGTAGTGAAAATATTCCAATTAAACATAGCATTAAGTGAAAAGACCAGGATACAAAACTTCATGTTTATATGATCCCAGCCATGTTTGAAAAACAAACACATATGTGGAACCCCAATACACTAACAAGGGGACTCTCTGGATTCTGAAAAGGGCAACTTTTATTTCCTATTTAAAAATATTATGTTTATACATTTATACATTACAAATTTTCTGTAGAGAACATAAATGATGCTTTTAATTAGAAAGAAACATTTAAAAATACATATTGGGGCCAGGCACGGTAGCTCACGCCTGTAATCCCAGCACTTTGGGAGGCTGAGGCGGGCAGATCACGAGGTCAGGAGATCGAGACCATCCTGGCTAACACGGTGAAACCTCATCTCTACTAAAAATACAAAAAATTAGCTGGGCGTGGTGGCGTGCGCCTGTAGTCCCAGCTACTCGAGAGGCTGAGGCATAAGAATGGCGTGAACTTGAGAGGCAGGGCTTGTGGTGAGCCGAGATTGTGCCACTGCACTCCAGCCTGGCAACAGAGCGAGACTCCATCTCAAACAAACAAACAAAAAAGTATATTATCTTTAGACTGAGAAGGCATGAAATATGGCTCAGTTTGGAGCTGCTCCTTGACAGAGCTGAGACACAACAGTCACCTGAAACTGGAGACCTTACCAAGTTCAGGTTCCCCACTTTGAAACCTGCGGATAAGCCTGGCTTGGGAGACAAAGAGGAGCAAAGAGGAGCGACTTAAGGCCAGAGGATCTCACACCCCACTGGAACAATATCCAGTCTTCCAAAATTCCTCCACACATTTCCCCACCACGAGGAGCTGCCTGGGCTCAGCAGATCACAGGGACAGTGGCAGGAGCTTCTTCCAAGGGCATCGCCGGCTGCAGACATGGCATGTGCATCTCACAAGCGCTCCTCCGCAGCACGTGCCCGAAGGCCCCTGGCCCTGAGCCCGGTCCTCCTGGCCCTACCATCTGACTCCTGCACGGCAGCCAGGCGAGATTGCAGGAACTGAGATGCATAATCCCCACTCACTGTTTGGGCAGATGGGCCTGGTCCAACCAAAAGCAATAGAGGCAGCTGCATGTAGAACACTGAAGAGCAAACAACCTCCTTCAAGCATAATGCAAAAAAAAAAAAAAAAAGAGATTACTCTGTTTCTTTTTCTCCCAACAGCCTTCTGTTGTTGCTTTCTGGCATTTCTCCATAATATCCTGACAGCATTTTCAAAGGAATCATGTGAGATGGTGCCCTCTCACTCTCCCCACGTTCATGAGACAAGTGCCCCAAATCAGGGTCCATTTCAGCTGTTAAGTGACTGGTTCTGGACACCTTTGGGGTCAAGGAAGCTATGGGATTATTTGTTGTGTTAAGCATTACCCCAGCACATGAGAATGTATGACTCAGTGCTGCTCCAGGCAGTCAGCTCATCATTTAATGTGCACCTACTATGTACCCGGCATATTGCCGGGCACCCCAGGAAAACAGTAAAAAGCAGCTATTCTCAACGAATTTACCATCTGGCAAAACAGGAAGAGAATATATACATGAAGAATAAAAATAATATTTAAGCCTTAAATCAGGGATGGAAAAGATGTTTCAGGCAGTTGTTAGAAGCCATCAAGAGTGCTGTGTTGTAAAGGCTCTGAAGCCCAGTCCTGAGCCCAGGAAAGGTATGGGTGTAACAGCAGCACCTCCCTTGAGTGCAGCTGGGCAGGTGCAGCAGTCAGGTCTGGGTCTGCATCCTTGCTCCCAAAGACCATGGATACAACAGGGAGGGAGGGCGTCTGAGTTGGAGGAATCCAGAGGCTTCAAGAAGACTTAGGACTTGCATTGATCTAGAAAATGATAGGCATTGGGCGGGCCAAAGGATAGTCAGAGGACATAGCCTAGCTAGGCATAATATGTGTAGGAGACAGTGAGGAAAATAGAAGTTGGGCGCTATAGAATACGAACATGAGGATTCCGGGTAATGAAATCTGGTGCATGCATATATGTGTGTGTTCGTGTGTGGCAGGTTGAAGGGACTTTGAGTATTTATGGTACATTCATCCCTGATCACACTAATTTCTCTTATCACTCATTTACTCTAATAAGTATGTATTACGTGCCTGGGGGCAATGTGTTATATTACTAGAAAGAGAAGTTCTCACTTCATTTTCCTTGTCTGTCTTTACTGACAAAGAGAAGGAATGATGTGATGTGTCTGAAGATATGAAAGAGCCACCCAGACCTAAGCCACCCGGACAAAGAAGGGATCTGGCTCATCCAGGACCATGCAACTTTGGTCATCTATATCTGTGGTAATCAAAGTGTGGTCCACGGACCAGCAGCATTGGCATCACAAGAGAGATTCCTTGGTTAATCCTGAATTCCAGGCATCCCCCTGTACCTATAGAATCGGAATCTGCATTTTAACAAGGTCCCCCCAGTGGTCTGTTTGCAACTTAAAGATCAGAAGCCTTGAGCTACTCCAAGAGCCCCATAGGCTTTGGATTTAAGAACTAGAAGCAGAGCTGGAAGGAACCTCAGCAATCCTCTGGTTCAAACCCGCAATGCGATACACAATATGAGGAAACCAAGATCTGAGAAAGTTAGTTGATTTCCCGATTTCCCCAGTTTTTAAGATTTCACTGTCACCCAGTTTCCAGCTTAAAAAAAAAAGTGTATTTTCATGACAACACATCTTCCCTCAGCATGCGTTCCTGAAGTCATATCATGTTTCATCTTCTATGCTATGAAGTGCAGCCTGCCAACACCAGAGAGCCATGGAATAGGATGAAAACCAACATAGCTTTCCACGTGATGTCTCAAAACCAAAAGCAGAGACATCTAAGTGAAAAGTAAGATATCCCAGTGCTACACCATGGTCCCCATAATTGCTAAGATCCTTACACAGATTTCCACCACACACAATGTCTGACCAAGAGTGCGTATAAGAGCAGCACCACCCAGACCATTTCCTGCCAATCCGTGACATGTAGCATCAAGAAATCCAAGCTCATGTTCCAACAACAGTTTGTGTGCAGAAGAGTACCCTAAAACTCTGATGCAAGGAACTGTCTGAAATGGTTGTTTCTAAGACCTTTGTGTGGGAGCATGGGATGTGAAATCCTGTTCCAGTTGGAAATAAATAACAAGAAGGCTCACCCCAGCCAGTGGGTGATAATGTGGCATTCATTACACCGTGTGCACATAGAGCGTGCAGTCCAAGTCATATGACAGCAGAGAAAGGGGCTTTTTCTGCAGAGAGAGAGAGACAGGGGATGGAGGAGGAGATAGTTAATAATTTTCTTTTCATATGACAGCTTGGAAAATCCAGTTCAGCTTTATAACGCCAGCTCCTCAGTTATAATTTAGCACCTATTCCAGGAACAGTTGACAAACGAATGTTAGTGAGCAACACAATGCCATTTTCATTTGCCAGCCAGAATGATTTTTTATGTCCTTGATAAGCCCACAAATAAATTTGTCAATTTATTCATAGCTATGGGTTGGAGTCAAGATGCAATCTCTTATGCTCTGCAGACACTGGTGCCGCTTTCTTTACGGAACACCCATCTGTTTTTCTACCACATGGGCATAAAGATTTCCAGAAGCTACTAAATAAGAAAGTGATTTGAGTCCTCCTGTAGTAGCTTTCTAGCCATCTGCTGTCCCAGCCATGTGTCTTCCATCATGACAACTTTTACCCATGTTCCTAAGACAGGGGTCAGGTCCAGCAATCTCCCAGGCTCCCGGCAAAGAGAAAAAAACGTAATTGAGTGAAAAGAAGTCAGTCTCCTTGGGTGACAATGACTTGCCTTGCAAAAATCCCAGTGTGCTGTCAGGAAACAGAACAATTCTCAACAGAAAGGAAATGGAGGTGACTCCAGACCAACATGACAAAAATTCTGTTTTGAGAGGTCACCTGGGGTGCCTCTATTTTGGGAGGAAATAATTTCCTTAATGACATCTCTGTGGGCTCTCATACTTTCTGGCTTTATCGGGTTTTAAAGCTGGCATATCCACATTCAAATGCCTCCTTTGTGAACTGGTCTTTAGATGAGAATACCTCTGAGTGTTCCTGTTCCCTAATACATTAAGAACTATGGGCAACTCCCCGGACTCCATGCCTGCAATAACTCTGAAAGGAGTTATGCAAAAGCAATTACAGTTAATGACAGTCTTCTCGGTTTTTAACTTTCTTTGTTCTTGAGGCCCAGGGATTTGGATCCTTGCACCTATTCTGAATGGCTGCAAACACATCGCATCTAAGTTTGAGTTCTTCTTGGAAACCAAGGTTCACAGCATTTTCCTGATAGCCTTGTCTTGTGGGCAAACAAGACAACTTCAGGGCATGAGACTATATTAAGGCTAGTGATGTGACAATGGGACAGCTCAACCTGCTGGTGGCAGTCAGCCAAAAGGCCATGGGATGGCCCATGCCAGGGCTCACTTCGCCTTTCAAATAAGAACTTGAACCTTTCTCTGGCTTGCTTATTTGAACAGGCAGGTCCTGGATGTAGAGAGGTGGCACACTTAATTGGGTCACTAAGGGGAGTTAGCAAAAGAAAAACTATAGGACTATGAGTGGGGTTTAGGAAACTGCACACAGGAGAGTGCAGCGCCCTAAAACTGGCAACAGTGCGAAGCTTTAATATCTGAGGCCTGAAAGGGAAGGGCCAAAAAGCTCTGCAGAGGCCACAGAGAAGAGCTCTGTGCAGAGGGCCTCTGATGAGATCTGAGGCCTCTGATAGGATCCGAGGGAGGGCCCAGAAGGGGAACACCCTGATCTCACAGTTCCCCTCCCGCCTCCCATTGGACAAATCCAACCACCTGCGCCTGGGTATATAGTGCAGATGATGCAGTCTCCAGCACCAACAGGGTCAAGGGGGAGGGTGGCTCTGCAGGGTGCATGGAAGTCACCTGAGCGTAGTGTCCCAACCTGGTGCTCTCAGAAGGGAGGTATCTCTCTTAGGTATCTCAGGTAGCCTAGAGATACCTAAGCACCTCAAGAAAAGATTTTATATGTCACTGTAAGCCCACAGATAAACATGTCAATTTATTTATAGCTGTGGTTCAGAGTCAAGATGTACTTTCTTATGGTCTGCAGACACTGGTATCGCCTCTCCACCAGGGCATCAGGAATCCAGGGTTATTGTGACCACAAAACACTACACAGGAGAGACCAAGGGGCCATTCGCTAGACCCGAGCAGAAAAAAGTCCCTTGGAAAAATTTAAAATGCAAATTTTGGATGCAAAATTCTGTGGCATATAATCACTGGGTCTTTTTTATCTCTGGACAACCCCCCATGAGGCCAATACCATGGCTGTCATCTGTATGTCACAGATGAGATCACAGAAACATGGAGAGCAAGCATGGATGCAAATCAGAAAGTTGCTGAGAGGGAAGAGCAGTGCAGAGCTGAGCACAGGGACAGTTGCACGTCCCATTTCAGTGCTGCCAGTCTGTGGAGGATGGCGGAACCACCTGGGCAGGGTCCACAAATGCTCACTGTCTTTTCAGATGCAGACTCACAGCATTGACTGCTTTCTCTGGGGACAGACCGGTCAACGAATTTAGAGTTGGAGAAGTTTGGATCTGGGAAAGGTAGAATGGCTACTGGCCCTGTGAGATGTCACTCCTCCCGGGAGGTATGGGGCAGCGTCCACTCTGCACCACATCTCTGTAGGGAAACCCAACACTCCCAAAGGTACTGGGAATCCTGGTAGCTCAAAGCAGGTTTTGCTAGCAGATGAGCTATGCCAAACAGGGGGAAAAGATTCCTGCTTCAGAGCTCCTGGGATTTAGAATCATGGGTGTGGAAGCTCCCCTCACCATGTGCCAATCCAGAAGGGGCCTTAGCTGAAAGTCCAGGCCCACCTGGAGCAAACCCCTGGCTCTGGGGTTTTAGTGACTTGGTCTTCTGCACCCAGGTGATAAGCATAGATGGCCTTGTGCGGGACTGTGGTGCAGCTGAGAGAGCATGTGCTGAGTGACCACAGGACCTGAGCCCCATGCCCTTTGCCCCTCTGGGCCTCCAGGTTCCTGCTTGCCTTTGAATTGCAACCAAGGGCCCCCTGGAGTGACCACTGCGTGGGCAGCACACCTTCATTCTTCTTACAGGAGGGTCAAACACATCCCTTGACCACACTTTTCCATCATCATAAGGAAATCTGCTGATGGCAGAGCATTACCTCCCTCAGAGAAACAGAATGCTGCCTATCCCTTTGCCAGGCCCTTACTTTAAGAACTGAAAGTGAAATGAAATCCTTGAATAAAGTGACTTGGAAAATCCACAGGTACAAAGCACCAGGCCTGCAGGGTCCAAGCACCTTCCTACTGCCATGTAATGATAGGCACCTGAATGTCCACCTCTCCATGTCAGAAACACCATTGATTCTAAGCAGCAGATCAGGCTTCCACCAGCCTCTGATGTGTCCTGGCTTATCCTAGGCAAACTGTCCTGCAGGCCATGGACCCTCAGAACCCAGGGCAGAAAAGAGGAAAACCGGGTGAGTGGACAAAAATCTGAATGCAGTAGAAGGAGGCACGCTGGGGGCATGGGAGGAAGGGAGTGGTCAGGCTTGGAGCCACGCAGAGGCAGTGAAGCCAACAAGGCCAGGACTGGAAGGAGGATGCTCTCTAACACACAGACTCACACCCTGCCAGGTCTGGATCCAGGTTCCACAAGGCATCAGCTTGCTCACACTGGACCAGGCTCAGGGACAGATGCAAAAGCAAGCTTTCATGAGCCCCAAGTGAACTTTTCCCCATAGGACACTCAGAGAGGACTGACACAGATGACAGGTTAGGCTCCCCACAGAGCACAGACACACTCCGGGGCTTGACCGTGGCCAGAACATGACGCACCACCTCAGCCTCTGGGCTCCCACCGCCAGGCAAGCGATTGCCCTGCAGTCCAAGTGCCCCAGCATGCACTGTTAATATATGAATACCACGTCCAGACACACTAACAAAAACGCACGGCACAGCAGGCACACTGCACTGGAGAATCAGCGGTTTGTGCCTCAAGTCTAATTAAGACAAAAGTTTTGTGCGTTGGCCGTGGAAAGGCATGCTAATGACTCACAAGCTGGCTTAACCCCACCATGAACACCTGTATTTCAGCAGCTTCCCAGGAGGTTATGAGGAGGTGTGGAAAGGGGAAGCTGTCCTGCCCTTCACACTGAGTGGATCTGCAAGCACAGGGCAGGGCAACTCAGTCTCCAAAACCAGAAGGCCAGTGCCAGGCTCAATTTGTTCCTTCTTTAAAGCAGCTTCCATAGAAAGCCTCACTGTCACCCCTACTCCAGACCCTGGGCTCTTTCCAGACTGGGCTAAGGGGTGACAGCTGCCTGGGCCTCTTCCAGGACAGGGCTGTGTGGCCGGCCATGGAGCAGAGGCCCCGCGGCACAGCGCACAGACAACGTCCTCCCAGAGGCAGCTGTTCCCCACATTGACTTCACTTCTGATGGCACAAGGCCAGAATGTCTTTCATTAGTTTCCCAAACTCTGTCATCAGGGAAGCAGACGAGCCCAGTGTGGATTTTTTAAAGTCAGCACGTTCAAGAGCATCAACCTACATGAAGCCACACATCCTTAAACACACACACCCCACACACATGTCATCTGACACGAGGCCACACATCCTTAAGCACACACACTCCACACACATGTGCTTAGCCATGCGGGGACTTCACCTGCAGAGGTGTGCACAGAAGATGATCTGCCTGGCCTAGACTGGGAAGGGTCTCAAAAAAATCACTAAAGCCTCAAAAACATGGTCTAACCCATGACATTGGCAATGGTCTCCCATGCACTTCTAGATGCCACTCTATGCCCTTCATCCAGCCAAAACCACCCTGTGACTGCTCCACACATAATTCAAACACAGGGTTTCCTGCAGCAGATGTGACTCCAGTGGCTTCCAAGGCTGGACGAGAGGAGAGTGATGGGAGGGGTGTGTCCCCTTCTGCATGCCTGCCTCCCAGTCCACACGCCCTAGACCAGCCACCTTTGGGAATAAGGTCCTGCCCCACAATTGCCAAATTCCATTGATTTCATCTCCTGCAGCTTGTCTGATAATTTTGGTTGCTATCAGTCCCTGAATGCTTTAAGAATAAAAATGCCTTTCAGTAATACTCATGGCTACTAATACAGTGAAGATGCTCAAGGAAATGAACACCCACCAAAATGACAAGATCACCAAAAAGAAATTCCTGAGGGTCACACCACACTTGAGAAAACTGCAGGCCCCAACCCCCTTCCCCTGGGACCGCCCCTCTGTAAGACCCTGGGCTGAGTACCTGAGGGATGTGTTCGTTCAAGGTCTTTCATTACGGTGGATCTGGGAAGGCCAGGGGGCAGGACAAGGGAGGTGACAGCAAGTGAGAAGGCAGCCCAATGCCACCCTCCCCTCGGCTTTCCTACCCAGGGCAAGCTCTCCTGGAAAAACACCCACGGGCAGAGGTGTGGGGACAGGAGGGAGGCGGAAACACGGCCTCCCCAAGTGAGATGGAATCTGGGGGTCATTTGATAAGCGCTTCACCAGCTGATGCATATAGAATACTCACTCCCCAGCATCCCCAGTGGCTCAGCAGCAAGACTGGCAAATCCTCCCAGGGAGCAGAGAGAACAAACACAAGGAGCCAGGCAGAGAGCCAAGTTCAAATCCCAAATCCAGCACGTAGCACCTCTGTGGCTCAGGCCAGCGATTTAGCATCCCCAATTCTCAAATTTTCTGACCACAAAAGGGGGCTACTGTCCCCTGCTTCCAGGTCCCCATGTGCACTGAATCACAGTACAGTACAGCTCCCTGCAGCGCTCTCCCTCAGCCCCAGCTTTTAGGAAGGGGCTGAAGTGTGCCCCCATCCTGCTCACCAGGATCTTACCTCGGCCCTGGGTGGCCCATCCCTCCCCTACTCTCTTCTGGAGACCTTTGTGGACAACACCAGGGGTCTCTGTGGTCACCAGCATTTCTGAGTGCTCCTCCACAGGGGAGCAAAGCTCCACTCCCTCTGTGAGCTCAATACTGGCCACCAAAACACTCAATTTCAACGCAGTGAGGTGAGGCCTGGCAGAGGCTGGCAATGGGGTGGCAAGGAAGGAGCAGGGGAGCAGGTGTCCAGCAGGCCCACAAGTGGGGAGTGGGAACAGAGGCCTTAAGTAGGGGGAAGGCTGTGGCCATGGCCCAAGCACCCAGAGCGGGAGACTGCCAGGCTGGGGCCTGGAGGGAGCGAACAGAGGCATGCTCCAGGCACCTCTGGGACTATCACAGGCATTTCTGGGCTGTACCCTGGGCATTTTTATTACCTTTCAGGATTGATCATCTGCCATCATCACCGCTGCTGCCCATGACTCTGGCCCTGGCCAAGCCTGGACTTACCTTCTGTCTGCATACACAGTTCACACAGTCCTTGCCAACCCATGCCAAGCAGTCACCCCTTCCTCCACGTGAGGGAGTAGGACCCAGGGAGAGTAACAAGCCAGCCCCAATGCCACCATTGGTACACTGAGTTTCTCCTTCTCACTGTCACCTGAGTCTACAGGGGCCATCAGACTCCCCATCCATAGCTCCTCTCCTCACAGGAGGACCATTACCCCTCCACCTCCTCCTGCCTGCCAGCCCTGGAGGACACAGACATGGTCTACCTCCTGGTGAGCTCTTCTGCAGCTTTCTCCTTTGGCCGTTCTGAGGACTAAACTATGAAACAAAGCCATAAAGCTGGTAAGTGCAAGAAAATGACCAGCCAGACCCACTTTAAGTGAAGTGCTCCAAGCAAACAAGGGTGCCCGGACGTCTCCCACCACGGAGGCGAGAGGTGGAGTGCGTGCATTGGCTCTGTGCGCCGTTCTCCTGGCCAGTGTTCCCAGGCCCTGCAGTCAGCTGAGGCACAGGGCAGTACCACCCCTCCCCTGTCCTCCCACCGCAGGGCAGGCCGGCGTCTTGGTGACCCTCGGGCCTTCCTGCAGTGCTCATGACCTGGCAGTGGTGGAGCAGGACCAGAAGATTCCTAGAGCTTCTCCCAGTTACTTCACACCCATGTTTTGGTATCTCAGCAAAACCAGAGTCCACTTTTCCCCTGGGGTAGATTTTTTTGGTTAAGAAAATGCAGACAACTTGCACCAATTATGAACACGTTAGACTAAACAGTCAATCTGATCTACACTCATTTCTCAAAGCCAATATCTCCCTACATTAATGTGTAAAGGAAAGATGCAGGTTTAACCCCAATAAACACTCATGGCAACAAGATAAAAAGAAAAATAGCTGCTATCCATCATCAATCAGAAACTGCTCCTTAGGGAGGAAGCAAGCCCACCTTCCCTGAGCCAGAATGCAACTAGAGACAGGCTTCGCCATGCAGCCCCCACTCATATCCCACCAGCATCCCCTCTGACACCAAGCAGAGATGTAGCATCTTGAACCTGAGCCCTGGAGCATCCCGAAAGCCTGGCCCAGCGCTCGGCCATTGGGCTTCTGCTCTACAAACCACAGAGCCAGGCAGGCCTTTCAGCTCCTGCCACATGGCCATCTCTACATTCTGCCTCCCTCTCAGTGGGAACCGTCAGCTCTAGCCCGCTGGGGGTCTGTGTGCTCCCCAACACCCTCCCATGGTCAGCGTGCCCCCGACAGTCAGTGTGTCCATTGGCACAGAACCTCTGTGCAGGCTTGCTCTTGCTCTCTGGGCCTGCACCCACTCCACCATCATGGAAATCAGATACGGACTCTTCTGATTTCCTCTACCCTGAATCTAAGAACTGTGGGGAATTCAGCAGCTGCTCACTCTAAACACTTATACTCAAATTAAGTAAAGCACTTTACCAAACAGCAGACCTGGAGCTCGATCCCAGAGGCTCCCATCCTTAACTCTCCCACAGTGAATCACCCTCCCTCATCCCTTTGCATGCTCTGCTGAGGACCAGCAGGTGAAAGGCACCCACAGAGTCAGAACCAGAAGAGCTGCCTCCAGTACACGTGCTGTGCGTGTGCTGGATGCAGGACACTAGAGGGACATCCTGCTCTGAGACTGTCACATCGGCAGAGCTAGTCCTTCCCTCTCCTCACTTTCCAAGTCCCAAGAGTAGAATTCCTGATGGATAACGGAGGGGGCCCGGGGAAGGAAGAGGCAAGAGGGGTCTGAGGGTGCTCCACCCCAACAAAACCCACAACCTGTTGTCAGGTGTGTTTGTGCCCCTAAGTGTGCCCTCCAGCAGCCCAGGGCAGAAGCTGGGGTCGCAGGAGGGACAGGGAGAACCGTGACTCACTGCATTGTGCAGGTGGCACTCCATTTCCTATGGCATAGGTGACAACTGTGCCCATTCCTGTCTCTCAGGGTGTGCAGTAAGTAACCAGTCCTCTCTCTCTGGCCCTGTCATGGCATACAAGGTCGGCTCTGGGGACAGCATGGCTCAGTTGTCAGGAGCGTGAGGCTTTAAGGTCTGCAGATCTGTGTGTGTTCTGCATCACCACTGCCACCTAGGGAACCTGATGCAAGTTCCTAGTACCAAGCTTTAGTTTCCACATTTGCAGTGAGGATAATGCACCCACTTCTGCAGGCTTATTAGACACGGTATGCAATAATGTGCAACGGACATAAAACAGCCGACCACTGTTATCCAGCAGGTGCTCAATAAATGAAGAGAGAAATGAGATGAACCCTGCAGCGCCCTCGAGGCTCATGCTCACAGCCCTCATCGGGTGAGCCCCATTTCCAACGTCTCCAGATACTCACTGCTGGGTGCTACAAAGCAGAAAGGTTGTTTACATTACCCGAATGCTCTCAAAATAATCTTTTGATGAGCAGATCTATTAGTGTAGATTGTTTTTAGCTTGGAGACTACTTACACAGGGTTTTTAAGGATCAGGAGCCTGAAACCCCATATTTCAATGACTGCTAGGACTGGTATTGGACCATGGCCCCAGTGGAGCCCCAGTCTGGTAGACCAGCACCCGGGAACGAGAAGGGATTCCCCACCGCTCCCCTTCCTATTGCTGAGCGTCCACCAGACTGGGGCCCCATCACCCTGCCTAGCCAAGAGCGCACTCAGGTGGGATGCTGCTGTCCAGAGCCCCTCAGAGCCCACTGCCACTGGCTGGCTGTGGGGCCCCCTCTCTGGGCCTCAGTTTCCTTGCATGTAAAATGAGGGGAAAGGCCTCTGCGTTTCCTTCCAGTGCCAACACGCTAGGTCCTGCTGCTGCTTCTCCACAGCCAGGTGTTCTGTGTGCCACGGGCATTCACTAGTGCAGGCCACTGACATTAATTATAGATGTCAGCTCTTTATGATTCTGACAGCATTGCAGCAAGAAAAGAGGAGCCCCCAAAAAACATGCAGAAAAAAAGAACTCTGTTGTCTCTGGGATCGAAAAAAATAGGAGGGGAGCCTGGCTGGCATTCTGAAGTCCAGAATCTCCTCTACTCCCACCCTGGGGCAGCACAGCCTAAGAGAAACCGTGGCCCAGGGGGTGTGTTTTTGGGGCCCTCTCACCCCTCACCCTCCACCTCTTACCGCCCCCCAATTACCTCCCAACTCTCATCCCTTGTCCTCTCTCACCCCCCAGGGGCCCATACCCTAAGCCTCGCTACAGGGCAGGCCCCACCAGCCCCCACACTCCTGATAGATCCTCCCGGACCTCTTCTTGCCCGGCCTGGCTCTGTCAGCGAGGTCAGCGTCTGCGAAGTTTCGCGTCACTGCTCCCAAGCGTACTGAATTTCAAAAGAAACGCAAGCTGGCAAGAGCTGCAAAAGCAGGAAATTCCAATGACAGAATTCCAAAAGGAAACAGTGATGAGACCATTTCTGGGAAAAGGTGAAGGGGTGGGGAAGAAAGGTATCCCGTTTCCTTGAAATCCCACCCACTAGGCAACTGCAAGTGCTCCTCATTCCAGCCCTGACCTGTAGGACAAGGGTGATGGAGGGGGCGGTGGCGACTTCCCCAGTTAAAGCCTCAGAGTTCACATTAGCAGCATAGCAGCATTAAAGTGAGGTGGAGGAAGACCCAGTAGACAGGAGGAGGTCAAGGGACAGTCACTCCAGCAGGTGATGCAACTTCCATGCAAGAACCTGCCACTGCCGATTTAGCCTAATTGTCAGTGTGCTTGAACCTTCACTAGCCCTCCACTGGCCACTGCAATCCCTTTGCAGCAGTTAACCTTGGAAGAACAAAGGACGTGGCAGGAGCTAAGCCACATTCAGAAGTCAGCAGGGCTCTCGACAAGCTAATAGCACGCTTCATGTCAGCCTCTTCCCAAAACGTATGCATGGAATCCGGACCACAGCTCTTGGTCCACTACTCAATATCCCATGGATGGTTTTCCAGGTGATACGTGGATTTGCCATAAAATTAATGGGCACAGCAGTTCCCAAGATCCTCTTACTTTCATGCTCCCCCATCACCCTGGAAGAAAGATAACTTCAAAATCAAGTACAAGCACACCAACTTTGGAATGAGGAAACCTACAAGTCTAAAATCTGTGTCTTCTCTTGACTGCTCAAAGTAGACATTCTCACGGAGCCTCGGGTGTACTACTGCCCAGCAAACACTCATCCCCACCCTCCACTTCTGCAGAGTGCACGTCCCCACACTTGACCCTGGGCTTAGCCCCACGATTTGCCTTGGCCGATGCAATACCCACAAACAAGATACAGGTGAAGGGTAACATGGGTTTCAGTTGGGTACAGATGGGCTTGCATCCCTAGGGACTTGCCTTTCACCATGAAGACATGGCTCTGGAAGCTGCTGGTCCAAAGAAGGTAAAATTCAGCAGACCTGGACCTAATCAAAGCTTGAAGCCAAGCCAGGCAGATGTTCACAAGTGACTGTGAATAGCAGGTGCTTATCCTATATGCCGCTGACTCCTGGGATACATTGCTATGCAGTGACATTGGGGCCCGACATTCCAGTAACCCCAGGGTTGGCTGTCCCTTCTGCTGAATCCTTGTGCCTCATCATCAACCATGAGTCTTTGTTCATCGGGCACATTTATTTTAGCTGAACAGACAACACTGAACACCAAGTTAGATGAAATTATCCCATTCCTTCAGAAGTGTCATCACCACTGCAGACTGGCAAGCCCCACTGGGATGCCCCTGGGCCCACCCCCATTACGGGCACCAGCCTGCTGCTATGTGTGCACCAGGGTGGCTGAAGCACGGGGCCCTGCCGATAAAGTGCCTACCGTGGGCTCAGGGAAACATCCTCCACAAAGGAGTGCAGAGAAAATAGTCCTGGTGAATTACTGAAATTGATTTTTTTTTTTTTAAGATTGGGTCTTGCTCTATCACTCAGGCTGGACTGCAGTGGCACAATCATGGCTCACTGCAGCCTAGACCTCCTGGGCTCAAGCCATCCTCCCACCTCAGCCTTCTGAGTAGCTGGGACTATAGGTGCATGACACTATGCCTGGCTTTTTTTTTTTTTTTTTTTTGTTAGAGACAGGGTCTCCTTGTTGCCCAGGCTGATCTCTAACTCCTGGCCTCAACTGATCCTCTCACCTCAGCCTCCCAAAATGTTGGGATTATAGGCGTGAGCCACCACACCCGGCCTGAAATGCCTTTCAGCAGAAGAAATGCCCTTGTAATTCACAGCAAAGTCTACCTGGCCACTGTTTCTCCACTTTTAAGAGGTAAGACTGCCAGGTATAAGAACTTAATTTTCCAAGTAATCATTTCCCAAAACCTACACATCCACCCACAGCCACGCTTGTGGTAATGATCTTGTTGTCACAATACACCTGGGGCTCCTCATGAATGGGAGGCACCCTGAGTGGGAGAGGACATCCAAACCCAAGCACTGCCTGTTTAATTCAGAGTCAGTTCTGAGCTACGCACGCGGAGGAGTGCAGGGTGATAGATAACGACAGTGTACACGTAAGTCTCAGGGAGGCACTTTCAACGGACCAGCGCCTGTCACTTGGTATTCCACGGACTGCTCGGAGATGCAGCAGCTGCCCAATGTCCTAGCAGAAGTAGGACTCTTCACGGGAGATACTAAATCTTATGAAATTATACAGTCGTAGTAATTGAGAACACAAAGTTGATTTCCATCACCGAGGCCGGGGTCACATAAAGAGCAGTAAATGAAATGACACTGAGAAAATAATCATTTCAAAATCCAATCAAACCATCATCTGCAAACCTCAGTGATCCTGATTCCAGAGTCACATCCAGGTTCCTGTACAGTGAGGGAGAGGCCAAGTGTGACACATCCGAAATGCAGGGCACACCAGGCACAGATGCGACTGAAATTCTGGGAACTGTTTCTAACTACGTAATGAAGATACAGAAGGCTGACCTGCCACCCCATGCCCCCTCCTACAGTCCTGAGGGCTCTGGACAGTTGAGGGACCGCCGGCGTGGGGCTGACTTCAGCTTTATCCCAGCACAGAGCATGGTGCCTGCCATTTGACAGGTGCTCGAGGGAAGTCTGTTGATTCTGTCCATTTGCCCACTGCTCCTTTCAGGGAGAAGCCGAGTCCCCCAGCTCAGGACTCCCCTTCTTACACCCTCCCCGAAACATGAACCTTGGTCATCTCTACTCTCTTAATCTCATTTTTTTTTCCATGTGAATTTAGATTATTTTATCTTGCTTAACTATATTGTTTGTATAAGGCCCCTTAGATCCTTTTAGGAAAAAGGTAGTATATATATATGTAAGTCAAAACTGTTTTCTCTAGAAACAAAACAACAGAGAAGGCTGAGGTATCACAAAAGCTGGAATAATGTGATTTAAAACAAGCCAAAAAGGGTCTCTATCTGACTTAGAATATTTGTCTGGTAACAGTTCAGATTTGTCCAGCGCCTTAGCCCAAAGCACCATGGCAAAACAATAATAAGCATGCCATTTAGTTTCACAATATACAAATGAAACACAAGTTTTCTCCAGTTACTATTACATCTACTTTCCAGGTGAGAAAATACATCACTAAGTGGCTTGAACAAGGCCTTCCATGCAGCGACACCTGGGCTAAAGCTTCTTGCCCTCCCTGGGTCCCGGAGGACAGTCACAGCCTTCAGACGGGCCTGGACTGACAGTCACTCTCAGGCCATCACCCAGTGACAGCTGCTACATCTACTACGGGACACATATTTGCCATCAATGCCATTCCTAGCTCAAAGGACAAATCCCATATCCATCTAATCGTGACCCTTTTCTAGAGCAAATAACTTTTTCTTCTTCTAAGACATGAGCGTATGCCACCTCCAGGGACGTTCAGACTCACACATATGGTGATGTGGGAGAACGCTGGTGTTTTCTCAGGTCTTAAGTTGAATGCCTGCTCCTAACTCGAACCCTCGTGGGTTCAGCCAAAGAATGCCTTCTACCATCACTGGGTCCGAGATCCCCCTTCCTGGGAAGAGCACTGCCTCCTGAATGAAGGGTTGCTGGGTTCCTCTCTGCCAACTGAACCATGAAATCCTCTCCAGGATTGGAGACCAAATGGGGGCATGTTCGTCTCCCCTCACCCAGCTGCACATGACGTGGGCTATAAATCCATTCCATGGTCATAGCCAAATAATGTCAGATTATAATGAATTTTCCTCTCCATAAACCTAGAGTGGACTCAAAAAACCAACCGACCTTGAAGGGAAAATCCTAGATCCTATTACCAGCTCCCCGCGAACGCTTCAGATCCCTCTCACTGTGCCTCGCTTCATAAACTGTCATTAGCACAGGGAAGCAGGTGCGGCTGTCCGGGAGAGGAAGGGTACCCGGCAAACAGCGAGATGAGGAATGAACCTTTTAAAAGGACGCGCTAATCAAGCATCCAGACAACCTCAGCTAATCCTTGAACTTGGAAGTGCAACCGTTCCCCAGGCAGGGCAGGAAAAGGGCAGAAGCACGGCGGGTGCGGGGCACTCTTTTGAGTGCTCATCAGCCAACTTGCACATTTCCTGTGACGCTTTCTAGTCAACTAGGTCATCGGGAACAATCTACAACCCAGAATCAATAAATAAGGCCCTGATTAAGCTGCTGCCTTGGCCTACAGCAGACTTCCGGTGTCGGTCCAACTGAATGGAGGGTCACGGAACCCTCCTCAGGCCACATCACACTAACCAACAGGCAGGGCTCTGAGCAACTTATCAACGTTATCACAAATATAAACTGAAGCCTGGTGATCTGATTTCCCCTGGTGTGCCTCTAGGCTCTCCTACTTCTCTGGATCACAAGAGAGGGTAGGGTGAATATCAGTCTCACGTGGCAGCCTCTGCGGGGCCTCACTGTATGCAGCAAAGTACGAGAAACCACATTTCATGATGATTGTGCAAAGCTTCATGAAAGGTCAACCTCAGGCTCTTGCTGTGGTGATAATAAGGCAGACAAGCGTGGAACACATTTTCTTTTTTTTTAATGGTGGAAGCTGTTCTGAGATGTTCTAAGGGGACAATTTTACATTATGGTAATCTATAAATATTACAGTATAAATGGTGCTTAGAACTAGCTCTTTTATTGATGCAAAATTCATATAACAGGAAATTAACCATTTTAAAGTGAACAATTCAATGGCATTTACTACATTCACAATGTTGTGCAGCCACTACCTCTATCTAGAACATTTTTATATGGTGGGGACAATTTTACATTATGGTAATCTACAAATATTACAGTATAAATGGTGCTTAGAACTAGCTCTTTTATTGATGCAAAATTCATATAACATGAAATTAACCATTTTAAAGTGAACAATTTAATGGCATTTACTACATTCACAATGTTATGCAGCCACGACCTCTATCTATCAGAACATTTGTATCACCCCAAAATAAAGCCCTACCCCCGTGAAGTAATTCTGCTCCATTGCCGCCTCTTCTCAGCCCATGGCAACCACCAATCTGCTTTCTGTTTCCATGGATTTACCTATTCTGGATACTTCATACCAATGAAATCATACAATATGTGACCTTTTGTGGCTGGCTTTTTTTGAGCATAATGTTTTTGAGGTTCACACAAGATGCAGCATATATGACAATTTCATTTCCTTTGATGGCTGAATAAAAGTCCATTGCAGGCACAGGCCACATTTTGTTTATCCACTCATCCACTGATAGACACTTGGGCTGGTCCCACCTTTTCGCTACTGTGTAAATAGGGCTGCTATGAACATTTGTATACTTGTTTGACCACCTGTTTTTTAATTCTTTTGGGCACACACCTAGGAATTCACTTTTGATATACAAAAAAAATGATAACATGTTTAGGACCAATGAACTTGAAATCTCAAATCTCCATAATGTTTGTTCCAAGGAATAATGACTTTTTAACTTTCTAAGAAATCCAGATCCTAGAAGATTTCCAGAACTACAAGTTGCCTTTGACATACTACCACAAATGATTTTCCTTGACATGACAATAAAGATAATAAAATAGCAGTAATGTTAATAATAATCACACATAGGAGGTAATATTACTGGCACTCTTTTATAAGCCCAGAACTATGGTAAGTATTATCCTTGCCAGCATAATTAGTATTCCATTTTCCATACAGAAAGTCACATAGCCCTAAAGCAAGCACCAAACCCAGTCCTACCACACCAGAGCCCATATTCTTCATCTAGCAGCCTACTTGTTTCCTTTCACTTCAAGCAACCCCTTTATAAGCAATCAGCATGTATGCTGAGCCTGGTCTCAAGCAGCATATCTGGATTTCAGTCACAACCTGCATACCCTGTCACCATATGAAAGGGACATCTATGACCTTCTAAATGTGACTCCTACCCTGCAACGTGATAGATCTCATGCGTCCCTGACAACGTGTGTCCCCATCAGCAGTTGCGCATGTTTAATGTCTATCATCATATGAAGCCATAAGCTCTAGCAGAGGAGGACTCTAAGCCTGTCCCACCACAAAACTCCCCATCTGTACAAGACACCTGGCACCTCACATGCATTCACTAAACACGTGCCCAGTGAGTGGGGTCTGCATTCACCTGGTCCTCCACTGGCACATGCTGCAGGCTCTCAGTTCTCCCTTCTCCCCTCCTCCGCCCAGCCCCGCACACCTCCTGGGGGCAGGCATGGGTCTCAGGGTCCCCTTGGAGACCTGCCTCCCCCCTCATCCATGCGTTAAGGCTCAATGGAGCTTGGGATGACCAAGGGAAGCACTCCTTCCAGACAAGCTCAGGAAGACTCTGCCTCCAGGGCCCTGAGTGCCCCACAGATACATCCACAGAAACACATGTGCCTTCCCAGCCTGGCAGGCAGCACTGAACAGACGACTGTGCAATTATTCTCAGGACAGGCCTAGGATCTTCCTAGTTAATGAGCACTGCCTTAATTTCCTGTACAGCGGATTTTAAAATTCATCCTAAATCATCCAGATGGTCATCAAGAACCAGTATCTCTTCAACCCGAAATACTCAGTAAACAACTTCTATTTGACTACTGGTCTTTCTCCCACTGGTAAAATTAAAACCAACTTTTTAAAGGTAACCATTTTCTTTCCCTGTTTTAATTTCTTCCAGTAGCTTAATAGGGAAAAAATACGGGTCCTTTGTGATTCCTTTCATGATTAAGGCTGCTAGGAAACTGTCTTGGCATGACAAGGGAACCGGGTCAGGGATGTTAGAGAACGTTTGCCGACAGAACACCAGTCCGGGAACCCACACACACCAAGCCTGACGTCCTGCGTGTGCGGCAGTACCGGGGGCTGTTTAACTGAGATGCATTGATGCTGGTTCATAAATCCTCTCACATACCCACCCAGCTGGGCCAGTGCCCCTCTGCTGACCACACACAGCCCAGCCTGTATTGTCTCCATGACAACTCAGCGCTGGTGTGGAGGAGGACCGTTGGCAGCTGTGTCTGTGCGGAAGCATGTGCTCACCACTCGCCTGCAGCAGGGTCTCCAAAGGAACGAGCGCTCTGAGCCTTCAGCCCAAGTAGACATCATCACCAAAAGAAACACACCCTACTCGGCCCCTGTGAGTGCAGCACACAGTTAGAGGCGAAGGGGGCTCCCTGCGTCCCACACACCAGGAAAGCAGTGTGGAGCTGCGGGATGCTGGTGGGTCTGTGCAGACAGCTGGCTTCGTGCTTGCCCTCATGGTGCCTGCACAGTCCTGCTTCTGCACCAGCTCTTCAGGGTTCCATCCTTCAAAAGGTCTTGCTTTTCAGAGGTACCCTCAGGGGATGTGTAGCCATCAGCTCCAAGACCCAGTTTTTGGTTGGGCAATTGCTAGAGATTTCACCTAGACAAGCAAGAAGCAGCTTACTAGGAAAAAGGCTGTCAGACAGTCATTGCAGAGGGCTGTGGGGGGTTCTGACCCAAGGGTACATCTTATTCCTCAGACCAGGGAGGGATAAGTCCAGCTCCGACAGCTGGCCAGAGGCAGACGGGCTGCCCTGAGTGGTGGGGGCAGGAGGCCCGGCCATGACACAGGGATGGGACAGGGCAGCACCCCAATGTCACTCAGTGTCAAGATATGGTTCACCCATACCAGATGTACCCAAAGACCCCATTCTGAAAATTATCCATCACCATGTTGAAAGAACACACACAAAGGAGGATCCAGGGCTGTGAGTGTGTGTGCGTAGCGGTTAGAATCTCAATTCTGCCTTGGGATGATTCTAGCCGCATTCAATACTCCAGTTATAGGATACTTATATTCAATTCAGATTTGTACAGCATTTTAAAGATAGTCAGATACATTGTGGGCCTCAATACTGATACCACAAAAGTCCAATACTGAGGACACACGACTTTCTGTGCAAACAGGCAGTGAATTGGCAGAGGGGGGCCCTTCGTCCTAAATGACAATGCAGCACCCACCACGTATCTGGATATGGGGCTTCTGGCATCCTGGGAACCACACGGGGCCTCACCCCATTGTTGGTCCCCACTCCAGAAGGTCCTGGCTGGGATGCCATAGTTACAACTTGACTATCTTGAGTTTGAGGGGTTCCCTGGGCTCTGTTCACTGCTGTCATGTTGGCTGACAGCAAAGTCTCACGTTGATTTACGGGAAAGTGAACAGCAATATGGTCTGTATCCATTGTTGAAAAACTCTTACTCCAAAAGCCAAATGTGAAATGTTTTTACTCTACAGTTTTGAGCTTTTGGGTTGAGATTTTCTTTGCACATCCCTCTAGGTTCCTCCTGGGAGGAGCTGTGTCTCTGAGGAAGGAGATGTTTACAGATTTCACACCAAACAAGGTAGGAGACTCCTGGGTGCAGGGCCAGGGCTTTTCTGGAGCAATTCATTCCTGGTTCCCTGTTGCTTTTCCATTTCAAGCCGGCAAACCTTGTTTTGCTCATTAGCAAATACTCCAGGAAGCCAAGCACACACCCTCACTGCTTCTGGCTCTCTGCCTGCACTTCGCCCCGTTCGCTGGCTGGGTGCTTGAGCTGGGGTGGAATGGATCAACACTGACTCCGCCTTAGACTAATGTATACTCAGGACATCACCAGGCACATAGTAAATGTTCAATGAGGGGTGACCCAGAAAATGGAATAAACATATAAAAGAAATTGCAATTCAGAAGCAGAACCCACTTAGCCATGGAGGGCCCCGCTGGTGTCTCCCTCCTGATGCTGTGTGAGGCAGGCAGTGTCGGTACAGGCTCCTCTCACAGGTTCCCTGGCCACTCCATCCTACCAACGCTCTGTCACTGTGACTTCTGTCTGTAACAGTTTTGGTTTTCCATGGGCAGGTATGCCTGGCCCAACATCCCCAGCTAGAGAAAGGTCAATCTACATAAGAGGAGTAACAGTCCAGGAACGGTCTCCAAAGGATGCTCCAGACACCACCTGCGTGGCCCAGATACGGGGCCAAGACACCTATGTCATACCTCTGCTTAGCACCCAGTATCTCTGGGTCATGCCCTGCACCCGTGGCCTCCTGGGATGAAGTCCGCTTTGACCTGAAACGGCCACACTGCCCCGGGCTGTCACCGCTGATCACAGAGGAATGGATGGGTTCTACTCACCCTCCTGTCCACATTAAGTCCAGTGGCTCAGAGCCCCAGCTCAGGCAGTGGAAACAAGAAGAAATGTTTCCTTCCCTGTGGCAGCTGCAGGCACCCTCAGCCAGTCCTACAGCAGGAATCACAGCCACTCTATGAGCCTGCCTATCCCGCTAGGCAGCTTTCTGACTCTGAATGGCAATCCTCCCCATGCCCGGCACTCCAACAGGGCTGCTTGCCACCTCAGGCAACCACAGACTCGCCTTAAGGTTACGCTTCAGGTGTTCCAGCCTAACCAGCATCCTCACCCCCCAGATCTTCCTTGTGACAGGCCACATGCTGCCCCAATTTGCTGATCATCAATCCAAACACTCCTCCAACACCCCCAGGTGGGGGCTGAGACTGCTGGGAGGAGGGTGGTTGGGTAGAGAAGAGGGACTGGTGCCCCTGCCCCACGGCAGCCAAGCTCACGGCATCCTGCTTCCTTCAGCTTCAGACAGTGGCTTCAATCGCAATCTATTAAGTATTTCATCACATTCTCTTTCCTAGGGCTTCATTAATTTCTGTACAGCTAGGAATTCTCTGTACAACCAGCTTATTAGTAGTAGTTACGTTTTGCTTTCCTGGGAGGGGATGAGGGGACACTGGGACTGAGGATGATGTAATGAACAAATGCCTGAGCACACGAACATTCTGGAGTCTTGGTCCCAATTCCTAAAATGCACAAGTATCTTGGTAACTATCTTCAGTTCCCCTCACCCCTCCCGGCTGCTCTGTCACCCAGGCTGGAGTGCAGTGGCACGATCTCACCTCACTGCAACCTCCACCTCCTTGGTTCAAACAAATCTCGTGCCTCAGCCTCCTGAGTAGCTGGGACTAGGCACACGCCACCATGTCCGGCTATTTTTTTTATTTTTAGTAGAGATGGGGTTTCACCGTGTTGGCCAGGCTAGTCTCCAACTCTTGGGCTCAAGTGATCCACCAGACTTGGCCTCCCAAAGTGCTGGGATTACAGGCATGAGCCACCACGCCTGGCTTGGCAACTATCTTTTAAGCACTACCTGGTGCTTAAAGTCAGAAGAAAGGGGGGCTGGATTCTTAAAGGGTTAGGAGGATGTGGTCGGCCAGCAGAGCCATGGAGAAGCACCAGTGTTTTCTGGAAATTACACGGTGTGTGGGGAGGCTCCCTCTGTTCTCCCGGGGGGAAGGCAAGGTTTTCCCATCTTGGCTGCTGCTATCCTGCCTTGTTTGGTGGCAGTCCCTTTATGTCATTTCAAAATACCATGAATGAGAACTTGGGAATCTGGCTCTATCACAGTAGCTGCTCCCAGGGCGAAGGTTGGAGAGGAATCTCAGCCTGTGGTCCCTCTCCCCCAGGGAAACTGCCTATGATGCCCACGCTTCCAATGCCACTCAGCACAAAATCCACGTGCGGCCCTTGTGCCTCGTGGCTCCATGGACAGAGCACAGTGCGGGACAAGAGAAAGGGCTGTGCCTGGGAGGAGCTGTCCTCAAGCCTCATCACCTGGGCATGTCTTAGGGCTCAGAAGGTCCTCCTCAGACATTTGTGTCCCCCAGAAAACGGAAAAAGATACAGATGCTTCCTGACTTATAATGGGGTTACATTTTGATAAACCCAACATAAATTGAAAATATCATTAGGTCTGAAATTCATTGAATACACCCAACCTGGCAAACCTCATAGCATAGCCTGGCTCACCTTAAACATGCTCAGAACACGCACATTAGCCTATAGTAGGCGACATCATCAGACTCAAAGCCTTTTTTTTTTTATAATAAAGTATTAAATAACTTATGCAGTTTATTGAACACTGCCCTGAAAGTGAAAAATAGAGTGATTGTGTAGGAACTCAAAGTAAAGATTCTACTGAATGTGTATCGCTTCTGCACCATCTTGAAGTTAAAAATTGTTCAGTGGGGGACCTCTCCCTGGAGCGAGGCCCAGTCAAGCCCTGTTGGGGAGGGAGAGGCCCTGTGGTCGGGCAATGGGGCCAGGCTCCTGCTGGACAGAGGTTGCTTGGGAGGCCACTGAGGGGAGAAAGGAGCTGCTGCAGCCACACTCCTGGGCCCCTGGACAGGACAGGATGGGAGAGGACAGAGCACCCCAGCTCTCAGCCCTGCTGCAGTTGTGCGGGTGAAACGGACATCCCCACTAAGGGTCCTTGGACTCTGTGTCCAGTCCTTGTGGGTGAGGGGGTCTTCCAGACTGTCCCCCAATCCCACCTGGAGCCCAGAGAAGGGGCCGCACCTCACTTCAGCAGGCAGGGCTCAGGGTTTTCCATTCCACACAGAAACCACTGGGGAAGATAAACCTATTCTAGCCTGCCCATCCCCTCCATCTCTTTTAACATCACAAACATCAGCAAAAGTGACGACCAAAGGAGGTGAGTGGAGCCACCCAGCCCCTTCCTCCCCATCGGCCCCTTCTCTGGGCTCCAGGTGGGATTAGGGGACAGTCTGGAAGACCCCCTCACCCACAAGGACTGGACACAGAGTCCAAGGACCCTTAGTGGGGATGTCCGTTTCACCCGCACAACTGCAGCAGGGCTGAGAGCTGGGGTGCTCTGTCCTCTCCCATCCTGTCCTGTCCAGGGGCCCAGGAGTGTGGCTGTGCTGCAGCAGCTCCTTTCTCCCCTCAGTGGCCTCCCAAGCAACCTCTGTCCAGCAGGAGCCTGGCCCCATTGCCCGACCACAGGGCCTCTCCCTCCCCAACAGGGCTTGACTCGGCCTCGCTCCAGGGACAGACGCAGAACTGTGTTCTGTCTGATGCTTCCCTGACATGCACTGAGAAACAGGGAAGGGAGAGTAAAAGAAGGGAAAGGGGATCACGGGTGGGGCTCCTGCCTCCCAGACCTCAGGGGTGGCAGCTGGGAGTGGCTCCCCTGGCTCCCGGCCCTCCCTCAGCCTGGTCCACCCATCACAGCCGGCACTCGGGGGCCCTCATTAGGAAGCAAACTTGATAGGCTCTGTTGGAAGGGAGTGGGGCTGATCAAAGAAGCAAGCACAAAGACTTTCCACCTGTGTCTCAGCAACACTGACTCTGTCTTTATGAAAAGCAGCCCGGGAGCCAGGCTTCCTCAGTGCTGCTTCTCTTTTGCGTCTCTTTCTTTCTTCGGGCAAGCTCAGCACTTGTACAAAGCGCACAGTGATCACCTTTGGGGTCTTTTTGGGTTTTCTTCCCCTGGTATGCTTGTGTTTGGATCCTGCCCTTTCACCAGCCATGACCTCCCACAGACCTAACAGGAAGCTATGTCTGGTTCCATTGTGTGCCTTTACATGCACTTCCTATTCAGAGGAAGGGAGATTCCTAAAAAATATGACGAAACCTAAGCACACATGGGGAAATCACCGATCGGAAGCAACTCCCATCCTGTTTGACCACCTCCCTGGCTGATTACTGAGCGATACCCATCAGAGACCAGAGGCATTCAGGGTGCCTTCACTGATAATGTATCTCAGTACTGAGCAATGCTTTTATCCACCTCTGTCTGCAGGTATTATTGTTTGTTCTTCAAGTCTTATAAAGACACAGATTTGCAAATTAAGAACTGCCACTTACACGTATTTGTAAATAAGCCAGCTCACAGACATCCTCTCCTGCTCAGGGACATACATCAGCTTGTCCTTAGTGGGAGGCGGTCTGCAGCAGTGGTCTCCAGCTCTGAATATTTGGAGGGTGATTAAATAACATGAGGTGACTCCCTCCCTGGCTCTCTCATGCATGTGCGAGTGGGCACACGCTCACCCCTGTCTCTTGTTAGGCTGTTAATGAAGCAAGCGTGGGCCGTGTCACTGCCCACTGACTACGGCTTAGAAGCCTTCCCAATCTGTGGCTGAGCACTGGCTCCTGAGCTGCCCTTTGTGCTGAGGACTCTGCTGAGCTAAGCCCTGAGGGGAGCCCTGCTCTGCACTCCAAGGTCTCGGTGACGGGCATCAGGCACAAAACGTCCCTGGTGTCACCAGTGGTTTAAGGACTTCACTGTATTGAGGAGAACAATGAGAGTTGAAGGCAGTGAAGGGGCAGATTAAGGATACCGTTCTGGGACCACTCCCAAACATAGGTGTCCCTTGTCAAGTCCTCAGACTTGTTCCTGCGAGTCTTGTTGTATCGGAGGACACTCCTGCTTGGGGCAGCCTCTTGTCAGATGCAGAGTGGATCCTGTGTATACATACATACACACACAACACACACACCATACAACACACACACAACACATACACACAACACAAACATGCAAATAACACATGCACGCACAACACACACAGCACACACAACACACTGAATACACATACACACAACATACATATGCACACAACACACAACACACACATGCACGCACAACACACACCATACACAACACACACAGCACACATGCACCTACAACACACTGAATACACATACACACAACACACACATGCACGCACAACACACATACCATACACAACACACACAGCACACATGCACATACAACACACCGAATACACATATATACACAATACACACACATGCACATGACACACATGCGCACATAAGCAAATGTCTGGGCTCCCAAGGATTTCTCCAGGGCTCGGTGGGTAATTTCAAGTTTCCTTCAATCTCTGAAACTTCAGACTGGGCACAGCTGGTGCTGGCAGGGTCTCAATGCCCCAGCTCAGTGGTGTCCACCCCCTTGACCCACCCAGGACCTCTCATTATTTCTCTCTGCCCTTGCAACCCTGCATATTAAAAGCTTTTATGTGCCAATCTCTTTTTTTAAATTAAACATTTTTTATTGATAAAAACCCTGCAACTTCCCTTCAGAGTTTCTGACTATAATCAGATGACCTGTGGCTATAAATTCAACCCAAATCAAAGACACATTCTGTTTCAGCGTTGGCCACCTGGCAGGACCCATGCAGGCCCCTGGGGGGCTTTCTGAGTCATCTGGGAGAGGAAGAGCCACACCTGCCCTGAAGGAGACCTGGGCTTGCAGGGACCCCAGCCTATACTGGCCTATAGCAGCCTAAGGGTGGGCAGCAGGGTGCCACTGCCCTGAATGGGTTATTTCCACGCTGGGAGGTGGGGGCTCACTGTCAGGGTGGGGCTTATTTCTAGAATTACAGTGTTTCCTTCCACCATCTGATAAACTGTGAGGAGAATGGATAACAGGAAAGGTCAATTTTTCTTCCATTTTGCAGTATTTTGCTTGTTTTCCGCATCTCACCCATCTCCAGCAGTTGGCGAACACAGCCCACGAGCTGCCCTCAGAGCTCCCCTGGCCTTGTCCTGCCTTGGCCCTTTAATCCTAATGTGCAGCTGTTCTCCCTGCCTTCCTTTCCACTAGGAACCCTCCTGGCTCTCTTCAATGTTCCTTCTTAAATAACAAGGAAAAAAAAATAAAACACACACCATCCTATTTCGCAACGCCTCAAGTGGGCAAAGTCTAAGCAGCCCACTCACTCTGCAGGGAGCAGGCCAATTAGACTGCGGTCCACAAGAGCTGGCCAGGTTCCCCAGGCTGATGATGCCTCTAAGACAGAGCATGCGGCTATCTCTGATGCATGTTCCCTAGTCCCCCTGCCACCCACAAAATCCTACATTTCTTACAAGAAGAATTATGCTAGGAAGGCAGACTGAGATGTCTGGGAAACATAAGGATGTTTAAGAT
Organism: Homo sapiens; assembly: GCF_000001405.40. NCBI lineage: Eukaryota > Metazoa > Chordata > Mammalia > Primates > Hominidae > Homo > Homo sapiens. The sequence goes on along the minus strand of NC_000002.12, from coordinate 109,264,866 downwards.
GTCTGTCCAACAGGAAGTGGAAAATAGCACACTCCAGAAAGCCTCAGGAGGGTGCGGCATGCACGGTAGGTGATGGCCAGACTCCACGGCCCTCAGAAGAATGAGATGCCCGCCCAGTGGGCCTGGGAAGGGCACTGGCTAAGGATACACAGAAAGCCCTTACGGAAACATCTAGCATCCACTGGGCTCAGTGGGAGGGGCTGTTATCATCTCTGTTGTAAAATTCACCACCACCTAGACTCCTGACCTCCTGACATCCAACTGTCAGCTCATGCACATGGTTTTAAATCGTGCCTTGAGATCTTACAAAAAGCCTGGCTTTGGCCCTGAGACTTGATTCACTTTGCCATCTTCTATCTATCGAGCACCTCTAAGGGTAAGAAGCCCAGCAGGACATATAGGGAGGTAGATGGGGAGCACACACAGACTTGGGGTGGATCGTGGGGAGGTGGATGGGGGGCACCCACAGACTCGAGGTGGATCCTGGGGAGGTGGACGGGGAGCACCCACAGACTCGGAGTGGATCCTGGGGAGGTGAACGGGGAGCACACACAGACTTGGGGTGGATCCTGTGGAGGTGGATGGGGGCACCCACAGACTCGAGGTGGATCCTGGGGAGGTGGACAGGGAGCACCCACAGACTCGGAGTGGATCCTGGGGAGGTGAACGGGGAGCACACACAGACTTGGGGTGGATCCTGGGGAGGTGGATGGGGGGCACCCACAGACTCGAGGTGGATCCTGGGGAGGTGGACAGGTAGCACCCACAGACTGAGATCTGTAGCTTAAAGACAGGGAGGAGCTGGAACAGCCCAGATGGTTTTGCAAACCATGTAGGGCTTCTGGAGTGTCCTGACCAGGGAATGACTTGTCCAGCTCTCATTCCTTTCTTTCTTTTTGAGATGGAGACTCGTTCTGTTGCCCAGGCTGGAGTGCAGTGGCACGATCTTGGCTCACTGCAAGCTCCGTCTCCTGGGTTCACACCATTCTCCTGCCTCAGCCTCCCGAGCAGCTGGGGACTACAGGCTCCCGCCACCATGCCCAGCTAATTTTTTGTATTTTTTTAGTAGAGACGGCATTTCACAGTGTTAGCCAGGTCTATCTCAATCTCCTGACCTCATGATCTGCCCACCTCGGCCTCCCAAAGTGCTGGGATTACAGGCGTGAGCCACCGCACCCGGCCTCACATTCCTTTCTATTAATAGTACAGTCTCTCCACTGACAGACTGTCCTGGCAGAATGAGCTAAGTTCATCTATTAGCTTTGCTCAAGGAATGAAAATCCACCTCCTAAAAGCAAATTCTCTACCTGGCTCCCCAGGAATAAAACTGAGAGAATCAATCTTTCTATGTATGCATCAGCCCCCTAATCCACAGAGGACATTTTAAAGTCTCCATATTCTAGCTACTATTTCATTACTTATTTGATTGAAGGCTGTCAATCAAGAATTTTACAACCAGAAAAGCTACCTATAAAAAATAAAGACAAAATAAACACATTCCAGATATACAAAAACTGAGAAAATCTGATGCTAGTTGATCTACCCACCTTATAGAAAATAGCAACGAAAGCTTTTTTAGGCTAAAATCAAGTGACCACAGATAATAATTTAAACCAACATAAAATGACAAAGAGCACTAGTAAAGACAGCCGGGTCATTATAAAAGATAGTATGAATGCACATGTCTCTGCCGTTCTTAACTCATTTAACAAAGTGATTGCGGCTGGGCGTGGTGGCTCACGCCTATAATCCCAGCCCTTTGGGAGGCCGAGGTGGGTGAATTACCTAAGGTCAGGAGTTCGAGACCAGCCTGGCCAATATGGTGAAACCCTGTCTCTACCAAAAATACAAAAAAAAATACAAAAAACGAGCCAGGTGTGGTGGCGGGCACCTGTACTCCCAGCTACGTGGGAGGCTGAGACAGAAGAGTTGCTGGAACCCGGGAGGCAAAGGTTGCAGTGAGCCAAGATCATGCCACTGCACTCCAGCCTGGACAACAGAGGAAGACTCTGTCTCAAAAAAATAAAAAAGAAAAAAGAAAGTCTTGTATGAAAATAAAAATATAATTTTATCATTGGGCCCATTACATATATAAATGTAATATATTTTCCAATAATGGAACCAAGGAGGTAAGTGAGAACAAAGCTATTTGCGGATAAAGAATTATCTCCTGATAATAACTTGAATGCACCAACACAAATGGGGTAAACCAGAAATTCAAAATAAGGTTAATATCACAAAAGTTGTAGACATACAATTGCTCTTTCATTTCTCAGCTTCTTTAAAAGAAACAACATTACGTAAAATAATAAAACAAGAAAACCTTTGAAGGATGAGGCCGCAAGGAAAGGGCCTGGGTAGGTTTACCTGGCTGCAGAGAGTGGGGCCTCCGGACACTGTCCTATGGGCTCTTGGGTACCCCACAGGCACCATGAGAGGTTCCCAGGGCATCGAAAGCAGAGTTTGAAGGCAGTAACCCCAAAGCTCCTGCAATCAGCATGGCTGCCCCCAGGTACAGTGAAAGCACCACCCTCCTGGTGCTTTTCCACCGTGGTTACTCGAGACATTTATCTCTCCCATTTACAAACCACTTAGACAACTGGTTTCTCTCCAAGCTTTCAAGCCTCAGATGGTTAAATGCAGAATCATGATGTTGGTCTTCTTTAAATAAGACTGTTAGACAAATACAACTGTAACCATAACAGGAAAGACCCCAGCACTGTAATAATAAGCATTTCCCAGGGCTTTCCTGCCCTGAGGCCGAGGGCACCTGTGGGCTTGCTCATGCTTGCTGGCACCGTTGGGGCTGGTGCATCAGCAGCCGGGCCACCGACCTGTCTCCTGCTCTAGCCACTCTTAGGGGACCTGGTTTTATAGAGCTTTGTGGCCCTTCCTCTGATGTAATGAAGTGGAATGCTACACATCCAGTAAAGATCTTAATACACACCACACTGAATGCATCAACATGTCTCGTATCAGCAGAGAGCCCAATTAATAAATTTAAAAAAAAAAGGCAAGCCTCAGTTTCCCTACTATAAGTGAAGGGGTGGGGAGGCTGACCAGTAGGGTGACCCACCTCCCAAACACTGTATAAATCCATGACAAAGGCTTGAAATGCCTGCCGATTACACTGATTCTCAATGAGCCAAATTTTAAATACACACCCAATTCAATAAGAGTCCTAAGCTTTACCTGTCGTCATGGGGCCTGGCCAGCACACAGCCATCAGAGTCTCAATGAACACTGAACACCACCTGCAGCCCCATGCCACTTCTTTCTGGGCACACCCTTCCCTTCGAATGCACTTGTTTGTGTTTGTCCCTGGGAGATGGGAGGTGCCTGGCTGCTGCACACACAGGTGGGAGGCTGAGCATATTTCACACACGTCTGACACCTCCAAAGCCAAGAAGCAAACATCCTTGACCTCTGCCTGTCCAGCTCCACAGACTGCACATTTTACTGCTCTGCTGTAATTACAATGAAAACAAACACAATTTAATCCTCATGATTAACTAGAGCTCTTGCTGTGTGCTGTTCAGCACAGTGTGCGGATCAAGGCTTCCTGGAGCCCTGGGGAGGGGACAATCACCTCCACATCATTGCTTTGTTCTGCTTGACAGGAAGAGCCATCAGCCAGGGCCCTCGCTTTACACCTATGCAACTACAAAGGGCCCTGACCATACCTGTGTGACAGAGCCAGAAATGTTGATGTGTCCACACAACAGAAGGCTAGCTCACGGGCCTGGCTGTTGGGCCCCCATTGGGCGTCTTGGCAGAAATGGACCCGTGTAAGACACTTCAGGCCAAGTGCTCATGCTACTGACCTCCTTCCTGCAGACACAGTGCCCTCTAAAGGGAGGGAAAGGCTCTCCATCCAGAGAAGGGCACATGGGGCTGAGAACACCTCAAACAGTCCAGCCTCACTGCTTGTAAACAGAGTGGCCTTCCTCTCACAGCAGAGGCAGGATGGGGTTCTGAAGTCACCTGCCTGCCTGGCTTCAACCATTTACCTTCCATTACTCTCTGTAGGGGAGGAAGAAGTCCCTCCCCTGAAACCATGCACTTAGGAACTTGGTTCAGACACACGCTAGGGTCACCTGAAGTTTCCGTGCCTTCTGTCCCTGGATTGCCCATGGACAGTATCAGGCCATAAGATTGCAAGTCTTCTCTTCACCCTCTGCAGGCCGCTTCTCCCATGGGCCTCCATTGGCCCTGGACAGCCTGTCAGCTCTCAGCCATGGGCCACCTCACCAGTCAGATCCTGCATCAGGCACTCCACATACAAGATCGGGAGCCCTCTTGCCTATGACCAAGGTGTCCCTGTGCCCACGCTACAAGTGAAAGTGCTAAGCTCCACAGAGGGTAAGTATGGAACTGGAATTAAAACCCAGATACAGCCACTGGGAGGCAGATGCTTTCTCCACCTTTCTCTGGCCCTGAACCCATCCAAGCCAACTGCACCTGCTCTCCTGCTTTGGTGGTTCCTGGAAGGGCACATGCAGCTCCCTGACCTCGGGTCACAGGTCTCCCTCACTCACCTCACCTGGGCCTTGCCTAGCACTTGGGATCAGCAGTGACTGTGCATGGCGCCTTGGGTTTAGGCGTCAGTTTGCATGGTTTTCCACTAGGGAGAGGACGGTAAATCACAGGGCTGCCAACCATCAGTAGTGCACTGCAGGCTTATCAACAGCCGCCAGGAAAGTCTCGGGAATGCATTTATTCCCTAAATACACTGAGAATTTAGAAAATGAAAAGATCCCAGAGAGCCTCTCTACTCTCAAAAAGGTATTCCCAGGGTTGAGATAAACATCACAAATAACCCTCCACCAAAAAAATTACAATTACTACTTGGAAAAGATATCTCTGGCCGGAGAAGAAAAGAGAACCTAAGCAAAGAAAACCCCTGGGCGTCTGAGAACATGGATATCATCTGCAGAGCCCCTGTTGTGCACGGTGTAGCACACACATGACTGACAGTTTCCAGAGCCATCCCCACAGCGCCCGGCCCAGAGGCTGTCCAAACACCAGATGCTCTCAGAGCCAGACAAACAGAGACCTCCCAGAGATGTCAAGGAAACTTGTCTGAATAAAGCTCCCTCCACATGCACCTACGTGAAGCCTCCATGAAGAAAAAGAAGTGAAAAGAACCAAATCAAGAAAAACAAATTCTTCTTCCGTAGGCCGTGAGAGCAAGTATAGACATTATCACAATTCAAGTTACATCAGGGTCTCCCTGTCACCAACTTCTCCATAAATAACATGCCGCCCAAACATGGTAACTCCAGGGCATTGTGGAAGAAAATAACAAAACAAGCCTCTTGGGATGTTAAGGCATGAAGGGCCCCGGAGAGTCCTGACTTTGCACAGAAGGAAAATCAAGGACTCTAGTCCACCAACAGGCCCACAATAGCCAATGCACCACCGTCACACAACCCAGCAGAAATCACAACAGAGTAGACCTGGAGGCCCAGCCTCCCCTTGCATGCAGGTATGTAGGATGCCTCCGGCTCTGGATGGTGGTCTCAGAGGGCTTCAGGTAGGCTCAACTGTCAGAGCCAGGCCTCTGCACACTCAGAGCCAGTTGTTCAGGAGCCAGCAGCAGCTGCAGGTCTGGGTGCTCCTCAGGGCCAGGACACCCTTTAATCCGACCCATGAAGGCCAGAGAAGCCTACACTTTATGGATTCCTCAACCCGGCTTTTGTAAGTAACTTCAGCCACAAGCCGCGTGGCATGTTGCAGCTATTACATGTGATCTGGCAGTAGGTATGTGTCAGAAACTCTCTGATGAAGCCAAATGGAAACTAGGGCCCTGGCAGCACAAGGCTCTCCCTCCTTCCCGAGGCAGCCTACACAGTGAGCTGACCCCACATAGTTCACCCAGCTAGAGAGGGCATGCGGATGCCCCGTGGGCAGAATCTGGGGAAGCAGCAGGACAGAGAGGGTCTCTCTGCAGCTCGAGCTGAAAGGCAAAACCCCTGACCACAGAGTGTTCTCGTCAAATCCAGCACAGCCAAGGACATCAGCACAGGTCACTGCCCCTGGATGGGTCCTGCTCTGACCTGGCAAGACCCTACCCCTATTAGGAAGGACAACAGCAGTGCAGGCCACTGTCTTCAAAGCAGCACGTATTATATGTCTGAATAACAAACCAGAACTTTCTGGCAGTCATCACTCAGACACGGCTGCCACACAGTCAGGCTCCTAGAGGTACCGGTGACCTGCTGGTCAGTGCAGGGATGTTAGGAGCACAGCCAGCTGTGGCCCGGCCTGGGGAATTGCGGGATGACTGACTGGATTCCTAGTGAGGACAAGGATTGGTGGCACCACCCATACATTGTTCGGAGGCTCACCGCCCTGGCCAGCCTACATGATTGGATTGGCCCTGGTAGGTGTGGGCTGTGCTGAGGGCCCGAGGAAGCCTCCAATACCCAGGAGGTGACAAAGCCTAGAGGCTCTGAGCTGTAGAGACCCCTGCAGAAAACCCGGCTGCACTAGGGTTTGTGGTCCTCTCAACTCTGCAGTTTCTCGCTCTTTAGAATGGGGACAAGACCTCCTGACTGGCTGTCACAGCGGCCACTGCATCAGGATCCCCTCAGTAAACATTCCCTTCAGCCCCTACAAACAGCGCCAGGCTGTCCCCCACTCCTGGAAACCTGGCCACTAGGCATTATTAAGGTAAGTTTACTCTTTCGTAAGCCTCGTTGATGGGGTAAAAGTCTTACCAGCTACCAGTTGCTTGGTGTTTCCAATGTCTGGGCCGGTTAAGCTCCAGATCAGAAAGTCTGCCTGGTAGCCCAGGGATGGCAGGGCTGTGAGGGTCAGCAAATAAGAAAGTGTACATGTGTGCACAGGTATGTGGGTATGTGTGTGCACATGTGGTGACAATCAAGCAGGGAAAGAAATGCTAGAATGGTGAACACAAAAGGCAAGCTGGTCTAATTCATTCTGAGCCCAGGACAGCCCTGGCCCTGGTGTCAGAGAAGCAGTGTGCTCTGTCTGTGTTTACTGTGACTCACTGGGAAAGTGGGGTTTCCAAAAAAGCCTCCACTTAAACAGGCTGGCTGTCTCCTGTCCGTAAAACATACATTTTCAGCCCTTGTTTCTGCACTTGGGGCCCCTTGGTTTTTTTGGACACTGAGACAGGGAGCTCTAACTGTCTACTTCAGGAAACAGGTAATGAACGTGTCAGTGGCTTCCCTGAAGCGCAAACCAAGGCACTCAGAAGGAAAGTCTTCTTCATGGGATGGGTGGCAGGCAGAGTCTATCCTGCTCCAGTGGTCAAGGGAAGAAAGTAACTCCTCACTCACCACGAACTTGGGCCACAGTTTCCTAGCTGACAACCTCCCAGCCAGACTCTTGGTGTGCCCTTCACAGACTTCAGGGCAGCTGCTATTTACAAGAAAGCCATGGGGCTTCTTCCTCCCTCCCTCCGTCCCTTCCTCCCTTCCTTCCCTCCTTCCCTTCCTCTCCCTCCTTCCCTTCCTCTCCCTCCCTCCCTCTCCTTCTTTCATTCCCTCCTCAATTCCTTTCTTTCCTTCATTCCTCCTTCCCTCTTCCTTAAGCCCACATCACTTAAAAGCAGAAACAGCTGACTTTGTACCTCCTGGCCACAGAACGAACAACATGACTTGATGCTGCCTCTCCAAGAAGGACTTACCGTCATGTCCACATGAGCAAGAGAAGCTCCTGCCCCAGTGGGCACTTTTCCAGGATGCTGAGTGAATGTCGGCTGCAGAGTGGACATGAGGGATTCAGTGGCTTTCGGGCTGCCTAGACACAGCCACTGAAATACACGGTGCCCCTACATGACATTCAAATGCCATACAGTGCAAGTCCAGGGCAGCAATGTGACCCGTGCCTGGTCACAGGCTGTCTGAGAGCAGAGGCGGAATAACTCCCTCCAGCATGAAGAGCTGCTAGTCCTCCACACATCTCCATCCACCACCGTTCATGAAAAACACATAAAAATGCCATTCAATTAGGTAGAGGCTGATGGTTAGTCTCCGGGACAATGGAAGACAAGGGACACCCCCACCTGTCACCCGGCACTGCCACCTAAGAGACCCTGAAATAAAAATCCCACTTCACTGTTTTCTCCAGTGATTCATTCATCAATAGCTCGATGTATTCCCTTTCCCTGATTAAAAGTTAACTCCACACAAGGAAGATGAGAAAAGAAAGATTGAGAAAACAAAACTTAGACCACGAAGACTAGGGAAAAAGTAATAAAAATTGTGGCACAATCCCATTGGCAAATCCCCTCGAAGCTCTCAGGCCAGTGCACCTAGCAAAAGGGCTTCTGTGCCCTTTACACACTAGCCCCTCAAAGCTCCAGGAGTGGACTGAACCTGGGCCTTGGTAAGTGTTTGTGACTGATCTCAAATCTCCCCTGTTTCCATGAGAGAGCACTCGTCTCCCTGTTTCAGTCAATGGTAAGTCTGAAACATCTCCTTCCTTGCAGGGGAGGACATCGCATTGCCGCTCATATCCCTAATGACACACTGTCAACTGACAAGCCCAGAGCACCTTCCAAGCTCGCCCCAGGACTACGTCACAGCGTCAACTTCCCCCACTCCCAGTAATACGCTCAACCAGGCCCAAGTGAAACAATGCGCGACCTGTCCATGGCAGGCTCTCCAACTGTGGGGTCTTCCTTGTCTACCTTTCACCTCCACTCAGGGGACAGGACTCAGTGAGGGCCTCCGCCAGGTGCTGGGTCACAGCGGCCAGAAGCACGGGCCTGGCCTCTCCCTCCAGACTTTGCAGGCTCATGGGAATGCCAAGTATTAATATGAAGCACATACAGGCTTACATTTGTGAGGAGGAAAAAGAGGACAGTAAGAGAGTATGTACATTTACATACAAGCACACACAGGGAATCTTCCTCAGGGGACAGGTGCATCCTATTCACTAAGCAAGAAAACACTTCCTCTTCCCCTTCCTTTCAAAGGCCTTGATCTGCAGGACAGAAGCAGGGAGAATGAAAAGGGCAAAAAGGAAAACTAATTTAACTGTCTTCTCTTTCTGAAAACTCGGCCTATTAAAAGCACAAACAGTCGGCAGGGCGGTTTCATTTCCTTGTCTTCATTAAATCAGGAAGCTGAGATTCAGCAGAGATTCTGGCCCTAGAAGTAGCTTATCGGAAATGACCATGAATTATCACCCCAGTGTCCTCCACATGTTTTCTGGTAAGTAGTTTCTTTACTTAACTGAGAAGGTTGTTCCCAACAGTTCTCAAAAGGTGTTCAAATTCCCAAGCCTACCTCATAAAACATTTTCATAATTATAGAGGTGATAGCAACCTTGGTGAGAACAACTATCAAGATGATTTTGATGGGGTTATTTGCTAATTTTGCCTCTTCTGTGAATAAAGATACCCAGTCGGCTGACTAATACGAACCCCAGTCCAACCCTGAATGTGTCCACAACCCCACAGACCTTCATACTGATCATTGAGAACAACCCAGACATTCCCTGGTGGTGGTAAAGTTAACCGAATAAAGCACTTCTCCAATGCTCTGTATTCTTAGAGTAGCTTTACTCAAGTTTCACCGGTGGGTGGTATGGGGTCTGCTGGAAGCCCAGTGTGACAGTGTGACCCATTCACTGGGAGATACTTCCAACCTAGATGCACTATTCCGAAGCCCCAACAGGTTGCCTAAATTGATTAGGAAAGTGAAATGCCACACACACAAAGCAAGAGTTGCACACGTGCACATGTACACACACAGACACACACACACAAACACTAATCTTTAACCTCCCACCACCATGACACGGGTACCACCTTGTGTCTTTTAGCCTTAGGAGGACTGCAGGCTTGTACAGTGTTGGAGCCATCCCTGTTCTTTCCAGATACAAATGATCTAATGGAGTAACCTAACCTGAACCACAGAGCCCCACATAGGTGTTCAATATCCTTCCAGAGCATTTTTCTAGCTTTTGAGACCAGAGTGGGTCACATGGAGCGTACTGTCTCGCTGAGCCCACCCGTGAGAATTCGGACATCCACAGAGAGCAGATACTGCCCTGGCGAGGCAGTGCCTCCAGCCTAGAAGTACCCATCTGTTGGCTTAACTGGAGCGCTCATGGGGCACTGTCCCGAGCCACTAAAGTCCCGGCAATGAGAGGCTCCTCTCATGGGAGCGGCTGGCACAGAAAGAGACAACCACACACCAACATTAGGGGGTACAGCTGAGACAGCAGGAAGTGAAACCCAGCAGAAGACAAAGAAACTATTTGACCAACCTTCTCACGGGGTCATGGGAATAGTCATGGTTTCTTCACATGTGCCTCAAGTTTTAATCAGCATCTACAATGTTGTATTGCCAGACCCAGGTACATCAGCTCAGTGTCAGAGGCAAAGCTGAACGAGGCTGGTAACATTTACATGCAATGTGTCAGGCCCTATTCTAAGTACTTTACAGCATTAATCCATTTAACCTCCCCAACAGTCCAATGAGGAATGTGCTGCCCCCATTTTACAGATGGGGAAACTGAGGCACAGAGAGGCCAACTTGCACAGGATTATACAGGTAGAAAATTATGGCACTGACTCCTTGGTCTGCACTCTAAGCCACTATGCTGCTGCGTGCTAAAAACTCTAGAAAAACATATTGATTGTCCTCAGGTCAGACATCCAAAGGTCTGGAGTGGAGTGAAGAAGTCTATAAAATGCTAACAGAAGAAAAATGTGATTTTCTTCATGTTTTCCTCTAAGAGTCCTTGCTAGAGGGGTTGGTGAGGCAGTCATGCTGGCTGCCACTAGCCCAGGGAAATTCTCATGTGGGTCAGAAAAAGCACCCCTTCAAGACAAATCTAGGATAAATGTGATGTGAATGGTGCCTGGCCCCTGAGTTGTATGATGTATAACCTACACATCTCAGGGGCCAGGCCCCATTCCCAATACATTTGACAGCCTTAAGAGCTGTGGAAGGGGAATTAAAGACTTCCATGCTTTTAGAAAGAAGAAAATGCAGTTCAAGAAAAAATACTCATACATTACTTTCTGGTTTCTGCTCCCTGAACAATTATTTTCTTAAATTACAAATTATAAATCTTTGTGTGTCAACCTATATAGCAATCTTTGCATCTAAATCAAAGAGAAATCATGGTCTCCACTTGGCCTGGTGCTTTAATAACCACCTGTTCTATTATATGTTCTATTTTCCAGACAGCCAAATTCCTTTCCAAATGACCCAGATACAACCATTTTTATCAAAATTCTAAGCACAGCCCCAAGCACAGGCTAAACCGAAAGACTGTTAAATTAGTCAGAATAAGAATTTGCTGCCTCAACATCTTAGATCCAGCATGAAAATCATGGACACAAGTGGTATTTCTGTTGCCTGGATTAGAAAACAAATAGCAAGCCTGGGAAACATGAGAGCTGGGCAGCAAAAAATGCCCTCACCAGCCCACCCGGAAAGCAGCGCCCACGTCCTGAAACCACATGGACACAGCCTATCCTGGGGCCTCTTCTTTGTAAACACTTCTGCCTCCCAAGGAAATAAACTAATCAAAGCACCTTAATCAAATTTAAAGGCTAGGCCGGGCGCAGTGGCTCATGCCTGCAATCCCAGCACTTTGGGAGGCTGAGGCAGGCGGATCACTTCAGGTCAGGAGTTCAAGACCAGCCTTGTGAAACCCCATCTCTACTAAAAATACAAAAACTAGCCAGGCATGGTGGCACGTAGCTGTAATCCCAGCTACTCAGAAGGCTGAGGCAGGAGAATCACTTGAACTCGTGAGGTGGAGGTTGCAGTGACCTGAGATCGCACCACTGCACTCCAGCCTGGGCAACAGAGCAAGACTCTAGCTCTTAAATAAAAAAAAAGAAAAAAAAAGTAAAGGCTACACATGTGGGTCTACATTTAAACTGATGGATTTTGCTTTTTGAGGTTCAAGAAGAATAGGGTGATTGACTACAGTCAGTCCCCTACTTACGATGGGCTGACTTAGGATTTTTCTACTTTATGATGGTACAATACAATACCCAAACTGTACTTCACATACCTATATAACCAGTGTTTTTCACTTTCAAGACAGTATTAGGTAAATGACACAGATATTCAACACTTTATTATACAACAGGCTTTGTGTTACATGATTCAGCCCAACTGTAGGCTGATTACATTAGCCAGCCTAATGTATATTGTTCTGAGTACATTTAAAGTAGGCTAGGCTGAGCTATGAGGTTCTGTAGGTTTGGTGTATTACATGCGTTTTCAACTTATGATACTTCCAACTATTGATGGGTTTATCAGGACATAATCCATCTTAACTCATTCTGTCATTCTAGTTTGCCTGAAATATCCCTGGTTTTAGCACTGAGAGTCCCACATCCCAAGAAACTCCTCAGTCCCAGGAACACCAGGACGGCTGATCAACCCATGATAAAGCTAAAACTGAAGGCCTGTAAAAAGACAAAGCTTATAAAACAAGCCTGAGGAAGCAGTTTCAGAAGTAAACATTAAGTTCAGAAAATTTTGAGAGTTTGCATCCAACTATTCCTCTAAAAATAAACCCGGCTTCTGTTGAACAATGTAAACTTTCTAAATTAAGCCTAAAACATCTTTTTAAATTATAATGTTGAAAGTTTTTTTTTTTTTTCTCCTCTGAGACAGGGTCTCACTGTGTCACCTGGGCTGGAGCGCAGTGGTGCAATCTTGGTTCACTGCAACCTCTGCCTCCCAGGCTTAAGCAATCCATCCTCCAACCTCAGCCTCCTGAGTAGCTGAGACTATAGGCCTGTGACACCCCACTCAGCTATTTGTATTTTTTGTAGAGATGGCATCTCTATATGTTGCCCAGGCTGATCTCTAACTCCTTAGCTCAAGTGATCCATCCTCCTACCTTGGCCTCCCAAAGTGGTGGGATTATAGTCGTGAGCCATTGTGTTCAGTAAAAGTTTTATCTTGTTTTATTTGGGGGGTACTTTTGCCGATTTAAGAACATAAGGTTGAGAACTCAAAGTCTAGAACCCTGGAACCCATCCTCTTAAAACTCATTATGTACTTTAAAGGGATTAGAAAATTGGTATTAAAAATATTAAATATTTGGTATTTTTTAGTATTATCTAATTCTTTTTTTGACTATTACAAAAGTTTATTTAACAAAAAGTCTAATATGAAAATGTACACGACCTAATTTTTACATCATAGTAAAATAGAACCTATGAAGAGAGGACATGGGTTTCTCTGCTGAACAGCCATTATTTATACTCGTTCCAAGGCTTCTAACATGATGATACTATTTCCTATTACCACCATTCCAATATTGTTCTGTTGCCCACCAGTCGCCATCTCCACACATTCATCTATCACAAGATTCATAAAGGGACCAAATGACCACAATATTCCTTGGACATGTCTGCCACCATTTAATTTCAATGACAACTTCTTGTCCATAGATTTTTTCAACTCGGGAGGGTGAGCTTTGCTCATGGTGTCTACTCCATGCACTCACAGATGCCTTGGAAAGGAATGCACAGACTCCCTCATGCTCCCGCGGCAGGCCGGGTGTCTTGCATCTCTCTAATTCTTTGTTAAAGATAATTTGGGCCGGGCATGGTGGCTCACGCCTGTAATTAATCCCAGCACTTTGGGAGGCTGAGGCGGGTGGATAACCCAAGGTAAGGAGTTCGAGACCAGCCTGGCCAACATGGTGAAACCCCATCTCTACTAAAAATAAAAAAATTAGCCAGGCATGGTGGCAGATGCCTGTAATCCCAGCTACTGTGGGAGGCTGAGGCAGGGGAATCACTTGAACCTAGGAGGCAGAGGTTGCCATGAGCCGAGATCATGCCACTGCACTCCAGCCTGGGCGACAGAGTGAGACTCAATCTCAAAAAAAATAAATAAATAAAAATATTAATAATTTGAAAAAAAAAGCTATACAGAATGCAATGTATATGCCTAAACAACGTTAATTTAGAAATTTAAAAAGATAATTTTTAAAATGGTTTCACTTTTTTGGATTTACTCCAGGTAAGTGATTTGATTTTTTGTTCTACCTAAACAGCACTGGATATAATTATTTCCCAGGGCTTCAAAATTCTGAAAATCCTAATTCCCTATTGAAGCACTTTTTTTTTCTAAAATAGCTAATTACTAAATTATAACAAACATAGAAGTTGAATTTGGCAAGTTATGGTAGTTTGCTTCTAGGTCCTCCTTTGATATAAATATGTTTTCCATATTTGCCTCATACTCAATAGTTTTCTAAATTTAGCCCAGGAAACATACCACTATTATTATTATTATTACTGTTATTATTTTGTTAAAGGTTTTTCTGTATTTATCATGTTTTGAAAAAGAAAAACGGTCAAATTCTAGATCCTTTAAAATCCAGTCCATTATTATTCCATTTATTTTAATAATAATAATAAATATTTAAACCTGGTAAGTTTTCCGAGTATATCAAAATTTATTATGATGATTGTTTCATGAAGAAACGAAGTTGTATATAATACAAGCTTACATTGCTAAGCTCAGAAGTGAATTCAGAGCTGATGGAGACTGTTAGCTTGTGCATGTTTAGAAACCCCCACGTTGGCTCTGTCCAACCAGCAATGGGCGAGATGTCTTCCCCAGGGCTTCCAAAGTTCTAAACATTCTCGTAACTTGGTTCAGTTGCCTTTCCCTAAATACAAATTCCTGAATTATATCAAAACCTTAGGGAACATTCCTAGGAGTGGAGAAAAACCTTAAAGACAGAGAAAAACCTTAAGGACAGATAAAAACAAGAATTCTAATTAGACAAAAAAAAAAAAAAAGGAACACCTACTGTTTTGCCCTCAAAAACACTGATGTCAGTCATGGTAAAAATAACAAGTTTTCATTTATATTTCACTGACTTAAAATTTGGTAGAGATCTGGTGCAGGCCGGGCGCGGTGGCTCACGCCTGTAATCCCAGCACTTTGGGAGGCCAAGGCAGGTGGATCATGAGGTCAGGAGATCGAGACCATCCTGGCTAACACAGTGAAACCCCGTCTCTACTAAAAAATAAAAAAATTAAAAAATAAATAAATAAAACAAAAAATTAGCCGGGCGCGGTGGCGGGCGCCTGTAGTCCCAGCTACTCAGGAGGCTGAGGCAGGAGAATGGCGTGAACCTGGAAGGCGGAGCTTGCGGAGCTTGCAGTGAGCTGAGATCGCACCACTGTACTCCAGCCTTGATGACACAGCAAGACTCTGTCAAGAAAGAAAGAAAGAAAGAGAGAAACAGAGAAAGAGAGAGAGAAAGAAAGAGAAAGAAAGAAAGAAAAAGAAAGAAAGGAAAGGAAGGAAGGAAGGAAGGAAGGAAGGAAGGAAGGAAGGAAGGAAGGAAGGAAAGAAAGAAAGAAAAAGAAAGAATGAAAGAAAGAAAGAAAGAAAGAAAGAAAGAAAGAAAGAAAGAGAAAGAGAGAAAGAGAGAGAGATCTGGTGCAGGAGGGAAGGGTTCCTTGCTCAACAATTCTCCAGATCCTCTGAGCTTTGGTTTCCTCATGTAGTCATGGCAATAATACCAACTTGCTCGGGGATTTTTTGCAAAGATTATGTGTTAGGTTTCCTTCCCTCCATCTTAAGAATCACTGCTCAGGCCCTCTTCTTTTACCAAATAACTTTTCAACAGAAACCTGAAGAAAGAACAGGGTAGGAGTCGGGGGGGAGTTGCTTAGCTGAAGTTAACGAGTGTAGTTCTTGGCCAGGTGTGGTGGCCCACACCTGTAATCAATCCTTTTTTGAGAGGCCAAGACAGGGAAATTGCTTGAAGCCAGGAGTTTAAGACCAGCCTAGGCAACATAGTGAGCTGTGGTCTCTACACAAAATTACAAATTAGCTGGGCATGGTGGCATGCACCTATAGTCCCAGCTACTCAGGAGGCTGAGGTGGGAGGATCACTTAGGCCCAGGAGTTGGAGGCTGCATCCCAGCCTGGGTGACAGAGCAAGACAGGACAGGACAGGACAGGACAGGACAGGACAGGACAGGACAGGAAAGGACAGGAAAGGAAAGGAAAAAGGAAAGGAAAAAGGAAAACGAAAAGGAGAAAAGAGAGAAAGAGAGAAAACGAAAGAGAAAGAGAGACAGAAAGAGAAAGACAGAAAGAAGAGAAAGAGAGAGAGAGAGAAGGAAGGAAAGAAGGAAAGGAAGAAAGAAAAGAAGGAGGCAAGGAAAGAAGGAAAGGAAAGAAATGCAGTACTTCATTTTTCTCTTCACTCACCAAGTGTACTAATTATTTGCTTGCACTTGAATATTCAAACCTATTTAATATACATGTTTGGTCAATTAATGTCTCAAGGTTTCTGTCTGCATTGCAATTGTCTTAGACTGGAATTAACTACAGGGTAGTAACATCCATTTAATTCCACTTGGAAAATGCCACTTGCAGAGCAGGCCTGCATAAATGACTTTGATGCAGTGAGAAAATGGAGCTTACCTAATAAAAACACTTCTTAATTATCCTACCAAAAGGAAAAAAATGAGAGCGATAACACATAATCATGAGAGGCAAAACCATAAAACTTTCAGGAAACAATAAGAAGAATATCTGTATGGCTTCAAGGGTGGGGAAGATTTTTAAAACAATAGCCAAAATGAGCACATCAGAAAAGAAAAAGATTGAGAGAAGTGACCTTGTTTATTAAAAGTAAGAACTCCTATTCATCTGAATCAACATATATAGCAATGAAAGAATTAATATCCAGAATATATTTTAAAAACTCCTCCTAATATAAAAGATCAACAATCAAAAGAAAACAGGCAGTGGACTTTGTGGTGGATTGTAGAGTAACAGCCTCCAATTGATTCATGTTCCCTGGATCCAGGCCCTTGGAATATTCCATCCAAGGTTGCCTCTAGATTTGGCAGCCCTGTGACTTCCTTTGGCTAATGAGACAACAACAATTATGATGCAGATGGAGGTTTAAAAAGCGCTTGCACGTTGGAGTCTGCCTTTTCTTGTTGCTTACTGGGACCTTCAGTCCACCACATGAAGACGCCCAGGCTAGCCTTTGGGGGATATAAGAGACCATGTGGAGAGGAACCCAGGCCATCCTTGCTGCCCCAGTAACCCCAGCCAACACACACAACAGTGAGTTAAATAAAAAGGTATTATTTTAAGCCTCTAAGTTTTGGGTTTCTGTTATACAGCAAATCCTAACTGATACAGGGAAAAACATATAGAAGATGTTCTCCTTCACTGGCAATCAGAAACTAACAAAGGAAGAGCTAACGCAGCCAGTCCGTCAACTGTGAGGTGTTAAGGACACTCACACCTTTGTTTACAAAGAGAAGTCGCCAAGTGTAACCAGGCAAGAGTTTCTGCACAGGAAGAGCACAGCAGGCTGGACTGACACGTGACCACCCATGCCTGCCTTAAGGTGGGAAGAATAATGGTTTTGCACAAAAACTTCCAGGAAGTGTCCTCAGAGGAACGGTCAGGAGCCGTGACGTTCAGGGATCATCTGGGAAGCTCAGCTGGTCTTACACAAGTGTGCTAGGTTACTTAGGAAGTAAACTGATCTAGAAACTAACGAAGTTCAGGGAGGGGCTGCAGAGATTTGGATAAAGGGCTCAAGAAAGCTCTTGAAAGCCATCCTTGGTGTGTCACCGATTCCAGGACATTAAGGACTCACTGCAGCACATAATCTGTGGGCATCTGTGTGGGGTGTGACTTCATTCTGTTCTCCCTTATCTCATAGCTTCCTTGTCCTCTGCAAACCCAAACTCCATGTTTCATGTCTCTGGATAATATCCATACACCCATGGGATTACAATTCCCCAAACAGGGGAAAATGAAAAATTAAAATGGTTTTAGAGTTGAATGTAGTTGTGACTACAGGAAAGATGTCACATCATCTCAAAAAGTGAGGGTCCGACCAGAAAGAGACTAACCAGCATCCTCCACCATGAGTCCTCCTCATGCTCTGGGAACGCCTCCTCAAGGCTGAGCTGCAGCATTGGCCTGGAGCCCTGAGTCAGAGGGGTCCTAGCATCAAACCTGTGCCACCGAATGGAAGGAAGACACCCCCAGCATCGCTGTCACAACAGAAGCACGTGGATGAGCTAGGGCATCCGACTGCAGTTCAACTCAGAGCAAGCGAGGCTCTCCAGGCTCAGGTATCATCTCCACCCCGGCATCCCCACTGCCTCCCAGTCCATCTGAGCAGAGACATCCAGCCTTAGGACGAGCCAGGGCAATTCCACCAGGCACGTTAAGTCCACAGGTCAAATAAGACACGTGCAGGGAGATACACTGGCTGTGTGTGGAAAGGAAGGCTGGAGGGTACTACAGTGGTGAAACATCTACACTCTCCAGCCATCCTGTTAGGCATGATATTCCTTGGAGTATGCAATGGACTGAATGTATGTGTCATCCTAAAAGTCATATGTTAAATCCTAACCTCCAAGGTAATGCTATTAGGAGCTGAGGCCTTTGGGGAGGTGACCGGATCGTGAGGGTGGAGCCCTCATGAATGGGATTAGTGTCTTACTAAAGAGGCCTCGGAGAGTTGCCTTGCCCCCTCTACCATGGGAGGACACAGTGAGAAGGCACCGTCTGTGAACCTGGAGGCCAGTCTTTACCAGACATCGAATCTGCCAGTGCCTTGATCTTGGACGACCAGCGTCTAGAACTGTGGGAAATAAATTGCTGCCGCTTTTAAACCACTGCGTTTACGGTATTTTGTTACAGCAGCTTGAAAAGCCTAAGGCAGCCTCTGTCAACCTCACAACCACCCTGCAAAGCAGGTATCCTCCCACTTCACAAATGAAGAAACAGAAGCTAAGTAACTTGCCCAATGTTATCACAGTCCTAGGTGTAAAATTGAAGTATGAATCCAGGTGTCTTGATTTCAAAAATCCATGCTCTTTTTTTGTTTCACCACACTGGTTTTTTGTGAATAAGCCAGCTTAGAGACTTTCATTATAGCAGTAATTTTTTTTTGTTCCCTCAAAGGATTTCCTGAGACCAGTAAATGATGCCCGGGATTGTGTTAAGTACTCTAGATTTCAAGTGTTAAGTACTCTAGATTCAATCTCTCATGATGGATTTACAAACTCCATAAAGATCTGAGGGTCCCCCTGAGGCAACTTTAACCAGAAAATCTGAAGGTCCAGGAATTATAGCAAAAATGATGACTTAGAATGAATTTCCTGAATTTGTTAAGATATTTATTGTGGCCAATTTCAGAGAGAAATCTTAACAAATATGGTCTCAGTTCAAGGGATAAGAAGCAAATATGAAAACTCGTAAAGTTATTTTATATATAGACTTAAATTTGTCTCCTCAAAGCCCAAGTTCCTATAATAACATGTCAGGCTAGAGGTGCAGTTTGTCCAATAAAAATAAAAACTTAATTTACTTTTTATTTCTAGTTGACTCTTAGAAAGGAAAATAATCAACTCACATAGGAAGCACTAATGTGCAAATTATTTTGCCAGACTCTGAGGGTCTGAATATCCAGACAAAAACCACAAAGAAACAAAAATTACATGAAAGCACCAAGAGGGAATTCCAGTTACAGCAGAGGTTGACACTGTCCCCAAGTTGGGGACAGAGGGAATGACCACAGGCATGGGCCTCACCTTGACCATGGCAGCAGACAGCTCTACTCCTGTCTCTGTGGTCTGAAAACCTCAGAGCAGCCAGTAAGATGACCCTAGAGAGACAGGAGCTATACATTCACCAGGAGCACAGAAGCCACATGGCAAGAACCCAAGTGGGCTCCAGCAGGGGAGCTTCCCGTGAGATGGTGGAGGGGCTCTCATTCTATCTGCTGAGAACTGGGCACACTCTGCTCAGCAATGGGTCCCTCAGCACAAGGCTGCCCAGACAACAGGACTAAACACTTAAAGGGGACGCCATCCAACAACAAAGACAGCAAGAACTGTACTCACAGTTCTCCATAGAGATACTGGCACCTGATCAAGTCTCAAACCCAAGGGCAAGCTCAGGGCCAGCCAACTTTGTCTTGCTTCTAACTTGTGTCCACACCCTGCAGAATATGACGATGGCACAGGCTGCAGTGGGAAAGGTGTGTAAAACCTCCCCTGTTCTCAGGCCACCCCTCCAAGGCCAGCAGCAGGAGGGGCACCTGCCCTGGGCCACAGGCTGCCTCAAGGGCCCGGGCATTGAGGTTCTGAGTGACTTTGACTCCTGTCTCTAGAGGCTGTGATTCTCAGTGCTGCAGATAATACCATCTCCATATTTCCTCCCTGTGTTTGCCTAACAGAAACTCCGATATCTTCTCCTGCTAACTGGCATTCTTGGGTTTTCCTCATCCTGCCAGCTTATTCCTATAGCAACTATTAGGTGGAACAGCTCTCATCTTAAAAACAGTTCCAAACAGCTTAGGGCCCTATAAATTTAATTTTCAATCTCACATTTGGCATTTGTTTGGGGGTAGTTCCAACACATCAGGAAGACAGAATTGCATTCATGGGCAAAAATCAGTACTGATGGTTTTGCCTAAAGACTGAATATAGTATTTACTTTCATAATACCACCTGAGGTTTATATATTAGGACAATTCTGCTCTGTGTCACTTTTCTCACCTGCTCCTAGATGCAAAATGTGCACATTTGCCTGAAGAAGCTGTTGCATAATGCTTTGTTGTACCTCCTGTGTGCTTCTTAAATGTTTTATGCCCCCGTCATGTTTTATCTCCAGCTCGGATTAGAATCCATTGTTTTGCAGTCCATAAATAGTACATCCTTCAAACAGTACAAAAAAAATAGCTACAGAGGATTTGCTGAATTGTAAGTTCAAGGAAAACTATTCTTTCTATCAGGATTCTAGGCAATCTAGGACCAACAGAGAAAATACCCTCGCTACAATTACCCATCTCACTGTTTAATGATCACTGCTGATGGCAAAAACTTCACCTATGAGCACATGAGCTGGGCAGGGCAAACAGAACCACCAAGTGCCCATGGCTGCATGTCGGTGGCATGAGCTCTTCTGGTGTCTAAGCCTCTCTCACTCACTACTCACTCATCTATTTACTCACTCAAGATCTTTCTAAAGCAAACCAGATCACGTATTGTCCTGATTACAGCCTTTCAATGGCTTCCCAACGCACAGAGAACATGTCCCAAACTCCTTTCCTGGATTGCAAAACCACTCGGGCCACCCCGAGGTTCTCTGAAAACACCATGCTCAATCTCTCCTTAGTCTCCCTGTACCAGGCGATTGTCCCCGACCTTTGCCTCCCTGGCCCCTTCTCACCACTCATATCTTCAGCTCTCAGTTTAGACACCATCTCTTTAAAAATGTTCCCCAGCCACCAAATATAAAAGTCATTCTCTGTCATTCTCCATTATAGGTTCCCATGGTGTTAATTACCTGTATGTCACCTGCCCCATCTGACTTTTTTCATGAGCATTTCCTGTTCATTGGCCTCCCTGGCTGGAATGCACACGAGGAGAATACGAAAATCCCTTCCTCATTTGCCACCACACACTTGATGCAAGAAGAAAGGACAGGCACTCCAGCATGTGCCCCGGGAATATCTGGTAAGGGGTGAACAGAAGGAGACTAAGCACATGGAATCTCAGGGCTGCAAAAGCACACGGGAGTCTCAGGATCCATGCGGTGTACGGCTGACGCCGGCTCTGGCCCAGGACTGGCAGTTGCTGATGGGTCCCTCTACTGAGGCAGGGGATCTGCAGACCTCTCAGCTACTGCTCAGACCTCAAGAAGCTTTCCTCAGCCCTTACAAGACACCTGCACAAGGCAATAGCCTGCTCCCAATTGTCTGCCTGAAAGACAACACCTCCCATCTCATCTGCTGCTGACGCTACAGGAATATGAACAGCCGATTTCATTGTTCTCACAAATCACGACACTCTAAATTCAATTTCCTTAATAGTCTCAAACACTCAGAATAACAGAACCATGAGTCACGGAAGTCCGACTCAGCCTCACACAGAGGACAAGAGTCCTTTGGCTGCAATTCCTGATTTCCTAATGCTGTTCTGTGAGGTTTTTGGATGCCTGTTCCCTTTGTGAGAATAGATAATCTGAAGCAGAAGAAAAAGGCCCTATTGCTCTATTTGGGCCACAGAGTGAGGGTCCCCATCCTCTCCAAACTTGCCACACCCCAGCCTGAGGACGTCACTGGGGAAAGAAGATCAAGGCCCAGCTGTGGACTCCAAACCTCTGAGCCCAGACCAGGGCTCACGAAATGTGTCCTGACTGTCTGGCCAAGCAGCCATTGGATTAATTTTACTGGAGTTTTCACAAGGTAGGCACAGCCCAGTAAGGAAAAGTCAAAGCAGGAGGTCTCTTTGGGCTAGGCCGGCCTGGGGCACGGTGGTCAGTGCAGACACAGGCTTCCCACTTGGCCTTGTTGCCATTCACTCCCGCTTCTCCAGTGGCCAATCAGTGCCTGTGTCACTGGGGCGGCTCAGCAGGAAGGCCTGGCCCCATTCTGAGCCCCAAGGCCCAGGACTCTAGGCACGGGCTGCTCTATGGGTGTGACCATCTGCAACGAGGCACGACACAGACAGGAGACAAGGTCCTCAGTGTAGCAGCCAGCAGACTCAGCTGGGAGCTTCTAGACTCCCAGGCCTGGCTTCCACCCAATTGGTGACATTAAAACTGCTAGGGGGAACCCATGCCTCAGGACTACAAAGCTCCCCAGATGGTGCCAAGGTGCTACCAAAGTTGAGAACAGCAGGAAAAGGGGCCACCTAAGCTAGGACACCAACACAGACAAGAGGGGAAGTGATTCCTCAGGGAGCCCACCATGACCAGGGAAAACAGGAGGCGAACAGAGGAGCCACCCTGTGTGGCAGGCTACCTATGACACCCCCGTCTACACCAGAGCCAGCCACTTGCAGGACGAAGGACTGGGAAAGGGAATCCTCTTTCCCAGTCTGATCACTCACAGGTGTCAGGCCAAGAAAACCACCATGAAAGCAGCACTCTGGGGAACATCGTGTCTCAGGTCCAAGCAGAGGTGGTGGGCCCCTGTAGTCCCAGCTACTCGGGAGGCTGAGGCAGGAGAATGGCGTGAACCCGGGAGGCGGAGCTTGCAGTGAGCCGAGATCGCACCACTGCACTCTAGCCTGGGGGACAGAGCAAGACTCCATCTCAAAAAAAAAAAAAAATTATTCAAGACACTAGGGAAACACGCAGGGTGGGAACAGAAAACTGGCAGATACAGAAGCCAGAGAAGAGGGACTGCAGGGACTGGGGGAGAGAACTGCCGAACCCTCACCATGGCGAGGCGGGGAGACAGAGAGTCCCAGGGGCCCTCCCAGCAGAGCTGACCGAACCAAGCCAAACCTCAATGCCTGAGGCCAAGTGGGAGGGAAGAAGGTTGTGTGGGAGGGAGGACGGATGGTTATAAATCTGATTTTCTGCCAACAAAATGTAATACGAGCTTATGTAGGAAATTTCAAAAGATATAAAGAAAAAAAAAGGACATTCCTAAAGTATTTCTTCCAGCCATTTTTTCCCCCAATGCATCTATACCCATATGGCCCTAGAAAAGGGGAGAGGGTCCCACAGCAAGATGAATTTTGTATACTTTTTTTCCACTTCAAATGCTCCAATATCCGTCCATCTTTTATAATGGCCATTACTACAAATGAATTTGTCTTTTCTGTTGTTGTTGTTATATTCTTAGGCTGGAATTGTTAGGTCAAGAGACAAACAAACTGCTTTTTCAGAGAGTTTTTGTTTTGAGGTATGTAAGTACAAACTTATTTCGCTCTCTTCTTGTCATCATTGACTGTCGACTAATTTGTATTAACTTACTAGACAATGAAGCTTCTCATTCTCAGAGCTTACTACTAAGGCCACTTATTTTAAACATATATTTTTAGTAATTATTCTTCTGATGCTCTATAGAGTTCTTTTTGGCCAAAAGGGAGGCATGGAGTTTTTGGGGAGATGTGGACTTGTTTGGATGTGGATTATAAGGAGGTGAGGGAGAAAGAAGATGGAACATGAGAAAAGAAGCGGGGAGCAAGACAGAGAGACAGAGAGAGAGAGATGGAATCAAGTTCCCAAGGGCAGGGGTGGGGGTGGGGGTGTCAGGAGTCCAGTAGGAAGAAGTAACCTTAGAAGAGAAGAGAAACCCCTCAGGGTCTAGAGAGGAGAAGGACGACAGGAGGAAATAGGAAGAAGCTCAGAAGGAAACAGAAGGGTGCTCAGAGGTGGGAGGGAGGGAAGATGAAGGCATTCTCACCTAATGGCCTCTCTGGTTCGTGTGAAATAATCCGTCAGTGGCAGGGGATATTAGAGAAGCTGAAGGTTTGAAACTGCAGCAATGAAAAACCTATTTATCCACAAGTCAAAGTGCCACACCAGGGGACTCTGCTACTGATAGGGACCATCAAGCCCAACCCTGACTCTGGTTTTAGTTTTTGTTGTTTGTATTTTGTTTGTTTGTTTTTTTGTTTGTCGCCCAGGCTGGAGTGCAGAGGTGCGATCTTGGCTCACTGCAAGCTCCGCCTCCCAGGTTTAAGCAATTTTCCTGCCTCAGCCTCCCAAGTAGCTGGGATTACAGGCATGAGCCACCACACCTGACTAATTTTTTTGTATTTTTAGTAAAGATGAGGTTTCAACCATGTTGGACTCCCGACCTCAAGTGATCTGCCCTCCTGGGCCTCCCAAAGTGCTGAAATTATAGGCGTGAGCCACCATGCCTGGCTTCAACCCTGATTTTGCATGTGAGAAAACTGAGGCCCAGAGGTGATAAATGGGTGATCCATGGTTCCACAAGAAGAGAGGGCAGTGCCAAGTCTAGAATCCCCAGGTGTGGTTCACCCACTATGCAATACAACAGCCTTCACTCACATAAGAAAACAGAGAAGGGTCTGGGCCAGAGCCCCGGCCACCACTACAGACAAGTGACTCATCTATCATGAGCCAGCAAGCATTCCACAGAGGATACCCAGCTGCAAGCCCCACTACAACTAGAGCACATTTTGCTATCAGTCACCTCCGCCTGGCTGCCAGTGATTGAGTGACTCCTCACCTTCAGCACACATTTCTCTAAGTCTCCAAGGAGACGGTCGGAAATTCTGTAAGTTGCTGTGAGCTGTGGGGATGAAAGGCAGGTGGCCGTGAAACACCCCTCCCAAAGACAAGGGACTCCCACAGCAGTGCCGCCAGCTCCTTTCCACAGGTGGCTCCATTTAAGCTGGAGCACTTGGCAGAGCAACTCCCTCCCTAAAATCTATTACTCCACCAAGAAAGCTCTTAAAAATCAGTGGCTTCATCGGCCTCTCTTTCCTCCCTGTTATCCTGGATGATCACGCCTGGCTCTGTACCCAGTCTCGTGTGTGCAAACAATGGTGTCTGCCCACTAACCCCGTGTCCCTCATCGGACCGCAGAGTCAAATATGGGGCCAAATTCAAAATCACTTCAGAATATTGTAGTCCGTTTGTTCTAAAAAGCTTTTACTTGATTGGAGGCAAGGAGCAGGGAAGACCCCAATTTTCACTAGAAAACTGTATCCTTATTCTTATTCAGTTCATTTTTGTGTGAGGAGAAAGAAATGACTACTTTGGAAATGACCCATTGAATCTTAACAAAAATACTCCTATAGCCCCCTAGGAAGGGATAAAAGCTTCCATACAGAGACCCCCAAGAAAACAAATCCATGTGAGAAACCCAGGTGAGCTGTTTGCCATCCGTATTTACGGACCCCAGCTCTTTTCGGAGCACTGTGCAGGGCTCACACCCAGGGAAGAAAGAGGTCTGGGGAAGCTCAAAGTGCTCACAGAGTTCTGAGCTCTGGGACACTCGGAAAAGACGTGTCTTGGACGTCTTCTCCTGTATACAACCATCTTGACATTTGGCACTGCATAAACCCAGGGAACTTGCTTATTTTTATTACATTTAACATTGTTCTGTCTACCAGTAGCTTTTCCTCTCATGAACAGAAAGAACTGGAGGCAGAAAAGCCAACTGAAGGGCCCTCTCATCTGTTGTCTCTGATGCATGCACCCCCTCACATAGAGCCAGTGACCACAGTGGAGCTGTATCCTCCCTTGGGACAGAGAGAAGGGACTGCCCCCCACACTGGCTGCTGTCCTCCAGGGCAGACCACACCTCGCCGGGTTTCATCAGGGGCCTTGCCTCTGTATTGCAAGAGCCACAGAGGATGCAAGCATGTAGCAGCTGCCTGGGGGAAGGAAGTCTTGAGCAACAAGGGCATCCGGTCCTCTGTGGAGTGAGGCCATCCTGTGAGCACTCTCCTCCTCCATTCATCACACTCTGGGTTTAAGAAACTCTGAAACAGTGGCATCCATAATGCGAAAAAGAATTCCTGAAAAAATGTCCCCTCCAAAGTTTCCAGTTTCCAGCAGAGATCGCACCACTGCACTCCAGCCTGGGCAACAAGGTGAGGCTCTGTCTCACTCTCACACACACACACACACACACACACACACACACACACACACACACACACAAATATACATAACAAACAAGAAATGTATAAATTAAAGAAAAAGAGAAAATTTTTTAAAGCACCCACAATCTAGCTGTCATGCTCTGGTAGTTGTCTTCCAGCCTTGTCTCTGTGCATAGATTTATAAGATTTTTAAAAATACAGTGATATTAGTGTACTTGCCATCTGGTATCCTGCTTCATTTTTAGAGCCAACACTTTTCTATTGAATTAGTCTTCATAAAAACCATTTTATTTTATTATTTTTTTTTAAGAGACAGGCTTCACTCTGTCACCCAAGCTAGAGTGCACCCGCATGATCATGGTTCACTGCAGCCTCCAACTCCAAGGCTCAAGAAATGCTCCTGCCTCAGCTCCACCTGGGATTACAGGCAGATGCCACCATGCTTGGCTAATTTTTTAATATTTTGTAGAGATGGGGCCTCATCATGTTTCCCAGGCTGATTTTGAACTCCTGACCTCAAGTGCTAGGATTACAAGCATGAGCCATTGCGTGGTCATAAAAACCATTTTAATTTGGTGGCATAACACTAAGTTAATTTATATACCATAGCTTATTTAGCAATCTCCACACTATTAATAATATCCAAGTTGTTCTTCATTTTTTGCTTTATTTTATACTAAAATGGAAACTTTGTGTAGAAAGTATTTGTTTTTTGTGTTTGTTTTCAGGATGATTTTCTTTTGGAAGATCCCCAGATGTCATCGCTAAATCAAAGACACGGGCATTTAAAAGTAGGAGTGTCCAATCTTTTGTCTTCCCTGGGCCACACTGGAAGAACCGTCTTGGGCCTCACATAAAATATACTAACACTAACAATAGCCGATGAGCTTTAAAAAAAATTCACACACACAAAAATCTCATAATGTTTTAAGAAAGTTTGCGAATTTGTGTTGGGTCACATTCAAAGCCATTCCCTGGGCCACATGCAGCCTGCAGGCCGCGGGTTGGACAAGCTTGTTTTAAAGACTTCCAATCCATCATGCTGGTTCCCAAAAGCATTATTTCACCAGCCTTCCACCAACCTTCTCCATAGACTTGTTAAGACTGTGCACTTTTTTATACTCTTTGTTACTTTGAAAGCTGAGAAACAACATTTTTTTTCAATGTGTACCTCTTTGATTACCAAGATCAAACATTTCTCCATGTTTTCTGATAAAGATAAATGTCTTCCAACATTAATTATTGTCAGTTCCTCTACTGACTTATTTCTATACATTCTTTGCTGGTGGTCTGGTTTTAGTAGTTTTAAACAACCACTTTTAACAGAGTGTTCATATATTACAAATATTAACTCTTTAAAATCTATTCCGTGAACATCTTTCCTCCATGTGTATTTTGTCTTTTGGCCTGACATTCTTGTTTATTTCTTATTTTAACATTGTTTGCAGTGAGATGATGTCACTGCTTTCATTTGTGTTGGCTTCTCTACCTTCTAAGTTTAGCTTCCCCTGATCTTTCTGTGTCCAGGGTCTTTAATATTAAACCCTTAGGCCAGTTGAAATTTCTCTGGGGACTGCCTCTCCCTGCCCTAGAACTATACTTATGCCTTGTCCCCTGAGCTGTAAGTACAGGTCACTGCAGCGTTTCACAGCCGGAGACTGTACCTGCAATTTTGATCTCTGAGGAGAGTCCTCTTAAATGTATAGGCTGTTTCCTGGCTAAGAAGGCTCACCCCTCACTTCAGGGCAGCACCAGTTTGCAAACAGGAAACAGTCCATGCTGTAAGAATAAAATAAGGGGCAGTGTCACCTGGGATTTCCTTTCTTCGACCTTGACCTTTAGGCGTCTTTAATCTCCCCATTTGGGCAGCATCTTCTCGTGGTAATGTTAATGGTACTGTCCCTGTTTCTCAACAAAATAAAGCCCTCATTCATTGTCATCTTCAACCAAGTGTATGCAAAGAAATAACCAAAACAAAATATACCATTTATTTCCTACAATGCACTGACCCAAGAAGACCACCTTTTCTGATTCCTAAAAAACACGGCTCACAGCTGTGTGCTCAAGGTGAAGTTTGAGGAGAAAGAGAATGGAAGTGATGCACAGCTTACTCCAATGACATGGGAGCTCTTCCAGAGTGCTTCACTGGGATGCTCGCACACTCTGGAGGCACTGCTGGGCATTGCTCATTATTCCCCTGCCCCGACACTGCATGCAGAAACAACCTGGACTTTAGGACCGAGGGGAATTTGGTCATTAATAAGAGGTCCAAAGGCAAGTATATTACATTGTAATTGGGAGGCAGTTTTCACTTCCAGAAAGTTTTCTTTCTTTTGGCAGTGATTAAGAGTTCTAAAAATGTCCCCCAGAAATAAACTATTGATCTTGGAGAGGTTCAAAATGTGAATAGCTTCATGCATATTATAATAGGTCAAGGCGAAACCAACCCCACAGCCTCTTAAAGTAAGGGCAGTGAGCATGCATATTATAATAGGTCAAGGTGAAACCAACCCCACAGCCTCTTAAAGTAAAGGCAGTGAGCATGCATATTATAATAGGTCAAGGTGAAACCAACCCCACAGCCTCTTAAAGTAAGGGCAGTGAGCTTAGAAGGCCCTCTCCTGTGCAATCTGGCTTGGCAGGGTTAAGAGGTTTTATCAGTCAAGCATGTAGGAGAGGAGGCCCACCCTGGTGCCGAGTGCACGTGAAGATGAAATAAGAACAGGGAGAGAGGGGCTCAGTAGAGAGTCTAACAAGTGTTGTCATCAGAGCTCACACTTCCCACAGGGATGCCTCGACTGCACACCTTCAATCTTTATGTTGGTAGACACGTACACTCTCCCTCTCTCCCTCTAATGACACCAAAAAACAGCAAAAGCAAAACAAACAAACAACAGCCTTCGAGGCCCATGCCATGGCATCTCTCAAACCCAGGAGAACCATCTTACCAGTCACTTCCAGCAGCACCTGCTTCTTGCTCTCCAGGTGACCAGATGGCCCCATGTGCCACCCACACCTGTTGTCCTGGCATGAGGGTTAATAGGGCCCCTTGCTCTCAAAAGTAACCTGATTTGTATGGTACCTAGTCACTCTCCTCAGCTAACACACACAAAGGCTTTGAAAAGATTAGGGTCTCTCAAACTGGTCTCTTTAGTGGCCCTTAGAGATCCCTAGGGTGGATGAAGAGGAGGTAGGAAGGGGGAGGGGAGAAGAAAGACCTTGCAGTGAGAATTCTTGGCCCACCAACCAGTCCTCCCAGAACTATTCAGGGTTGATCTATTTTACATGCTCGCTGTCCTTAAACCTTCATTAGAAGACAGGTTCCTCCCGCTCTGAAGTGTTTAGAAACCATGGGCCAGACAGTCTTCCCAGGGCCCCCCTCCCAACTCTAAAACCGTACTGCTTATTGCTCTGTGGTCTGGTTCTAAAGCTCTGCCTCACCATAAAGGAGAACATGATGGCCTACTGGGCTGAAGGGACCAGGGCAGCTTCTAAAGATATCAGATAAAGATATGCCATAGTCAAACGTTGGGATCTGGTGACAACAGGTGCTGAGGTTAGGACACTCATACAACAACTCAGATACACAGAAACACAAAATGGAACAAACTAGTTTGCCCTGAATCCTTTAGAATCTGAGGTGGCAACTAGAACTGTTCAATATTCCATCTCTCTTTTTCTCAGGAACATATCATGGTTGAATTTCCCCAGGAAGTCAGGTGTGAAGATGTAATTTGTTTCAGCAAATAAACGTGGTGTGTGCTGCTCCCACACAGAAGACTCCAAGAGCCTGTGTGCTATCAGCCTCACTCTCTTCTCATCAGCCCACACCCCTGTGAGATCAACAAGAAGCAGAGCCCTGTGCCTGCTGAGATAATCTAACAGCGTGAATGAGAAACAAACATTTATTGTTTTAAACAGCTGTCAACGAGGGCAGCCTGTTACTGCAGCACAACAGAGCCTATCCTGACCAATACAGAAATGTTTCAGATAAAATACAAGCTACTCGCTGAGAAGAATGTGTGTTCTCTAGCCCAGTGTTCCCCAAAATTGGTTCCAAAGAACACTAGCTCCATGAGACATTCGTGGTCAAAAAAATTTAGAGAAATTGCCTGTTTCATCTGTCCCCTTAAGGGCCTTATGTTTTAGGCACTAAGAATCCTGCAATAAAGAAACAGTTTCACTTCATCTAACCTAAAGTTTTCCTATATGAACTGTCCATGAAAGGTGCATTTACTGGCATCCTTAGTAACAGTTTCAGAATCTAGTCCATTCAGAAAAGTAACTGACTAATAACAAATTCAGAGATTCCAATGGCCTATTATTGATTAAAATACTATTAACTTCATGGTATAGCTATTTTGAAAAACAATCTGGCATTTCCTATAAGGAAATTAAACACACATTCACCTTATGATCCAGCAATTCTACTCCTAAATGTTAATATTTATCCAAGAGAAATGGAAACATATTAACACAAAAACCTTCATGTCAATGTTTACTGTGGCTTTATCAATGACTGCCAAAAACTGGAAACAATTCAAATATCCTTCAGTGTTAAATGGATATGCAAACTGTGGTACCTCCATATGATGGAATATTATGCAGCAATAAAGAGGAACACCCTACTGATAGACAAAACAATGCAGACCAATCGCAAATGTGCTACATAAGTGAGAGAAGCCAGACTCAAGAGCTACATACTCTGTGATCCTATTTATATGGCATTCTGGAAATGCAAAACGGCAGGAACAGAAAGCTGATGTGGGACTGCCAGGGTGGCCACAGCTGATGAATATTCCGAGCCAAAAGGATAGAGCTCTGCATCTTGAGTGTGGTGGTGATACGAACAGGAGGCAGGGAAATACTGGGTAGAAGAGGGTGGTTCCCCGGCAAAGGCCCCACCCTCAAGCCTGGACACCATGGCCCTAAATGAGAACAGTTATCCCTGTTTTCCCACTCAAATGTTGCTTTTTCCAAAACCACCCTGGCCCACCACACCCCCATCCTGTACCTATAAAACCCCCAAACTGCACTGGCAGAGAAGTAGAGCAGTGCAGCAGAGGAGGGAAGACACGAAGTGTCTGAACATTGAAAGGAATTCAGCTGGGGATGGTCAGAGAGGAGTTCAGCTGGGGACAGCCAAACTCCAGGGGAAGATTATCTTCCCACTCTCTCCCCTTTCCAGGTCCCCAACCCACTGAGAGCCACCTCCATCACTCAATACAACCTCTGCATTCACCATCCTTCAAGTCCATGAGACCTGATTCTTCCAGGGTGCTGGACAAGAACCTGGGTACCAAGAGGACAAGGTGTAAGAAGCTGTCACCCTGACTGTCCACTGAGCTGGTTAACACCTAGCCATCCATGGACAGCAACTGCTAAAGGAGCATTAATTGTAACACACCCCTCGCCACTGCTGTGGGATGGAGCCCAAAAGCACTAGCTCCGGCCCCAGCACCCACTCATCTGCGTGCTTCCCATCCTGCAAGGGGTTTGAGCACATGGTGGCCAAGTAAGCAAGCCACACCCCTATCGCAAGTCTCACAAAGGGGTAAGGGAACTCTCCTGTCTCAGTGGTGCTCACTCAACTGCAGTTGTTTGTCAAAACTCACAGAACTGTAAACCAAAAAGTGTGAATTCTACTGTGTATAAATTGAACCTCGATAAAATTTTGCATTAAAATTTAGTTTTCAAGTATAAAATGGAAGTCTCAGCTGTGTTTAGGGGACCCTTTAATTATCATCAGGGAATATCCAGAAACAGCTCATAGAGCTCCTGGTTCCATCACCATGATGCTTCCTATCCACTCATCTTTGCTTTGGATGATCCCACATTTCTCTAAAACATTGTTAATCAATCACCCCTTTCCAGAAAGAAGGGATGGACAGGGTAGAAGGAGGGGCAGAGACTCACAGTTGGTCTCCTTTTAGGCATGATGAGAAAGGTCCACGCTTATTGAACATTACAGCATGGGAGACGCTGTGCTGTTTCATTTCCCCCTCAGTCAGTGTTCACAAGCACCCTACGGGACAGGTGTAACCATCTCCTATTTACAGATAGATAGGCAGACCAGGGCTCAGAGAAATTAAGTGACTCAGCCAGGTAACACAGTTAGTGATAAGTACTAACCTGAGCCATATTTATACTTTTAGCAACTACTCTCTACCATTTTCCAACTCTGAAAAAATGATCCTTCTAGGATGACTACAGTCAAAAAGACAGTTCATAGTATGTGTTGGCAAGGATATGGGGAACTGTAATTCTCCTATGTTGTTGGGTGGTAGTGATGCAGCCACTTTAGTAAATAGCCTGGAAGTTCCTTAAATGGTTAAACAGAGTTACCACATGATCTGGTCATTCCACTACAAGAGAAACGTAACTTAAGACCAAACAGACACTTACACATAAATACTTGTAGCGGCATTGTTCATAATAGCCCCAAAGTGAAAACAACCCAAATGTCCATCATCTAATGAACGGATAAATAAAACGTGGCAGATTCATACACATCAGTACTAAAAAGGATAAAATATTCTACAATGTATTGTGGTGATGGACACAACTCTGTGAATATACTGCAAGCCTCTAGGTTGAACACTTTAAAAGGGCAAATTACATGGCATGTGAATTACATCTCAATAAAGCTGTTTTTCTTAATGGCAAATATCTAATCCAGCTAGAGTAAATTCTACATTACTAAAAATGAATAAGAGGAGAACAAGGAATAGAAGATCCAACACAACAAATAAATCCCAAATGCTCTGTAGTCTCTTTTAGCATGCACGGTAAGATTTAATTTGGAAGCAGACTAAAAATACTAATTATATTTTTACTTAGGCTAATGTTAGTATGAAGTCCTCAGCCACATGTCATCTGAGAGCAGAGGGAAGCAGCCTACTTAACTAGTAGGTGGAAAGAAGTAGCTTATCATGGAATAAAGAAATACAGCAAAAAGCCCAAGTGGAAAAATCTATGAACAGAGCACGATATTTATTCTTCATAGATGTTTCTGGAAAAAAATTTAAGCACTAGCCATTAGAATGTGGGTGAGACTTGGTCTGCACGAGAAAAGCAAAGCATCCTGCCCCAACCAGGCACAGATCTAAGGCTGCCAACATGAACGTGGTGATAACTGCATTAACCTTCTCCCAGGGGAGTTATTTTTTATTGTAACACACTTGTCAAAATGTCATCGCATTAGCTCACCTCTCCCACATCCACCCACCAATTCCTCTCAGCTGTAGAAGAAAGAGCAGTAATTAGAGCAGGAAACAGCCCCTGGATGAAGAACTGCTCCAGCCTGACAGTTCATCCGAGACTTCGGCAAAGCCGCTCTGGCCTGGCTCCGGGAGGAGAGGAGATGGGGTCACTAAGTCCATGCTAGGCAAGCCACCTAAGCCTCCTTCCAGGCAGGGACAGCAGATGGAAACTGTGTCCCAGAAGCCAACTCTGCTGCTCTGTCCGTGCTGACATTCAGGAACTGTGACAATTAATCACACATAACAAAGTGTACTTTTGTCTTACACAATTCAACCCAACTCCTACTGCAAATGAGTTTGACCTATCCTGCCTTCCTGTTTGAGCTGTCCCTTAGCCGAGATGGGAGAAGCCCCCAAAGCCCCCAAAGGGAGTCCTATTGGCCAGTGAACTCCTAGGGGATTTAGAAATGAAGTGGAATTTTTTATCTTCTCTAGAAACAAACACAGATGCTCCAGCACTTATGATAGGGTCATGTCCAGACAAACCCATTTTAAGTCAACAATATCATAAGTTAAAAAATGTACTTAATGCTGGTGACATAGCTGATGATCCCCGACTTACGATTTTCTGACATTACAATGGGTTTATCAGGACATAACCCCACCATAAGTGGAAGACTGACTTACAATGGGGTTACAGTTTCTTTTCTTTCCTATTTTTATTTTTTAAGATGATCTCTCTCTGTTGCCCAGGCTGGAGTGCAGTGGTACTATCTCAGCTCACTTCAACCTCTACCTACTAGGTTCAAGCAATTCTCCTGCCTCAGCCCCCCGAGTAACTGGGATAACAGGCATGCACCATCATGCCCAGCTAATTTTTCCATTTTTTTTAGTAAAGATGGGGTTTCACCATGTTGGCCAGGCTGGTCTCAAACTCCTGGCCTCAAGAGAGCCCCCCACCTTGGCCTCTCGGAAGTGCTGGGTTTACAGGCGTGAGGCACTATGCCTGGCCAGGGTTACAGATTTCTACTGGAAGTATATGGCTTTTGCACCATCATAAAGTCAAAAACTCTAAAGTCAAACCATCCCAA
Source organism: Homo sapiens (assembly GCF_000001405.40). Classification (NCBI taxonomy): domain Eukaryota; kingdom Metazoa; phylum Chordata; class Mammalia; order Primates; family Hominidae; genus Homo; species Homo sapiens. The sequence goes on along the minus strand of NC_000002.12, from coordinate 109,230,214 downwards.
GTTGAGGAATGTCCGTATTTGAATGGATAAACAATATATAGTATATCCATACGACGGAATATTAGTCTGCCTTAAGAAGAAAAAAAAAATCGGCCAGGTGCGGTGGCTCGCACCTGTAATCCCAGCACTTTGGGAGGCTGAGGCGGGCGGATCACGAAGTCAAGAGATCGAGACCATCCTGGCTAACATGGTGAAACCCTGTCTCTACTAAATATACAAAAAATTAGCCGGGCATACTGGCGTGCGCCTGTAGTCCCAGCTACTTGGGAGGCTGAGGCAGGAGAATGGCGTGAACCCAGGAGGCAGAGCTTGCAGTGAGCCAAGATTGCGCCACTGCACTCCAGCCTGGGCAACAGAGCGAGACTCCGCCTCAAAAAAAAAAAAAAAAGAAAGAAAAAGAAAAGAAAAAAAATCTAAACACATACCAAAACATGGATGAGCCTGGATGATGTTAAGTGACATGCCAGACACAAAGGACAAATATTCTATGATTCCAGTTATACGAGGTACCTAGATGTAGTCACCATGTCTTATTTTCTGTATGCTGATGCTTTCACATCTGGGGCCTTCCTGACCCTGGAGGGGCTGCCAATTCCTAGAGATAGTGAACAACTTGCTCATGAGTGTGCCTTTTTAATGCAAACCCACCAATTCAGAGCCCACATCCCAAATCCCTCCCGTATCGGGCTCTCAAGCTCCAGGCCACTATCCACCTGCCGTGACCACCCCAGGACCAGTCTGAGAAGCTGTCATAGCCAGAGGAGTCCATGGAGACATGACAGCTGTGAGGCAGTATGGGATCCTGGGACAGAAAAAGGATGGCAGGAAAAAACTACAGCTTTGCAAATGGAGAACTATCATGTTAATGTATGAAAAGTACCATGCTAATGTAAGGTGTTAACAACAGAGGAAGTGGGGTGTGGGTATGTCAGAATTCCTCATACTCTACTCACCACTGCTCCAAATAAGAAGTGTACTAAAAAGGGGGAAGGGAACAGCTGTGTGACATAATAAAAATACATATTTGGTCTTTGTCCCTGGTTCCTGGCACAGAGCTCCTAAATCCCTGGTAATTTTCTGAGTGATAGCGGGGCTAGGAGTATCTTTTGTTCTGATATTTGGTCTTTGATTGAGGTTCCCAACACAGAGCTCCTAATCCCTTGGTATTTGCTGGGTGATGGAAACCTTTTTTCTGTGCTGATGAAGTGACTCTGGTGGCTCCTGGATGAAGGCTGGTCACCAGAAAGACCTAGCCATGACCAGAAACTTGGAGTTTTCAGCTCCATACCCCATCCTCCAAAGAGGGCAGAGGGGCTGGATATTGTGTTGATAACCAATCATGCCTGTGTGAAGAAGCCTCCATAAAAATCCCTACAAGTTGGAGTTTGGGGAGATTCTGGCTGGTGGATGCATCCACCCACCTGGAGAGGGTACATCTAACTCCACAGAGACGGAAGCCCCTGTGCTCAGGACCCTTCCAGACCTCGCCCTATGTACCTCTCCATCTGGCTGCTTGCCTGTATCTTTTATCATGCCCTCCACTAATATAATAAACCAGATTTGCAGCCACGCCACACAGAAGTTCCAGGTAACCTGAAGACACCTCTTGCAACTGGCCTCTGAAGTGAAGGCAGCCTGATGAGATTGAGCCCTTAACCTGCAGGGTCCATACTAGCTCCACATGGAAGGGGTCAGAACTGAACTGAATACCCAGTTGGCATCTGCAAACAACTGGAGAATTGCTTGGTGTGGCAAAACCCCACACACATCTGGTATCAGAAGTGTTCTGGGTGCATTGTGGGTATCAAGGAAAACAGTTGGTTTTCCTCTACAGGGTGACATGTGGAAATAGAACACACATCCCAAACATCTTCAGACTAACAGAGATGCTGTCTACAACACATTTATTGCACCTGCTCATTAATGAGACAATAAAAGCCTTTGGGGGATAGACACGCACTGCTAACACCTGCCACCAAGCACATTCCTGGGGACTAGGAGGGCTGCCGATTGAATTTCTGACAGTATTATAAGCAAGTAGCACCATGTTTGCCAAACGTTGCAAGTACATCATTTGCAGCATGAAAACACAGCCATTAGAGATTGCCTGTATGTGTCAAGAGAGAGTAAAAGTACCAAACCAGACACTCGTACCTGTGTCTGGGCATCACTTTCCTACAAATAAAGGAAAACACTGAACTATTCCCCACTCTTTCCTACCCACAGCAAATGTAAATCCCATGCCCCTTGAGCCAGAAAAGCACCAATGCACGTTTGTTTGGGAAACATCAGGAATGACGGTCACCATCATGAAGCCTACAGGGAACTGCAGTTGCAGACAAACCGATGAAAGGCGGAGCGACCGAAGGGCCAAGGGAGATTGCCAGAGTGAGCGGGAATTCGGGAAAGGAAGTGTTGACTCCAGTTGGCTGGGGGGTGACCTACCCAGAAAAAGAACTTGCGTTGGACCCGAAAGGACTGCACAAGATTCTGGCACTTGCAGAGAAGTGGATCCTGTGACCTGCAGGGAGCACAGCACAGAAGCAGGGGAGCTGCCGTGTACCCCATGAAGCCAGTGGGCATGGCCAGGCCAGATCCAGGGGAATCTCCCACACACAGACAATCCCAAGAGCCAGGGATCTCCCAGAGAAGCAGACAGGGATGAAGGGCAGGGCCCAGGCAGACCCGGGAGCCCACACAAAGCACCCAACATGAAGCAGTCCCTGATAGCTTCAATGTCACCATCCTCATAACTCCAGTCGCATTTGGTTTTTACTTGACTGTGAGAACTTGTGGCTTAGTAAGAAGAACAGCTGGTTACAGAAATGAACCAGGACCCCTAAGGACCTGAGAACCAGGACTTGAGAAGTCCCTTAGTATTGTGACTTTCTGGCATGGACGTGTAGCTTTGTGTGCCTGACATTCACAGAGCTTCTTCTAGCTACAGGCACCAATTTTCTCTTAGCTCCTTCCCCCAACTTTCAGCCCCTGAGGCCTGGGTGGGATCCTCTCAATTTCAGGAGAAAACACACACCCTAAGTCTGAGCCAACCACTGCCACTGCCATCAGTTCACTCAGCCGGAGTGAATCTCGTGAGTTCTGCAGATGTTCCAGCAAAGACCCCAGAAACATGACAAAGACCCCTAAAGCCCTCTTGCACCTATGAAGAGGACAGTGGAGCTGCTAGGCCACCATGGAAAAGCTTGGTGGGACCCAGAGCTAGAAAGAGACCAAGTCCTGATGGCATCATCTGAGCCATGAACCCGGCCATGGTGGATGCATCTACCTCAGGACCCTTGGTTATCTGGGCCACCACACGGCTTTGCTTCTCTCTGTGTTTTGACTGATTCCAGTTAGTTTCTCTCCTGCAGCTGTAGGGGTCCTGGTTCATTTCTGTAACCAGCTGTTCTTCTTACTAAGCCACAAGTTCCTTAATGGCACAAAGCATGTCTATATCTGAATGTCCCCTAAAGATCCAGCACCACGCCTTCTGCGTGGAGATCCTGCAAAGACTTAGGAGCAAACGGAGCCACAAAGGGAGCAGATGCATGGCCCCGGGAGAAGTCAAGATGGCAGACCAAGAAACACTCAGGAAAGGGGAGCGATTCAAGAAGCAATGAGAAAAAGCTAAGAGTGATGAGCCACAAAGTCACCCTAAGAACAGTAAAAATCTAAACTTTAAAGGGACTTAAAAAGAAGTGGTTGCTACAGTTTATTTTTGGTTTATGTCTTAAGAGGTCAGCAGGGTACTTACTTAACGATGAGGACTGCACATGGGCCACGTGTGTCATTAGACCTCACATGGCTCCAGTTCCTCCATGGGCCACAGACACTGTAGATGAAACAGCTGACCTTCCTGAGTCAATGTGACTTTAGCTTTGAAACAGTTGGCAGGGTCATGTTCAAAATGAGCTTATTGATCTGTTTACATAACTACTCTTACATTAACTATTGTAACAAAAAAAATGTAAAAGGAGCCAGTCTTTCTCTAAGTTCCTTCTGCAGATGTTGACAAGCAGAGCTGTGAGCTGGGTTCATAAACCTGGGAAACAGATAATAACTGCTATTTGGGGACAACCTCCTCTGACATTTCCTCCTAAAATTAACAAGTGATTTAGCCTGAGTCAAAAATGACAATATTACAGCTATGCAGATAAGTTGTTCAGGGTCAGGCCTATTTTTTCCTGACAAAATACTACTCTAATATTAAAATGGTATTTTGGTGATTCATTGTGGAGAGCTCCAACAACAGATTAGAATAGGGACTCTTTGAAAGCAAACTTTTAGCTGGCATGGTGGAAAGCGACTATAGTCCCAGCTACTCGGGAGGCTGAGAGGGGAGGATCACTTCATCCCAGGAGGTCAAGGCTACAGTGAGCCGGGATCGCACTTCTGCAGTGCAGCCCGGGCAACAGAGCGAGACCCTATCTCAATTTTAAGAACGAAAGAAAGCAAACTTGAAACTAACTTATAAAAATAAATCTTAAAATTTAAGTCTAGGACAAACACACCACCTGCTCTCCTCTCTGTTCCTGATATTTACAGGAAACAAGACGGTCATCTTTTGATTTTCTAAATTCAAACATGAAAGTGACTTAAGACATTGCAAATGGGAAGTCCCAGAGAGGAACGTGGAGCATCCCACATTAAAAATCATTCCCTGGCCTAACTCTCAGGAGAAAACTCCACATGGTGAGTGTGAGTGGGCCAGGTGGGTCAGCCCACCCAGTCCCCAGTGGGGAGTCGGCCTGGCCTGTATCTTTAAAGGGAGTTGTTTGTGTGAGAATCGTTGTGAAACCTGTTAACGTGCAGATTTCGGGTCCCTGTGAAATGGGTCCAAGCGGAGCCCGGAAACCCACATTTTGAAACTTCCCTTGGTTACTTGCAGGTCTCTCCACCCAGCTGAGTACAATGGTTTGAGGACTATTCAGCCGGATCCCCAGTGTTTAATAAGCCTTCTTTATTATTATCGTTATTAAAATAGAGCTCTTCATATCCCAGTTGCCAAGAATGGGGCAAGATAGAATCTCAGAACTAGCAGAAGCCATAGAACCTCATTTTACACAAGAGGAAACTGAGGCCAGGGAATTTAAGGGACTGTGCTGGTGTCATCCAGCTTAGTTGGTTGGTCTAAACGAAAAGGCTCCAGGCCAGGTGTCAAAAAGCTATGTCTCAGTCACTTCCTTCTTCCAGACAATCTTTCCTTCAAACCCACAAAATTCTTTTTAAAATAAGATTTTTAAAAAGATAAGGTTATGCTGCAGTTCTCTAGCTGTCCATTAGAGTAGCCACTAGCCACAGGTAATTATTTAAATTTCAGTTTTAATTGACTAGAATTAAATGAAAAAAAATTTTTTTGAGACAGAGTCTTGCTCTGTCACCCAGGCTGGACTGCAGTGGCATGATCTCAGCCCACTGCAACCTCCCTCTCCAGGTTTCAAGCGATTCTAATGCCTCAGCCTCCCAAGTAGCTGGGATTACAGGTGCCCACCACCATGCTGGGCTAATTTTTGTATTTTAGTAGAGACGGGGTTTCACCATGTTAGCTAGGTTGGTCTTGAACTCCTGACCTCAAGTGATCTGCCCGCCTTGGCCTTCCAAAGTGCCGGGATTACAGGTGTGAGCCACTGCGCCTGGCAAAATGAAATTTTAAAAGCCACTTCCTGAGCCACGCCGGCCACATTCATGAGCTCAGTAGTCACCTGTGGCTGGTCGCTACTGTACTGAACAGAGCAGACACAGGACATTTCCATCACTGCTGCTATGCACATGACCTCAAAAACTGCTTCAAGTCCCTTTTACATCAGAACAAAATGCAGATTTAATCTTGGACTAAACCCAGCATGCAATCAAAATCCCACATGCGTATCTGAAAATGTGCTTATTTGTCCAATATGTGACATATAGTTTTAGCATCACTAATAATACCAAACAAGTCTTATTTTACTATGCTTGGTAAAAACCTAATTTTGATAGATCTGATTAGCTATTCAAGCCAAGTTTAAACTCCCAATGCCCACACCCCCTCCATTTGCACATGCACACACACTCTCTAGGCCTGCCAAGCAGGGGCAGAAGTGGGAGACCAGGCCTCAGTTTCTTTTTGTGTAAAACAAGGGGCGAGGCTAGGTAAACCCTGAAGCTATTCCAGCTCTTAACATTCTATCCATTAATGAGCCATGTGGACAGATTTTATTGATTGAATTTGTTTTTGAGACGGAGTCTCACTCTGTCACCTAGGCTGGAGTGCAGTGGCACAATCATGGCTCACTGCAACCCACACCCCCCAGGCTCAAGTGATCTGATCCTCCTACCTCAGCCTCCGGAGTAGCTGGGACAACAGACATGTGCCACCACATCCAGCTACCAAGTGGACAGATTTTAATTTCACTTTCTGCACAAACATGTATTGAACACTTTCATGTGCCAGGAGCAGAGACTAGCAGGGATGGCTCAGAGGCTGTCCTCCACGGCTCTGCAAGGAAAGACAACGACACATCCCGGATCTCCACGTTGGGGCAGCATCACGTGGGGGGCAGAATTCAGGGGAGAGCCATGGAGAGGTGCAGGGCTACCCAGGGAGCACTAAGGAGCTCCAGTTGTCTGCATGGTGCTACTGCCCTCCACCGATGCTTGAATGGAGCCCGCAGCTGAAGCATGTGCCCACACCCCTCAAGCCCTTCCTACGCTTCCATTCTGCTCATTTCCAGCCACTGACCTAGGACTGACATGGGCAGGCCATGCCCACTCCCAAAGGGGGACAATGCCTGAAATAACCGAGGAATCAAAGCACTTCGGCAACTCCATCACAGCGAGCACACGGCAGCTCCTAGTGGCCACTCCTGCTTCTTCGGGCTTCAGAACGCCCCTCTTGGCTCTGTCGGCTCTGGGAAACACACCAGGTAGGCTGCTCACGTGGCTGGTGCTCACGCAGCCTCTGAGGGCTCTGGATCTGGTAACAGCCAACTCCTGGTTATCAGGGCACTTGACTGCATGGGACGGCAGCAAAGGGGGACAAAGCATTCATGATCTGTGGCAGCAGCACCCATGCTGGTTTCAGGAGAAGGTGGCAACCTCATCCTCCCACCTCTCTCCAACCACCTGCTTCCCCCTGTCTGGGATGGAGAAGCATCAGGGCGTGGTGCCAGCCTCTGCCAAGAGGTGGGATCACACCATCTGATGGCCACAGGGGCGGACAGTGCCCTCTTCACCCTGAAGGGTGCAGTGAGTACAGACCCTGTTGATGGGAGAGTATGGGGACCGTAGCCCCAGGCAGGGGCAGGTCCATCCCTCTCACAGCTGGCTGAGTCCCCATGTGGGATACACGCGGACACCTTGGGGATGCCATGTGGTCACAGAGGACCTGCGCTGCTGGCTGAGAACTGGAAAATGTGCTTTATTTCCTGTGTTTTGTTTTGTCTTTTAGCAAACCAAAAAGTCCTTAGGCAGACCACCTAATTTAACAGAAACACTGGATGTCAGTGGTAGAAGAAAGGAGCCCACGCCATCCCAGGGTTTTAGGGAGGAGGTACAGGGAAGGCCTGGCCAGGCTCCACAGGGCCAGCATAGGCCACCAGGGCACCACCCTTCCTAGGCCCAGTCCAGGGCACACGCGTGCTGTGGATGCTGGAGGCTAAGCCCAGGGCCTGCTCTCCTGGCCTCTCACCCTTGCCCCTCCAACAATGCACTCCCTCTGCTGAAGGATGGACTCTTTTTATTTTTTTGGAGGAACTTTTACTGATACATAATAATTGTACATATTTATGGGGTACATATAATATTTTGATACATACAATGTGTAATGATCAAATCAGGGTAACTAGCATATCCATCACCTCAAATCTTTATCATTTCTTTGTGTTGGGACATATTCAAATCTCTTTTAGCTATTGTAAAATATACAATAAATTGTTGTTAACTAATCACCCTGCTGTACTATCAAACACGAGAATTCATTCCTTCTGACTGTATGTTTATACCCTTAACCAACCTTTCTTTACCTCCCTACCACCAACACATCCTTTCCAGACACTGGCATCTGGCACTCTACTCTGTCTTCATGCGAGCACCTTTTTTAGCTTCCACATATGAGTGAGATCGTCCAATATTTGCCTTTCTGTGCCTGGCTTGTTTCATTTACCATAACCACCTGCAGTTTCATCCATGTTGCTGCAAATGACATGATTTCATTCTTTTGAAAGGCTGAATAGTATCCCCTGTGTTTTTTTTTTTTAATCCATTCATCAGTTGATGGACACTTGGGCTGATTCACATCTTTGCTATTGTGACTAGTGCTGCAATAAATGCAGGGGTGCAGGTATCCCTTTGATACACTGATTTCTTTTCCTTTGGATAAATACCCAGCAGTGGGATTGTTGGATCATATGATAGTTCTAGTTTTCGTTTTCTGAGAAACTTTCCTACTGGTTTCCATAGTGGCTGCCTTATTTATGTTCCCACCAATAGTATATGTGAGTTCCCTTTTCTCCACGTCCTTAATCCCATTAAAAATTGGGGAAGGAAAGGAAGAGACATTTCTCAAAAGACACAGAAATGGCCAACAGGTTTATGAAAAAATGCTCAACATTACTAACCATCAGGAAGATGCACACTTTTTTTTTTTTTTTTTTTTTGAGATGGAGTCTCACCCTGTCACCCAGGCTGGAGTGCACTGGCGCGATCGCGGCTTACCGCAGCCTCTGCCTCCCAGGTTCAAGCAATTCTCTGCCTCAGCCTCCCGAGTAGCTGGGATTACAGGCGTGCACCACCACACTTGGCTAATTTTTGTATTTTTAGTAGAGACAGGGTTTTGCCATATTGGCCAGGCTGGTCTCAAACGCCTGAGCTCAAGTGATCTGCCTGTCTCAGCCTCCCAAAATGCTGGGATTACAGCCGTGAGTCACCTGGCCCAGCCAGGAAGATGCACATTAAAACCACAATAAAATATCACCTCCACCCAGTTAGAATGGCTGTTATTGAAAAGAAAAAAATTAAGAGAGGCTGACTAGGATGTGGAAGACTGACTTTTTATTCCAGGTCCATGGTTCCTCTGTGCATGACTTGTATGCACCTCACTTATTTCACTCAGCATAATGACTTCAAAGTTCATCCATGCAGCACGTGTCATAACTTCATTTCTTTCTAAGGCTGAATATTCCTCAACTGTGTATACATACCACATTTTGTTTACCCTGTCATCTGTCAGTGGACATTTGGCTATTATGAATAATGCAATTATGAACATTGGTGTACACATATCTGTTTCAGTCCCGGTTCACAATTCATTTGGGTATAAGCCTAGGAATAGAACTGCTGGATTATATAGTTAATTCTGTGTTCAAATTATACAGTAATTGCATGTTCAAACTCCTTTCACACTGTTTTGCACAGCAGCTGTACCATTTTATATGCCCACTAGCATAACAATTTCTCCACATCCTAACCCTTATTATCTTCTACTTTTTGGAAAATGCCCCTTCTAACAGGTGGGAATGGTTTCTCACTGTGGTTCTGATTTGCATTCCTCTAGTAACAAATGACATGAAGCATCTTTTCATGTGCTTACTGGCCATTTGTATATCTTTGGGAAAATGTTTACTGAAAACCTTGACCCATTTTTGAATTGGGTTTTTTAAATTATTGAGTTATAGAAGTTCTTTATATATTCCAGATATTCATTATTTACTAAACAATGATTTGCAAATATTTTCTCCCATTCTTTAGGTTATCTTTTCACTCTCTTGATGGTATCCTTTGAAGCACAAAACTTTTGCGTTTTGATGAAATCCAAATTATGTATTTTTTTCTTGTATTGCCTGTGCTTTTGGTGTCACACTCAAGAAATCATTGCCTAATTCCAGGCCATGAAGGTTTTTACCTGTGTATTCTTATAACAGTTTTATAATTTTAGCTCTTATGTTGAGATCTTTAACCCATTTTGAGTTAATTTTCTAGACCATGTTAGATAAAGGTCTGACTTCATTGTTTTGCATAAGAATATCCAGTTTTCCCAGCACCATTTGTTAAAAAGGCTGCCCATTCCTCATTGACTGATCTTGGCTTCTTTGTTGAAAAACCAATGGACCATACATGTGACAGTTTGTTTCTGGGATCTCTGTTGTATTCCATTGGTTTATATATCTATCCCTTATGCTAATAACATAGTTTTGATTACTATTGCTTATAGTACATTTTGAAATCAGGAAGTGTGAGTCTTCCAACTTTGCTCCTCCTTTTCAAGATTGTTTTGGTTATTTGGGGTCCCTTGAGATTCCATATAAATTTTAGAGTGCTTTTTTACTATTTCTCTAAAAAACGCCATTGGGGTTTTGATAGAGATTGCCCTGAATCTGTAGATCACTTTGAGTAGTAGTGTCATCTCAACAATATTAAGTCTTCCAATCCATGAACAAGAGATGCATTTCCACTTATTTGTATCAAAAACATGTTGTAGTTTTCAGTGTGCCAATCTTTCACCTCTTTGGTCAAGTTTATTCCCAAGTATTTTATTCTTTTTGATGAGATTGCAAATTGAATTTTTTATTTCCTTTTCGGATTGTTCAAGTCTATAGAAATACAACTGAACTGTGAGCTTTAATTTTATATTTTGCAACTTTGCCGAATTCATTTACTAGCTCTGAAAACTCTGAGAACTCCTTAGAGTTTTCTATGCATAAGATCGTATCATCTGCAAACAGAGATAATTTTACTTTTTTTTTTCCAATTTGGAAGCCAATAATTTATTTTCCTTCCCTAATTTCTCTGTCTAGAGCTTCCAATTCTATGTCGGATAAAAATGGCTGTTCTTCCTCCTTTTGCAATACTAAAATGTTCCTTGTTTTATTAAGTGATGGTGAAAATTTTTTAACATTTTACTTGGCAAATTAAAGAAGTAGAAACCTTATGTAATTACACAAAATGTTTTGGAAATAATACTGAGCCCCCCAAAAAAGTGCTGAGCAAAAACGGTAGTCTGAGAACAACTCAAATACATTCTCTCATGGAAGCTCCCAAGTTCAGGATCCTCCCATGCTCCAGGCGGTAGCCCCTCTATCCTCATTGTGAATGGGGTGTGAGCGAGAGAGGTGGAACTCCACAAAGCCAGTCATGTGCAATGCCAGTTGATGGAAAGTTGGGAACCATCCAAATTAAGGTCAGCTAAATGAGGACTGAGCCCCCAAATGGCACTGCAGCCAAGAAAGAGAGGTCAGTGCCCATAACAGGCATAATCCCAGAACAGAAACAGTGAGGAAGAGAGACACACCCCTCTACAAGCCTGGTCCGTGCAGGGAAGGCAGGGCTCTCACCTGGTTCTTGTCTTTCTCCACCTATATATTTTTAATTGCATTGATTGTGGGTTTGTGTGTTTGTGTGTGTGTTTGATTAATCACCTCTAATGTATTTTTAGCAAGGAAGAGAAGCATTAAAGAAACAGCAAATATAGTCAGAGCCCAAGTCAGTGGCTATTTTTGTTTTCACTTAGAGAACAAAGTGCCAAAGTCCAGCCATGATGAAAGGGCAAGAAAACACCACCCTCCCTCACTCCTGCTGGCCGGCAGGGCCTGCTCCTATGCCCAAACTGTGCATTTCTGTGTTGCTTTTTGGCTGAGAGGAGAGGTGATGAGGCTGTATTTTGACCGAGAGATGAAAAGGTCTATTGTTTGATTTTGTGGTCAGAAGGCATCCGTACCACACACCCTTCCATCTGCTCTTCTATTTCTGCCTAATAAGCAGCACCACATAGGTTTGTATAGCAGAAAGGAAGTGGAAACTGAAGCTCGTTTTGTTAAGCATAACATTTTCACTCAAAGACTGTTTCTAGAACATTTCATCCAGCAACTCAGAAGCCCATATTTTGAATTGAAAGGACAATTCTGGTGAAGTAGAAGAAATCCACACCTTCCTCTAAGCCACAAAAACGGGGGCAAGAGAGCCAAGAAAGTTTCAAATAAATACTGAAATGTCTTTTTTTGTGCCATGCCACATGAAGGACCCTGATGAAAACTAAATTTTGTCACGTGCCTCAGAAACTGGTGAGGCCAGGCAGGATTTTTTTTTTTTAATAGAACAGAAAAGGAGAGGACAATGGTTTTCTGTCTCTACTCAGTTTCCAAAAACCTCTATTGACTACTCTTACCACAACACAGCACCCCTCCCCGCAGCTGTCTGCCACTTGCTTCACTTGTGGCACCTGGTTCCATCCAAGCAAACTCGAGTCCGCACACCTGTGGGAAGGCAACCGGCAGGAGCAAGGCAGAGCCCTCGAGGGAAAGGTCCTGGCTGAGCTGTCTTGCAAGGCCACCCACAGCCGGGCCAGCTCCCTTGTGCCAGGCCACAACAGAGATCCCCTGTATGGGGGAGATGGGGGCTCCCCTGCCTGGGGGAAGCTGGTGGTGTCCAGCCTGCCCAGCACCACAGCCAGGCCAGCAATCAGATGCAGGCGGGAGAAGAATGATCTATTAGTTGAGTGGCCATAGTTATTTGGTGTTAGGCAACACCCCACCCTCCCCCAAAAAGGTCTTCGGACATCTGGTCTTCTAGCCGGTGAGAGAGCTTCCTCATCTCATTCCCATCACTGGCAGGTTGTTCTCATTCTGGTGGACTGATTCTGTTTATAACACATGCAGGATGTGGTAGGTCCTGGTAGAGAAAAATCTGCCGGAAGCTCAACATTCTAAAGATACTTGAAGTCTGGGGAAGCCCGGGATGACTTCTTCCTATTACTAAGATGTGGAGTGAGTCTATTTACCAATCGTGGCCATAAACCTGGAGCTGAGACAAACCATCTGGTGAGCAGACTAAGGTCAAGATCAGGGTGATGTTCAGATGGGAATTTGACCTGTAGCCTCATTCACGATATGGTAAGTGCAGTTCCAAATACGTATCTACAAAGAGAACAACCAAGGTTCTCCAAGGACTCTGTATTTGAAAAACCATAATAAAAGATACCCAAAAGGTTCAATGGAAGACAGAATTTTATTAAAAGAGTGATTGCTCCCAGAATATTGTCTACAGAAAACAACCCCAAGTGTCCATGAGCAGACGAATGAATAAACAAGATGTGGATGACCGTACGATGGAATAGGATTTAGCCTTAAAGAGGAAGGAGATCTGACACACACTGCAGCATGAATGAGCCTAGAGGACACTGTGCTGAGTGAAATAAGCCAACACAAAAGGATAAATACTGTGTAATTCCACTTAAATCCAGCCAAATTCAAAGAAACAAAGTAGAAGAGTGGGTGCCAGGGCCTGGAGGGTGGAGGAATGGGGAGTTAAGTGTTTATGGGGACAGAATTTCGGTTTGGGAAGACGAAAAGAGTTCTGAAGATGGATGGTGGTGATGGTTTCACAACAATGAGAATGTGCTTAATGCCACTGAACTGTTTGCTTACAAATGGCTAAAATGGTAAATTTTTATGTTATGTATATTTTGCCACAATTTAAAAAAATATATTTGTATGCCAATTTAAATCAGGTCCTAGCAAATGATCAGACAAGCATGTGACCCCACAGTTTCACCCTGCCTTGGGCACTGGCTAGAGAGGGCAGGAGGTTCCAGTGAGCATGCAGGGTGGGCACCCATCAGCCTACAGAGCATGGCTGGCCATCTCACCTTCAGGAAACGCTCTGCCCCACCTCAGGCTTCGGGCTGTGTGTTCTCTGCTGACTTTCTGTATCACAGAAGCAAGGCACTTAAGCTTTGCGGCCAGGTGGGCGTGCACTGCCACTTCTCCATGGATAAGCCCTGCACCGCCCTCAAGTGACCAACTCCCCTGGACTCAGGTTCCTCCTCTGCAAAGTGGATCTCACCGTTTTAACACAGAGGGTGGTTTTGGAGCTAAATAAATGATATGCTGTGAGGTGTGGAAACACTGTCCTCAAGGTGGGATCACTAAGCTGAGAATGCTATTTCCTTTAATCCCCTTCCCTTTAAGTCAGGGCTAGAGCTGGCCAGAGAGAAAGTAGTTAGGACCTGGAAGCAGGCAGGGAGGCAACAGTAGATGCAATGATGGGCAGGTGCCTAGTGGATCCCAGTTCACTCTCTCTCCCGACTCACTCCCCACCGATGCTGAGCTGGGAACCAGACCTCACGATGTCCCCCGGGTTCCTCCTCCAGCAGCTGACAGGCTCCGTTCTTCAGACTGACTGCTTGGCTGTCTTACCTGTTCCTGCCCCAGCTCCCCCATGAATGGGTGCAGTCATGGCCATGGGAAAATTCTAGACTTGGAAGTTAACAAGCCATGGGACATGGGCACCCAGCTCACGTGGCCGCTGGCACGGTAGAAGCCCAGTTCCACATTCGCAGCTCTGTGTGGACCCCACTCTGTATGCCGGTTCCTCGGGACTCCTAACATCTGCTTCCATGTCAGAAGAAAGAAAAGGAACAAACTCGTGCAACCTGAACACAGGGCAAATCCCAGCTCATCCCTCCATCCTTAGATGTACAACTGTGCAGCGATGTCCCCCATTAGATGTCCTAGCAGTGGCAGTTCACAGGGTGAGTCACACGGTCTGGGTGTAGGATTCCAGAAGCAGCAGCTTCTCAGTAAAATCGTAGGTGAGAGCCCAGCACCCTTCCTGGCATCCAGAGTCACCGAGGAAGAACTCTACCCAGAGAGGCACTCATCACAGGCAAAAAACTACATCAGACAGGGGCTCTCCCGAGAGGAACCCACATAGAAGCAGGAGTGCACTCCGAGTACACACTGCTGAAATCAGGGCCCGGCTACCTCCCACCCCTGTTCTGATGGTGTAAAGTGGCTTGAGGAGGGGTCAGCTAGCTTGAGTATTTTACAAAGCATCTGAGTTCACTGATCTTTATCAACGTACCTTCTCCAGAATGCACCCTCCCTTCTCTGGTGTTAAATCAACTCTCCTGATTTTAATCACAAAACAATTGTATAATGAAGACTTATTCTCTCTTTACCCATGACCCAAAGTGGCCTTCTCCCCTACCCTCCAGTTTCCTCTGCCCGTGACATTAGTAAGGGGGCAGGGACCATGAGGGGAGGTTACAGACTTCTTATTCCATAATTGAGCAATGCTCAGAGAGAGAGAAACACAGAAAGACACGTAGATGCTTAACACGGTCAATTGTGATGTGTATGGAGGTTAGTCGTCCCACTGAAGGTTTAACGCTGCTCATTTTTTCCATGGACAGCTTTACTGGTTAGAAGTACAAAAGCTGTTTTCTCAGATTATTTGAGATCTTACTCTGCCTCCACCAAGATGTGTGAGCTCAGCGACGTGCCCCTTCTCTCCTCAGCTCACTACAGCTGGTGCAGAGCTCCTGGGCTGTGGTGTCAGTGCCTACCACCCTCCAAGTCTCAGATCTCCCAAAACACTGCTGTCCGCGTCACCCCCAGCAGCCCTTGGAACTCAGTCTCCAATATACATAGATCTTGCTCCCCTTTAGGGGTGAGGACGCAAGTCCAGAGGGGTGAAGCCACAGGCTCAAGGCCACACAGCTAAATGTCACCAGAGTTGCAGCTGGAGTGGAGCCCATCTTCTGATTGTCCTGTCCACGGGACAGAGAGAGCCCACAGATGCCAGCAAGAGTGTCAGGCAGAGACGTTCTTCCAGGGCTGTTCAGATGTCCTCCTCAAAAAGGATTCCTGTTTGGCTGTCTTTCAATCATCCCCCTTTTGTTTCATGTCAATGAAATTTCTTAGTCCTTGTCTCACAGGTCTTCTACGCCAGGGCCTGGCTGGCTTGGGCTCCACTCCTTTTTTTTTTTTTCTCTTTTCTATGACTCTTTTTTTTTAATACTTTAAGTTCTAGGGTACATGTACACAGTGTGCAGGTTTGTTACACAAGAACTCTCTACACAGCACACGTGGCCCCGGCCTCCTGCTGCCCCCACAGCCCCAAGGCCCCTCCTCTGCCAGGGTAGCAATGCTCCCAGGAGAATAAGGCAAGCCCTTCTGCCCCAGCTTTTGGGGCCACTCCCTTTGGGTGATCTTATCTCTTGTGGTTTTACCCATAAACCACATGCTGACAGCTTTATTTCCAGTCACTTCCAGTCTGCGTCTTAGCCTCACCTCCAACAGCCTGCTGAGGCCCCTACCTAGACGCAGCATGGGGGCACCCGGCACACCCAAGACAATTGGCAGAAACACCCCTTCCTCCTCGCCGTCCAGTGACCACTGCCTGCCCTCCATTTCCTCCAACCAGAACTGCAGGGCTGGTCTCAGAGCTCCTCCCTCCCCTGCCCGCCACGTCCACCCAATCCACAGGTCTTTTGCAGGGACTGCTCCAGGCCTCTGAGGGCAGTCACTGAGTCAGCTTCCTCCACACTCTGACACCAGTGTCCCGGGAGGCTTTGCCTCATGGGCTTGGGTTACTTCAGTGACCTCAGAACGACCCACGGGCTGTAACCCTGCCCTTCCAGCCCATCCACCACACCACACCACACCCTATCACACCACACCACAGTGAGACCACGTCACGTTCCTATTTAAAACCATCCCCACGTTCCCCACTCAAGGTAAAGGATAAAGGCCAGGCTCTGACACGTGACAGATGAAGCCATCTTGACCTGACCTTAGTATGCCTGTGTAGACACACAGTTTGCTGCCCTGACATGGCTCAAAGGTGCCTGCTGTGTTGGACACAGCTGGTGTCCACCCAATGCCCCCATCTTCCTTGCTTTAAGAGCCCAGCCCCCTGTTAGGTGATAGAGGCTTCAGATGGCAGATATGCCCTTCTCCAGGCTCCCTGCAGATCCTGGGGCCACGTCCTCACCAGTGAGATATAAGGGGAAGTGTCCTGGATGCTTCTGGGAACACTTTCTTCCCTAATAAAATGAGGGAGGTTTGAGGAGCCCTGGTCCGTCCCTCCTGTCACCCAGCAGTTATCACTGGAGGACAAGATGCCCGGGCTGCGTTTGGCGTACACATAGCCTTATGCTATGGACACACCAGGGTGTGGAAGGGCAAAGAGGGAGGAAGAGCCATGTCCTGAGTACATCACTGAGCTCAGAAGCAGCCCTGGGACCACCTACTTCCAGAGTTCTTGCCAAGGAAGAGAATAAGCAACCGCGCCCATGTGGTTTAAACCCAGTTTAAAAACTGGGTGTTCATGACTTGCAGCCCAGAGCACCCAAAGTGATGCAACTGCTTGACTGTGCTTTCAGATTCCTCCGAGCCTTCCCAGGACTGCATCCTCCACCTGCTCAGAGTGCACTCCTACCCTGCTGCCGACACCTGCACACCGCTCAGCACAGGGCTTCCCTGGGATGTGTGGGCAGCATCTGTCTTTTCATCATCCACTATATTCCAATCATCTTTCTCCCCCACCCAACAGAAGTTCCATAAAGCCAAGACTGTGTCTGATCCACCCTTGTTCTTCCAGTGCCCAGCCTGGTATGGCACCTACCCCACACCAGCTCACCAGGAGGTCTAACTCCTCCAGCAGGGAAATACCAGGGGCAGAGGGAACTGACGGGTGGGGGAGAAGGCTGCTTTGGGCCACGGGCAAAGAGAGAATGGGTCTTTATTATACAACAATTAGTTCTGTGATTACAATCAGGTGAGTCCATTTAACACAAGAAAAGGGAGGTTGCTATCTGGAGAAGAAACATTGACAAAGATCAATGAACCCAAAAGATCTGTCAAATGTGTGGGTCAGCCGACTTCTCCTCAAGCCACTCCACTTGATCTCATTTCTCCAGCCAGCTGGGCAAAGCTACCTCAAGCCAACCTCCCTGGAGCTGTCGGAAAGCCTCACAATGCAGTCAGGATGGTTGCTAACAAATTCATTTTGAGACTTTTGTATTGTTTTTCCTTGTCAGGATTCTAAATGAAATACTGTCCAAGTTGGGATTTATAGTCACGTATAACCAGCCAAAGCAGTCCCCTACTTTCCCGACAACATGGTCAGACTCTAATTGAAAACTGCCCCTCCTCCATAGCGAGCCAACTGACTTCCTTCAGCCTTTTCTGGGCAGCCTCATTTCATGGAGTTGGAGGGAAGTGAGGAGTCAAGAAGAGGAGGAAGAAAATCCCAGATCAGACACCAGTGGCTGGTACCCTGACAAGTCATCCAGAAGCCAAACAAAACCACAGCCACCCAGAGGCTCGATTCGGACCATTGCCCGGCAAGCCGCACCAACCACCCATTCACCAGCTTACATTCCAAGTTTCGCTATCTCCCTGGAATTCCGCAAAGCCCACCAGTTACACCAATGCAGGTGCTCAATCAGTCATTTATTGAATTCAGTGGCATTCACATTCAGGTTTCTAGAAAGAGGTAACAGAAATGTGGGAAGGGGCTGGGTGCGGTGTCTCACACCTGTAATCCCAGCACTTTGGGAGGCCGAGGAGGGCGGATCACCTGTGGTCCAGAGTTTGAAACCAGCCTGGCCAACATGGGGAAACCCTGTCTCTCCTAAAAATACAAAAAATAGCTGGGCATGGTGAATGCCTGTAATCCCAGCTACTCAGGGAGGCTGAGGCAGGAGAACTGCTTAAACCCAGCAGGCGGAGGTTGAAGTGAGCCAAGATTGCACCATTGCACTCCACCCTGGGTGACAGAGCGAGACTCCATCTCAAAAAAAAAAAAAAGAAAGAAATGCAGGAAGGGCCGAAGGGCTCATGTGCATCTGTCTGTCTAATGCTCCCCACTGCTGTGCTCTCCAGCACGTAGCTGCCTGCTCTGTGACAGCCCCGGAGCTTGCTGATCCGCTCCTACTGGATACCTGGAAGACTGGGCTCCCCCTCCACCGCAGTTGCGCCCATCTGCATTCTTCTCAGACACGGCCCCTACTCCTTCCGCTCCATGCTTCTTACCTCGCCAGGGCTTCCCTGCTGTTTATAACACCTCCTGATTTAGCATCTTCTGTGAATTTCATTAAATTGCTGTTTACTGTTGCCTCCAGCATTATTAATAAAGATGTTAAACAAAATCCAGGCTTGTAACCAATGCCTTGCTGCAAATGGCAGGACATCCCCTCACCACCTAGCCAGCTGCCATTTATCAGGGTTGCCTCCTTGCCTTTTATCCCAGCCAAGGAGCAGCCCCCACCTGCTTTCAGGTCAGCAGGGCTCACTTCTCCTTTAATTGTGCTTAATTCTGCAAGTAACGTTTTCTCCAGAGGCCCCATAGACACACATAAATGGGCATATTAACCAAAAAGGTGTGCTCCCTACCAGACAGAGCAGAACAGACTCAACTGAAGAGCTGTCATCAACCCGTGTGCCAGGAGGAAGAAGGAACTGAGCAGAGCGGGTGTGCACCCCATCCATCCCCAAACCCAGCCCACTGGGAGGCTCTGACAGGAAAGGACAGCAGCAATTCCACCACGTGTCAAGTGGGGTTGTGTTTTCCTTCACAATTAAAATAAAGATTTCTCACCTAGGTTGTAAATAGATTTTTAAATTTAAAAAGCTACATTTTGTAGTGACTCATGCTTTAGAAATAGGTCGTGCTTGCCAGAGAAGCAGTCGACTAATTCACAGCATTTCTCCCTTTCCTCCCTGCCTACACCCAGAGAGAACCCCGGGAGGAAAACCCAACCTCCTTCCTGGGCCTCCCACCTGGAGTAAGCTCATCAGACCCCACCTCTCCCCTTACTCCAGGCCCCACCAGGCCCAGGCACTTCCCTGAGCTGGACACAATCCACACCTGCAGAGCCACCTGCTTAGGCCATTTGCCCTGAGCTCTTGAAAGCCCCAGATGTCCCATCTCATTGTCTGGTTGGTGTTACTCCAGCCACTGTCTCCCTGGGATGCAGCTCCAGCAGTCTCCAGGCTGCTGGGCAACTCTGAAAACAACATGTAGCCTCACTGTGCTCAATGCCTACAGACAAAACGAGGGAGCACGGAAAAGACCAGGCTTTCCCGCTTTGGACTTCACAGATCAGTGACATTAAAAATCTTGAAATATCATTTTTAGGTCTATACTCAAAAAAACTCAAAGCAAGGACTCAAACAGATGTTTGTACACCTACACGCATAGTGACATTATTCCCAACAGCCAAAAGGCAGAAACACCCAAATGTCTGTGAACAGATGAATGAATACACAAAATGTGGTCTAGCCATACAATGGAATATTATTCAGCATGAAGGAGGAAGGAGATTGTGACGCATGCGGCTATGTCGATGAATCCTGAGGACCCTGTGCTAAATGAAATAAGCCAGACACAAAAGGACAAATACTGTTTGACTCTGCGGTCCCTAGAATAGTCATTCACAGAGACAGAAAGTATAACAGAGGTTACTGGGGGGGCTGAGCGTGGAGGAGTTCGTGTTTAATGGGGACACAGTTTGGAAAGGTGTTGCTCAGAAATAGTGGCAGTGGTTACAAAACAGGGGGGACGTACTTAATGCCACTGAACTGTAGACTTAAAAATGGTAAAATTTATGTAATATATGTTTTGTCACAATAATAAATCTTGGAATACTGGAGTGTCCAATTTGTCATTCTACCAAGTAAGCACAGGAGGTGAACAAACCATTTACTCTCACCTAGGGTTTGTAAATAGATTTTTCCATCTAAAAAGCTACATTTTGTAGTGACTCATGCTTTAGAAATGGGTCCTGCTTGCCAGAGGAGCAGTCGACTGATTCACAGCGTTTCTCCCTTTCCTCCCCACCTACACAGCAGGGAGTGGATAGGAAACTCAAAAGGAAGGAAAATCTTCCCCATGAGAGCTAGGAACTTTCCTCAGATAACACACTGCACAGTTCTCGCCTCCCTTGCTGTACCCAGGCCTGCTCTCCCAGCTCAGGAGTGTTTGCAGCTCTCCCAACCCATGGCATCACATAAGCAGCTTGGAATCGGCCAGGTGGGAGTGTTTACACCCTGGAAATGGACAAACACTATCACTCAGGGCATCTTCCTAGGAAGCCAACTGTTAAACGTTTGCCAGCACACCACTGGAGCCAAGAAAACTCAGTCATGGTCACCAAAATCACCCGCGCAGGACCTGGCACAAGGGAATCTCTGAATGTGATGACCTCTCAGTTTTCCTACAGCCCATAAACAGGTGTTGATGCCACGGCATATGAGACCACCAGCCTCAGGTACACAACTATGATGCCCAGGCAGACCACAGCACAGAGGGTTTGGACCCACTTCCCAGTGGCAACAGTAGAAAAAGTTGGGCAACATTTGTGGGTTTTGTTTAAGGTACTGGCTGCCACGGAAAGTTGGTGTGGGTCTACAGGTGCTGGGGCCAGCACTGCCACTCTGGGTCCATATGTCCGTGTTGATGTCGGGCCTCTGTGAACATGAACCCCACCTGCCCATGGCCAAAGACACCTCTGTCTGATGGCCTGGATCCTACAGTCCTTCTCCAGATGCCCACACTGGCCCTCTTTAAGGATCTTCTCTAGCAGGCCAGTAAGAGAGAATGAACCTGAATTTGCCTTTTCCTGGAGATGCTTAAGTATCTCATGCTTGAGACATCTGCTCAACACATGTATTTCTAGGGCAAGATTCCCTTGACCTCACTTCCTCTGACAAGGAAATTAGACACTGGCATATTCCCACAGCAACAGTACAGGATTACAGAAAAAACAGTATTCTGGTTATCTATTGTTACATAACAAACTTGCTCCAAACTTAGTGTATTAAAACAGTAAAGTCAAATGACTGCTTACAAATATGCAACTTGAACAGAGCTTGGTGGGAACAGCTCTGCTGCAGGTGGGTCGGTTGGTGCTGGTGGCTCCACTTCCAAGAAAGCTCAATCACATGGAGCTTAGCTGTAACTGTTACTGGGAGCCTTTGCCCTTCTCCACAGGGCTTCTTGGGCTTCCTCACATGATGGCTGGGCTCCTAGACAGCAAGTGTTCCAAGATACAGGAAGCATAAGCTGCCCATCCCTGAAGACCGAGCATGGGAAACTTCTGCTGTATTTGATTGGTCAAAGCAGCCATGGAGCCCAGGTTTAAGGGAAGGGATATGCCCCACCTGCAGGTGGCAGGAGTGTCTGTGGATCTGCAATTCTGCAACCATATCGAATCCATCACATGAAGATGTGAACTAAAACCTCAGCTTTGCTCTGCCAGCAGAGCCAGGTAGGTGCCACAGGGCAGTTGCATGCTGTCTCAGCAGAGCTTAAGCTCAGACTCTGAGCCCATGGGGGCAGCAGCATGTGTGTCTGAGGGCCCAGCACTGTGCCCAGCACAGGCATTCCGTAAATATTTGCAGAATTGTTGAATTTAACAAATCGCATGCTAAAGTTTCTTCTTCTTTTAAATCTCACCAGAATTTAAAAATGGGGGAGGGGGAATGCTCAACTGTGTAAGAGTAAAAGAAGGAATTCCAGATTAGAGCAAAACTAAGCCAAGATCCCTGGGAAAATGATGATACAGGGAAACTGCCATAGGCCAATTTGTTAAATTGGTCCCCAAACAATATGAGGTATAGTTTAATTTTTTTTAAAAAAGAAAATTGTGCCATTTAAACTGATCAAAATCAGTTATAAACCTGAATACAGTTGATTTTAGCAATTTACAACATAAAATAATTCAGTCTCAGGTAAGTCTTCCTATACAAATGTTTTGTTTCCATGTGAAAATAGCTTTCCAAATTCTATAGGTGGCACCTTACATCATACAGCAACTGCACCCCTGGAAACAATCTTAGGGCTCCATTGCATCTTTATTTTCCACAATTTCAATATCTTAATAGCACACAAATAACATTTTGTTCCTAAGAGAAACACTGTTTTACCATGAAATTCCATGACATGCATCTCTCCAAAGGCAGATGGTTCTGCTGCATAACATTATTACATATATAATTACCTACATCACAAATATTTTCAAAATCGAAACTGCCAAGCCTTCTTGCCTGTCACTTTTTCTTATGTTGTCTCCATAGCAACCTGCTTCCCTCCCCCAGAGACAAAGAGAACACAGAAGACATCTTTAAATTGGCATAAATTAGAGACAAATTCTTTAATCAGACACACAGCTTACTCTAATGATTACCATACACCAAAATTATCCAGAAATAATAATTGTAACTCATAAAAATGAACTGCTGTAAACAGACCTGTTTGCACAAGATGAGAGCATAGTTCTAAAATGTGGCACTGTGTCGTCATTGCACCCTCACCCCCAGTTTATCATCCTCTACAGCACACACAGCCCTATCTGCCTTCTTCTTGAGCGCACTAAGCTCCCCAGGCCCTCTCCTCCAAATGAGCATGGTCAGGTTCTGCCTCAGGCCCTGAGTGGTTCTCACCTCCTGCAAATGCAGCGCTCAGCCAAACAGAGGTGTGTTGAAGTTCATTCCAGGCAACCATAACAAGCCACACATGACACAGAGACATGCTATCCCAAACACAAGCTTATGGCCCATGACTGGGCAGAAGGGGCACTGAGAATGCTCAGTCAACTTTGACAATTAGTGCAGAAATAGCAAATGCCAGAGTTAAGTAACTAATAGTGTCTCTCTCTTGTCACCCAGGCTGGAGTGCAGTGGCACAATCATAGCTCACTGTAACCTTGAACTCCTGGGCTTAAGCAATTCTTTGACCTCAGTCTCCTGAGTAGCTGGAATTATAAGCATACACTAATATGCCCAGCTAATTTAAAAAAAATTTTTTTTTTGTAGAGACAGGGTCTTACTTATGTTTCCCAGGCTGGTCTTGAACTCCAGCCTCAAGCTATCCTCCCTCCTTGACCTCCCAAACTGCTGGGATTATAGGTGTGAGCCACCACACTCAGCCTCCTCTAATTCTTTTTTTTTTTTTTTTTTTTTTTTTGAGACGGAGTCTCACTCTGTCGCCCAGGCTGGAGTGCGGTGGCACGATGTTGGTTAACTGCATGCTCTGCCTCCCAGGTTCACGCCACTCTCCTGCCTCAGCCTCCTGAGTAGCTGGGACTACAGGTGCCCTCCACCAAGCCCGGCAAATTTTTGGTATTTTTTAGTAGAGACAGGGTTTCACCATGTTAGCCAGGATGGTCTCAATCTCCTGACCTCATGATCTGCCCACTTCAGCCTCCCAAAGTGCTGGGATTACAGGCGTGAGCCACCGTGCCCGGCCCAGCCTCCTCTAATCTCGACCATAGTTAAAAATATAGTGCTGTGTCCCCAGAATAACATTCTACACCAAGCAAAACCTCCAGGGAGAGAGGGGTGGCTTGGGTCACCCATCCATTCACGTGCAGGTCATACAATGCCCACCGCGGAGGCTGGAAAGGCATCTCAGGGTACAAGTGACAGTTCACCAGGTTAGTCTCCAACTACTACTTGGCCTTGAAACACTTTTGGAGTAAACATGGTAAATCTCAATGTTACAAAGAGCTCAGAAAAACACACATCTACTTTTTTAAGTCAACAAATAATTCATAACCCTTCAGTTGGTTTCTATGAAAAAACAGGAAGCGGAAAGGAGAAAACTCCAACTTTAGGCTCAAGAGTATTTTACACACACAGTGTGCTTCCCTGTCTCTGATCCCCCCGCTGCTTCAGGGAGGCTGCTGGGGAAGGCTGCACAGAGCGGGGCTGCCTTCCTGCCAGTGAGCAAAGTGCACTGCCCCGAAACAACACCTCTGCCCAGAGATCTAGGGCAGATACGGTGCAGACCCTGACACCAACAGACTGAGCCATGTGATTCTCACCGTGGCCTTCTCCCATCTGATGAATATACCCTCTGCACCCCTAGAATGTAGTTTCTGTGTGAGCATAAAGAGTCACATAAGTTGGGCGGGGCACAGTGGTTCACCTGTAATCCCAGCACTTTGGGAGGTGGATGCAGGTGGATCACTTGAGGTCAGGAGTTCAAGACCAGCCTGGCCAACATGGTGAAACCCTGTCTCTACTAAAAATACAAAAAACAAAAACAAAAAATTATCTAGGCATGGTGATGCATGCCTGTAGTCCCAGCTACTCAGAAGGCTGCGGCAGGAGAATCTCTTGAGCTGAGATTGAGCCACTGCACTCCAGCCTGGACGACATGGCAAGACTCAGTTTAAAAAAAAAAAAAAAAAAGTCACATAAGTTGCTCTAATTTTTTTTATCTTATTTTATTATTTATTTATTTTTAGAGACGGAGTTTCACTCTGCTGCCCAGGCTGGAGTGCAGCGGCATAAACATGGCTCATTGTAGCCTCAATCTCTTGTATTCAAGGCATCCTCCTACCTCGGCCTCCCAAGTAGCTGAGACTACAGGCATGTACTTCTATGCCCAGTTAATATTTTTAGTTTTGTAGAGACAGGGTATCACTATGTTGACCAGGCCGGTCTCAACCTCCTGGCTTCAAGTGATCCTCCTGCCTCAGCCTCCTGGAGCACAAGGATTACAGGCATGAGCCACCATGCCCACCCAGTTGCTCTACTTTAAAAGGCAGACTTCTAAAATTATTTCCCTGGAACACAAAAAAGCCTTTAGTTTAGCCCCCACTTCCACGCTACAGAAAATACAGGGAATCAAGAAACAAGTTCAATGGCACCATCAAGAAATGACCCAATAAATCTAGAATGCAGGACATTTGACAAAATAATTGGCTTGGTCTCTTCAAAGGGTCAATACCTTCAAAAGCAAAGTAAGAGACTGCTAGAACAGTTCTCCAATGGGGCATCCTGCCTGCCAGCAGGTCCCTGGCAATGTGTGGGTTGTCACACCTGGTGGTGGAGTAGGTGGCGCTGCCGGCACCTGGAGGATGGAGGCCAGGGACGCTGCTGAACACACCCATTTATGTGTACATTGTACATTGCACACAAATATATGTACAATGTTGAGAAACTAGTCTAGAATAAGGGAGATTGGAGGGGCATAACAAAAGCCACAAGTGAACCCAGTTTTAACAAAAACTACAGCAGATTTTTAAGGGACAATCAGGAAAACCTGAATGTGAACTGGTATTGATAATGATTTAAAAGATAAGATAAGGAGATTCCTGCTAACTCTCTTAGGTGAGATAACAGGATCACAGAAGAGTGCCCTTATTCTGCAGAGGTGTCTGCTAAATTATCTAGGAATGAAGCAACAGGGCATAAGCAAAGTAAGTTTCATGGTTCACCCAAGACAGACAGACAGACATACAGACAGATAAAAGGAAAGAGCAGATGTGGCAGAGTTAATGGCTGAATCTAAATGGAGAAGAGACAGACCTTCACTGGATTCTCCTTACCCTCTTCGCCTTGTCTGAGACTGTTCATGACAGCCAGTGGGCAGGAGGTGCAAATCCAGGCATTTTTCGAATGGCCTCCTGACGTCTCAAAGATATAAACTACTCGGGTTTTCACACTCAGAGCCCCTTCAAGCCCACAAATGCTTCACACTGGAGCACCGTGCAGATGCTCTGCTGGGAGGCCTTGGGGCCACAACAGCACACACATCAGCCCTGCCATCAAGGGCTGCCAGGCCGCACAGGGAACAAGAAGGGCCCAGGGGTAGGTAGCGAGGCACCCACACAAGAGAGCAAACGCTTCAGAGTCGAGGCGTGCATGAGACAAAGGGCAGGAATGGATGGACCGAGGGTGTGAAAGGTATGTGGGTTCTGTGGGCTGGGCAGAGCATACCCATGGAGAGAAGATGGGGCTCCAGGCCCAGGGGGTGGAAGTGCAGGGTGCACAGAGACACAGGGCCAGGACACTCACATGGGGTGCACAGAGACAGGGCCACGATGCTTGTCGTGCAAAGGGAAAGTGGAGAACAGTGTTCCAGAGAGCTGGACGAACCACATGGAGCAGTCCCAGAGGGCTCCAAATGCATGCCCTGGGATCAGAGCAACTGCATTCAGGAGGCAATGGGGAGCGGTGGGACTTAGGAACTAAGAAGCGACTTAAAGAATATGTCATGGCCAGGGATACAGTGATCGCCTGACCACAGGTGATGCGCTCGTAGGGACGCGGAAACACCCTCCCAAGGCCATCCGTCTCACAACAGGGCAGCATAAGGACTAGCAAGCTCCGCCGCATCTGCGCCACTGTCTGCTGCGTCCACCTGAGAGAGCCACCTGTAGCCTCTTAATTACAGCCACACAGCCTGCCTCATCCTGATGCTGCCCTGGGGCTCTCTGAAGAGGCTCCTGGCTCTCTGCAGGGTCCTTCTTGCGGGCAAGGCATCCTCAATGAGGATGTCACTCAATGAGTGGACAGTGCTCCTTGACTGCTGAGGACACGGACAGGCCCAGGGCACCGTGCAGGGCCACCAGTGTTCCAGGCTCGACGGAGCTTCTGTAGCCTTTGGAGCCTCTTCCCCTCCAATCACTGTAGGACCATGGCCAGGCCAGTATCCTCAGGCCCAAGTGTTACCTTGTTAGGCACAAGTGTTATCCTCAGGCACAAGACCAGCTCCCATTGTGTTTGCATTCCTTCCATGACACCTACACTCTAAAACATTACTATCGGGACAAAACTGTGCTAATCAGCCAAGCAGTTGTTCAGTCCATAAATTCTGCAACACTTAAAGTTGGGCCCTTTCCCGGGAATGGGGCTCTCGACCCCCTTTGCTTAAATGTGTGTATGATCCTAAGAGCTCCATAGTATGGGAAGGGCTGTCGACAGCCCCACGGGAAGGCCGTGGCGTTTCCAGATGGGGAAACTGAGGCTCAGGGAGAGAAGGTGCTCACCCAAGGCTGTGTGCTGGCTGTTTTCCCAGGACCCAGGTTCCTGGGGCCGGGCTGACGCCTCACCCTCTATGCTCTGAAAAAGGAATTCTCAATTTTTAAAGAATAATCACTGCTGACTGCTGGGAGGGGAAGGAGAAAGCAGCCATGCTGACCACCCACCAGCTACCCAGACATGTGAGGAACAAGAACGCGCCCCAGGGACAAAGAGAAAAAGTACTGTGTAATTGTAATTGTACTACATTTAGTAATTGTACTAAAAAGTACAATTAAGTTCGGGCAATTAGGTGTCCCTTCACAAAATCTCAAACAGAGAGTGGAAAGCCCAAAGCAGCCGAGACACACTCCTAGGGAGTTTCATTATCCATCGCTCCCCTCCGAGGGGGTCCAGACGCTGCCGAGATGGACCTGGGAGGCAGCACTGGAGGCAAGGTGGGGGCCGCATCCTCACTCTGCAGTCCACAGGTGGCTTGGGAAACAAGGGAGGGAAGAGAAGGGTTGTTTTCTTCCCCGTGTTCATCTACAAGCTGTAAGTGCGTCCATATGCTGATCTGTCAAGATGAGAAAGTGGCCGAGATCGCCTCGAGGGGAGGCTGTGTGCCTCCTGCCAGCTGTGCTGTCACGAGACCCAGCCAGGCTCCAAGGCAAATACAATGTGGCCTAGGTTCTGTGCCTGTGTCCCGTTTCCTTTGGACATATTACAGGTTACTTTAATTAAAACATTTGCTTCTCCACCAGTTTTTTTATGATGCCACGGGTCCTTGTATTGATTTCAGATGTGTCAGACTCATTGGTAGGAGGCTTAGCAACACAGGACATAATTCTCCCTGGAGGGAGGGCACTATGCCCCATTTAAATAACCCAAGAGATCAGCTGAGCAGCATTTATACCCACTTCCCAAAGCTCATTTCCTACCAATGCTCCTTTCACCGCTTGGCTGTGCCCCTGGGCTGTACGTGGCTCTCCATGCAAGGCGCAGCGTTTCCCATGCTGCTGACGGGCTGGAGAAGTGGGCAGACACTTGCCTCCTGACACAAACGTCCCAAACGAAGGCCATGCTGTGAGAGGCCCGGCATGGTCCCAGATCACACTTTCAGAGACCTCAAAACTGAAAGAGGAGGAGAGCAACTTCCAAACCAGGGAGGGGAGACCCTAGCAGGAGACAGCAAGGGTGGCCTGGGGTAGCCAGGGGGAGAGAGAGATAAGAGAGAGAGAGGTGGGACTGCTGGCCTGTGGCGGCTGAGATACCTGGATGTGTGCCTGGAGACAGAGAGATCCGGGAAACAGCCTGCACACAGGCAAGGGGCCAAGGCCCAAAGCCCAGGCCATGTACCTGTGGGTTCTAGGTCACAGATCAGGGAGGCCTGTGGGAGAGTGGGGCTGGGGTCTGTCTGTGAAAGGCTTCAAATACAAGGCCAGCAAAATTTTCACTTTGCAAAATGAGTTTTTAAGTGCAGAAGAGGCAAAACTAAAGCATCATTTCAGGACCGTGCATCTTGCAGCCATGCAGAGGCCGCCGGAAGGAAGACGTGTGAAGCCAGAGCCGTACCTGATATAAAATAAGGTCTGTGCTGAGGGACAGGGGAGAGAACTGAGAGTCCCTGAGCACGGCTGCTTCAGCCTGGAGCTCCAGCTCACAGGGTCCCACCCAGGTCCCCACAGCCACTTAGCTGCTGCTGCTGCCCCTTTGTCCCCAGCAGCAGCCCGGGTGCCAGTGTGGGTGGGCCCCGGGCCACTGCGAGGTCTGCACTATCCCAACAGCACCCAGGGCCCAAGGAGGAGTGACATGAAACAGCACATAGGAAACCCCATGACAGGCTGAGAGGCCGCACTTAGGGGAAAAGCTTTTCTCTTGTCCTGTGAACTCAGGGCCCTGTGTTTTTCTTCTGTGCTCAGCCGGCCCTAAAGGACCTGGTCATGGAGTGGGCATGAGGGGTGAGGAGGGGCAGCAAGAAATAGAGCCTGTGAGCAGGTGAACCAACCGGAGTGCAGGGACACCAGGAGAAAAGAGGCCTCCAGCTTGGCCAGGTAGGGGTGGGGCAGGCTGCTGGGACAAGCTCACTTTAAGAGGCTGTGGCATCTCCAGGTGGAAAAGGTCGGCGGTGCCTAGAAGAGCAAGGCTGGAGGCCGGGAGCCTGGAGGCTCTGCACACAGGGCAGAGTCGGAGGCTTGGACCCGCCGACTGAGCAGGACACAGGGGACTACAAAGGAAATGAAGGTCACAGCCATACCCAGGGACCACACAGGACACAGAAGCCATCAGAGATGGAGGGAAAGAGAGAAAGACAAGGCAGATGACAGAAAACCACAGGCAACCCCACGAAGGAGCCTATGGAAAGGAGGCTGCTAGTGAGTTCTGCGGCAGGGTCTGGGAAGGCCTCTGAGCAAACAGACGCCCACTGAGAACACCTTGCTGAAAGCCCCAACTACAGGTGCAGGATAGGGCCCCTCTGGCGACTCTGCAGATGGGGTGTTCTGGAGTTTCTTATTCTGTTCTCTTGTAAACTAGAAATATTCCATACCAACAAAGTCACCTTAGGAGCATGTGGAGCATGTCCGTAACATTTCCTCCACATCACTAGGGCTTGGAAGGAAAATGCTGGTTTCTTACCCTGGCCACTGGTGACATTTCTCTGTGGGGGGCTGTCCCATGCATCACAGCATGCTCAGCAGCACCCACCCCACCTTAGCTGTGACAACCAAAACTGTCCCCAGACACTGCAAACGTCCCTGGGGACACGTGCTGTACAGCGGGTGCTATAGACTGAAGGTTGTGTACACTTAAGCTTTCTACATCTAAGCCCTAATCCCCAAGACAATTTTGTTATTTCCATTCCATTCCATTCCATTCCATTCCATTCCATTCCATTCCATTCCATTCCATTCCATTCCATTCCATTCCATTCCATTCCATTCCATTCCATTCCATTCCATTCCATTCCATTCCATTCCATTCCATTCCATTCCATTCCATTCCATTCCATTCCATTCCATTCCATTCCATTCCATTCCATTCCATTCCATTCCATTCCATTCCATTCCATTCCATTCCATTCCATTCCATTCCATTCCATTCCATTCCATTCCATTCCATTCCATTCCATTCCATTCCATTCCATTCCATTCCATTCCATTCCATTCCATTCCATTCCATTCCATTCCATTCCATCCCATTCCATTCCATCCATTCCATTCCATTCCATTCCATTCCATTCCATTCCATTCCATTCCATTCCATTCCATTCCATTCCATTCCATTCCATTCCATTCCATTCCATTCCATTCCATTCCATTCCATTCCATTCCATTCCATTCCATTCCATTCCATTCCATTCCATTCCATTCCATTTTACTTTTTGAGATGGAGTCTCACTCTGTCACCCAGGCTGGAGTGCAGTGGCATGATCTCGGCTCACTGCAAGCACCTCCCGTAGCTGGGACTACAGGCACCCGCCACCACGCCTGGCTAATTTTTTGTATTTTTCGTACAGACAGGGTTTCACCGTGTTAGCCAGGATGGTCTCGATCTCCTGACCTTGTGATCCACCCGCCTCAGCCTCCCAAAGTGCTGGGATTACAGGCATGAACCACCATGCCTGGACCCCCAAGACCATTTTTTAAGTGGAACTGTGTAGAAAAACTCAAGACGGTGCTTAAGGCCACCATGTAAATACAGTCACACACCACGTGAAGACCTGCAGTCCATGATGACTGCATATACCATGGGGTCCCATAAGACTGTATTTTTACTGTACCTTTTCTGCATTTAGCTACGCAAACATTTGCCACTATGTCTCAACTGCCTACGGTGTTCAGTATAGTCACATCCTGCACAGGTCTGCAGCCGGGGAACACAGGCTGTGCCACGTAGCCTAGGTATGTCAAAGGCTGTACTTCCTAGGTTTGGTATCAGGAGGTGAGGCCTTTGGGAAGGTGATTAGGTCATGAGGGTGGAACCTTCACGAATGGGATTAGTCCCCTTTTAAGAGACACGAAAAATGTTCTCTGTCTCCACCATGTGAGGAGCAAGACACTGGCTGTCTACAAACCAGGGAGACAGCCCTCACTGGGAATGAGACCTGCTGGAAGCTTGACCTTGAACTTCCCACCTCCAGGACTATGAGAAACAAACATCTCACAGAAATCGATGTCTGCTGTTTAAGCCACACAGTGTGTGGTATTTTGTTATAGCAGCCTGAGAAACTCAGACAGCTATCATCCTCCAATCTGTGCTGGGCAGGGTACCCAAGAGGTAGCCCACTGTGCCCCTCTACCTCTCGCACACACCCCTTGCTCACTGAGTTTTGTTTAAGTTGTCACAAGGATGTTTGAAGTGATCCTGTCTTGCACTGTTGATAATTTATTCCTCAGGGTCATAAATTCCTGTCATTTAGAGATGACACTGCAGCTGTGATCTCACAGGGCTTAGATCACAGGCTGGCTGGCTGGTTTGCTTCGATTTACAACCTATGCAGGCCATGTCTTGAGGGTTCCAGAAGGTCCCTGCTGTGGCCATCCCTGCACTGGGCAGGACTTCTAAGTGTTCTGCTTAGGGTACTGAGAGACTTCAAATGTCACAGCAGGCTCCACACTCCCGAGCACCCCCAACTGACACACTGCATGGGGACTGGGCTTAGCCACAACTCTGCTGGAAACCTGCCGCTTACTTAACTACAGGTCAACTCTGTGAAAAACCTCAACCCCTCTGACCTCCTGGGCCTCACCCAGATGCCAAATAACCAAGGCTGCCCAAGGGGCCAGCTACATACTCTGTGGGATTTGATGCAAAAGGCAAGTGCAGTCTTCTGTGCAAAAAGCAAAAGTAAGGCTTTTTCCTTTCTCCTGGAGTTCCTCCCCAACCCACCATAGCATTTTTTTAATTTGCTATTTCATGCCAGGCTTCCTCAGGCAGGGCCAGTGCAGAGCCTGATAGGGGCCAGGGCCACCCTTCTACTCCAGCAAGGCACACACCCGGCCCTACTGGGCCCTGGCAGGCTTACTGTCCCAACACATCTCACAAAACACAAATGCAAAGGTAAATATCCAAGAATCTCAAAACAGCAACTGCAGAGCATTAAACCCCAAGCACAGGTCCCCCTAAAAGGGCCTCCCACCCCTCCCCGGCCACCTGCATCAAGGGTGGCTGTGGGAATATGGGCATCTGACTCCTGAGTAGCCTTCACAAATAGGGTCTCATTTGCTGGGGTTGGGGAGAGCCTCACCCCCATTTACTGATGAAGAAACAAGATAAGAGAAATTAAGCCACCAGCCCGAGGACAAACAGCTTGCAAGTGGCAGAGGAAAGACTGAAGTCCAAGTGGGTCTGGCCCTTCCCTTCCCTTCTTAACCCCTCCTGTGTCAGGCAGAACAGCAGCCCTCCCAGAATGAGGCCAAGTGCATCCCAGCATCCCTAACGACCAACGAATTACCCTGGCAGCCCCCTGACCTGGTCCCTGAGATTCTGCAGTGAGTTGGCAGGAAGGGCAACAAGACTACCGCCTTCCTGGGCCGCAGGGCTGCAGCAGGAGCTCAGGAGCCATCTGCACAGGTTCAAACCCAACCTCTGCCTCTACTAGCTGTGTTGCCTTGGGCCAGTTCTTCCACCTCTCTGTGCCTCAGTGTACTCATCTGCAGAAAAGGGAAAACAGTGGCACCCACTCACAGGGCTATGGTGAGGGCTAAGGGAAATCAAACTAAGCACCTGTTCCCAGTGCCCAGCACAGGGGCGCACTGTGTAGGGGAAGCCTTCGCACTACTCAGCAAGTAGTGCCAGCCTCTATGATGTGCCGGGGTCCTCAAAGGAAGTCCATCTAGGCCCACCTCTGTCTCTTGGCAGGATCTCCCTGTGAGTTGTGCCCCAAAGAGTCAGCAGTCAGACCGTATGCTATTGGCGCCTGATCTCATTTGGCCACAAGTAGGCCCAGAAGGCCACGGGGCATGTGGTGCAGCTCCCTCCTCCGGGAGGAGGCACACACCAGCTCAGGATTCACAGAGCCAGCCCCTCACTGCAACCAGACCTCAGCCAGCCAGGCCAGGTACAGCCGCAACCACAGCGCAGCAGCACTCGGAGTTTCAAGGCCAACTCCACATCCAGCCACATGATGTAGGGCCACTCTTGCAGGACGACAAACCCACGGACCTCTCAGCACAGGTGCTAAGTAGCTGGTCCCAGACACTCTAGAAACAGACTGGAAGGGAGTCACCTGTGTCCTCCCTTGCAGGGCTGCCCAGGATGGAGGAAGGGCTGTGGAAGCCATGCCACAGCAGGAGGCTGCCCGCCACGGGATTAAATGATAGAAGGACCAGTGGTAGGACCGAGCCAGGCCTGCAAGCCACAGCCCAACGCCAGGCCTTGGGGCCAGGGGAGCTACACCAATCCAGGGCTGCTGGCCTGGAGCAGCCCAGGGGCCCAGGAGAGCAGCGGATGCAGGAGGGTGGGCAGTCTCTGCCGTCCCAAACACCCCGACATGGCCTCAAGGGTGGACAAGGCCTCCAGGCTGCAGCTCTGCCATGGCCAACCAGCCATGTGACCCTGAGTGGGACGTGTGCCTGCCGGCTTCTGTCCCTCGTCCCATTAAAGGAGGCTTAGAGCCAGGTGGTCTGCGTTCCCTCTGGAGCCCTTCGACATCACCTGGATTCCCACTTTGGAAAAACAGGTGTGCGTACAGATTTGCTACTGCAAATGGGAGTTTCTGGTGGTGTCTCCAGAAGGCCCGCAAGGTACCTGGCCCTTCTCGCTGCAGGGCGAGGTGCTCAGTCAGTAATGAGATAATGCAACCCTGAGAGGTGGAAGGGAAATTCGAGAGACCTTCCAAACGCATAGCCAGACTCCATGCCGGGATCAGGCGACACAAATCAGCAGGTATTTAAAAGTAGAGGGGAGATTCTGAGAAGCCCAATTACCCACAGGAAGTCCAAAGGCTATTTTTAAACGCCTTATCAGAAGTCCAGGTCAAATGAGTACCAAAAAAAATAAAAATAGCAAGTGCTCAGAAAAATAAGATGCAAACGCGGAGCTCTCTGGCACACGGTCAGAGGCTGCCTGCGGGGAAAGAGGCATCCTTCCAGAAAACGATGCAAAAATAGCTCCAGCAAGGGAAGCCCATCAAGCATGCGAGGGTTAGGTGCAAATGGGAAACTTAATTAAGCAGGCCTCTAAAGAACGTAGGTTTCCAAAATAAAGCCTACAGCTCTTTATGTGGCAAGGCCAAGAAGGGGTGGGGACACTCGACAGTTGACACTCAGGCATGAGTGGCAGACGCTGGTGTCCGCAGGCCAGGGCCTGCCTGGTCCCAGAGGGCAGGGAAGCTTGGCAGCAGCTCCTCACTTGCCCCTTGTCCTGGCTGTCACCCCTCCTTCCTCCCAGGAACTGCCTGCCACATGACCCTAGCTATGGGACCCTCCTGTTAGCTCCCTGTTCCCATGGACTGCAGTCCTAGTGTAGGCAGTCCTAGTCCTAGTCCTAGTCCTATCACTCTCCTAGCCCCATCTCCAATGAGCTTATTACTTCAGAGAGAACCAAATTGTCCTTTTTTTCCTATTAGTTTTTATCCATCTGCCAGCTACAAATATAGGTGTAAAATGCTCTTCTTTTCAGTCAAAGAACCAGGGTATTAGGATTCCTTTTAAACACCATCTTCCCCTTCCATTTTCATTTCCCCCACTTCTAAAAAGCTGTGTGTTCTCAAAATCCACAAAAAAGGATCCTGGAGTTGGGGTTCCCTCCCCAGCTCCTCTACTTTCTCCCTTCCTTGGATTTTTTTCTTTTTCTTTTTTCTTTTCCAAGTAGCATTTTTAAAAACTGAGTTTGTAGCAAGCTAAGGGTTCTCTATATGGCATGTCAAGCACTGTAAGCTTCTCAATCTTTTCGTCCTGTGAATTTTGGTTGCCCTGACAACCACATTCTGGGCAGAGCTTGAGCATTCAGGATTGGAAGCATCCCCGGCCTGCAGGGCAGTGTTTAGGGTGGAGGGAATGAAGCTCAGCACCTGCCCTGATGAAACCTAAGCTCTGCTGATCACCAAACCCATCTCTTCCTGTATATGCAGAAGATACAAAGTGCCTGTGTGTGCATATGTGCCTGCCCTCCCTACCCAGCCCGCCCGCCGGGCCCTGAAAGTGGGGGTGCTCCTCGCCCTTCAGTGCTGCTGGAGCAAATGCCCCTCCTCCTCAGATGCGCACCACCCACCTGTCAGAGGACTTCTCCATTCTACAGAGCCTCAACACAGCTGCCATCAGCCAGCCGAGAGCGCAGCTGAAGACTGTGGATGGCAGGGGTTGAGGCCCAGCCCACTGGGAAGCAGGGGTGGCAGCAGACACACAGATCAGGGGAACAGGGCACAGCTGGGGACACCGCAGCCCAAGCTTTCGAAAGTCCCCTGCAGGTAAGAAACACAAGACCGGCATCTGTGTTACGAATCCACCTGTGTCATGAGGCTGATGGATGCTAAGTTCCTGAAACGTGGTCTGCACGGGCAGTGCCTGTGCCTGTTTCAGGGATTCCAACCAGTGCTGGGAAGGGCTTGGACACATGTGAGACAGTGACTCCATCAACAGCAACTGCCCATGCATCCAGCGTCTTGGGGAGTTTTTATCAGAATATCCTGACCTGGAGATTTGGCACACTGTGCACACACACAGGCAGAACAGACTGTTCTAAAACTTTCAAAAGTTTATTTTCAGCAGTCAGTCACTCACTCTGGTGCCCCAGAAGGAGCATGGCAGCTGGATTCCAACTGACCTCACTTTTTCCCTGCCAGGAGACCTGGGGCAAGGCTTGCAGCCTGCCAAACCCTGTAAACGGAGATTATCAGAAAACCCATCCCCGGGGCTAGACGAGACTTAAATCAGGTGCTGGGTAGAAAACACCCTTTCTAAGGCACTAAGCACTGCACAAATGTTCTTTTCCCTTTAATTGCCCTCCCTTTAATTGTGAGAAAAATAATGATTTGGGGTCAGAATGTATACTACATACTGATCTTTCTAGACCATCATTAAATGTAGAGGTAGAAACAACTCAAATGTCCATCAACTCATGAATGGAGAAAGAAATGTGGTGCATCCATACAACAGAATACTATGCAGCATTAAAAAAATGAATGGCACATACCACATGGGTGAGCTTCAGAAACATCATGGGGAATGAAAGAAGCCAGATATAAAAAGGCCGCAAACTGTATGATTCCATTCATATGAAAAGCCCAGAATAGGGAGACCCACAGAGTTGCCCAGAGCTGGGGTGACAGTAAGGAGAACAGTTTCTTTAGAAGTGATAAAAATGGTCTATGATTGACTGTGGCGATGGCTACACATTATATGTTGAATATACTAAAACCACTGAATTGTACACTTTGAATGGATGAATTCACGGTATGTGAATTCTGTCTCAATAAAGCCTTAAAAGAAAAAAATGTAAATGCTGGCTAAATGACAGGAACCTATTTCTCTCTCACTCACTCAGCTGATCTTCCCAGGAAGGGCAGACAATTTGCCCTGATTCCAGTTCTCTTAAAATGTGAGACCTCTGGCCTTTCCTCTGGGATTCAAAATCCAACTGCTGTGAGTTAAGAATGTTCCTTCATAATTTTAACTTCTATTTACTCACCTTTGAACCACACTAAGTAATTTCTTGGCACATTGACATCTGTTGATGGATCTGTATTACAACTTTTCCAACTTGCAGGTTTCCAAGTCACAAGAGGTTCATCACAATACCTCTTCTTCTTGCAAAACACCCTTAATTTAACCACAGCTATGATGATAGTAACTGGCATATCACTGGAATGTCATAAATTGAAAATTCATAAAATCAGTGCACAGAAACAGGTGCAGGAGAAATGTATGGTGAATCAAAGCCATCCCAATGACCATTCATATTTGTCAAAGTCTGAACTCGTCTGTCACTGCTGTGACTTCCATGGGTGGCTGCACTGGAAGCCCCAGGGACTGAAATAAGTTTCCAGATTTTAAAATTTAAGTCCTTGAAAAATGCAGTCATCTATAAGAGTCTTCCTCTGCAGTTGGAAGGCCTATTTGCATTACCTTCTGTATATTTACTTCCAGCTTCTCTCTTTATCTCATAGACTATTCCATGCCGTTTCAAGACAGAAATTCCACATGAGGACCACGCTGGCACAGGCATAGAAATTACCAAATCTCTATAAGAAAGGCTTACTCTGATCCAACACAAATGTATACCAGGCTAATACAAATTAAATTTCTAATAATAAAAGTGCATTTCCTCTTAATAATTGGGAAGTTAATGTCTTCTATGAGTAACATATGCTATAAATACTCCACATTTTGAGAATGATGCCTGCTCAAAAGAAGAGGTTTTTAAAAACTCATTTTCTGCTTTTTGTATCCAAGCATCTCAGATCACTTTCCAATAAGCCACGATTTCTCCAAACATCCCATGAGCTGCAGTGCCAGGGACAGGTTCCCTGCTTAGATACAGACAGAATCATAAAGAGGTTCAGTAGCCTGTGGAGTGGACGAGTTAGTGCCATATGTAGAACCGAACCGCTCTCAAAGAACCAATATTGGGTACCGTGAAGAACTCTGAGTCCAAAATTAACCAAAGTTGACTTCTGTCGCTCGGTTTGCAAAGTGAAGGTGCAGGTAGACAAATTCAATGCTTTTCAAATTGTGTTCGCCAAAATGACTGCAGGGGTTGAGGTGGAGGGGGAGGGTTTGTAGGGGCTGGAGTGTGAGGCCCTTTTTGTCAATCCGAGAAGCACCACTTTCAACTGTTTTTGTTAAGCAGAAGGGTCTTCTGTTGAAAATAATAATAGTAAAGGTTTCAAAAATGCTGGTCTCAGTGACCTTAAAGGGTTATTGTTTTTATAACCACAAAGAAGAGGAATCCTCAGTCCCAACCTGGGGACTTTGCCCAACAGGTGACTGTGACTGTGATCCCTGTGACTGCTGGAGCCTGGCTCAGGGCTTCCCCTCGCATCAGCACCTCAAGGAGAAACGCACTGGTCCTCACTGTCACACCACCCAGCTATACTGCCATGGGCAAGTGGCTCCAATTATTGGGACTGCTCTTGCTGCAATTCCACTTTCTTCATGTGAAAGGGTGGGAAATGCCTGCCCCTCAAGTCACATAATGTGGGAGGCAGCGTCAAGCCTGAGCAGACTCTCAGGAGGGGCACCCTACCCCTTTCCCAGGCTGTGAGAATGAGGATGGAAGATGAATCACTCAACAATACAGCCTGGCCGCACCCAAACACATTGATTTATAACTCACCCCACTTTCTTCTAAATAGTATTCACAGTAGGTATGCAAGAGACTAAGCTGACCAGCACCTCCGCTGGTACTGCAAGGCCCCTCCAGGGTCCTCACGGAGCTCCTAATGATTCTCCAGGGCATTGCACACTTACTTTCCATTTGCAACAACTCCCTTTCCTCTTGATGTCAGAAACAACCTTCCCGTCCACTTTTTTAAGCACATGTCCTAGGTGTCACCCATCCCAGTGGCATCACTGCATCCTTCCTCCTACCCGGTTGATAGCACGTTGGGGACCCTCTACTCTCATTGGCAATCTGTCCCTCTGGATCTCTCTCCAATCACTTGATATGCTGTCTACAGCTACTTTCCGAATACAACAGAGGAGGTTAGACTCTTTGTGGCCCAAGAAGCCTGAAATATTTACTCTCTGGCCCTTTACAGAAACAATGTGCTAACTCCTCGCCTGACGCAACTATTAAAATGAATTAGAATTATCTCCCCCATAAAAATATTGGCATCTAGTAGGCAAAGTATCACAATACTCTTCATATTTTCTGATTAGGTAGAGCACAGTGCTTTACATACAGTAAGTGCTTAACCAGATGTTTTCTGAATTGAACACTCCTTAAAAATGATTAATTTGAGCCTGGGTCTATGCAACACCTATGAGTGATCCCATTCTATGGGTGTGAGTCATGTGACTGGGAAAAGAAGGGAGACACCCAACACCTAGCAAATTTTTTTGAAGACCATCAGCAGGTGATTTTAAATGCACATAGACTGTAGAAATGAAACAATAAGAAAGATTTTCACCAAGTCGCTGCAATATAATTAGTTGCAATGGGAGTGTGGTAATTTACCCATCTTCATTAACAATCTGTTCACTCAGGTGTTATACAATTCCACAGGAAACACAATCAACATTTTGGAAGATTACAACCCATCGGAAACAATCTATAAAAATAGGATGTCGACCAGGCGCAGTGGCTCACGCCTATAACCCCAGCACTTTGGGTGGCCGAGGCGGGTGGATCGCCTGAGGTCAGGAATTTGAGACCAGCCTGGCCAACATGGCGAAACCCCATCTCTACTACAAGTACAAAAATTAGCCAGGCGTGGTGGCAGATGCCTGTAATCCCAGCTACTCAGGAGGTTGAGGCAGAAGAATCACTTGAACCCGCGAGGCGGAGGTTGCAGTGGGCCAAGATCACGCCACTGCACTCCAGCCTGGGCAATAAGAGTGAGACTCCGTCTCAAAAAAAAAAAAATAGGATGTCAAGGTGATTGTAATAGAGGGAAAGATTCTTATCACAGTGTTTGTTAATATTCACCTACACAGAATCATCCCATATGATCACGGGAAAAGTTTAAAGCAACGACAATTACAACATCAAAGAGCACTTGGAAGTTTCCTCTCCTTTTTAGTTCTGTAGACTTCTTCCATGATAAACCACGAGCAGATCTGTTAGAGAAACACCAGGGGAACATTCCACACAGAGTTTGCATCCAACCTCATGGAGGCATCCATTAGGCAATCAAGTGCAGAAAGTATGATCGCTCCAACCTTATGCCAACCACTGGATGTGCTTAAACCATGATCTCTGGCCACTGTCGGCTTGAGAACTCTGACCAGTGTTGAGAAGTGGGTCTCACTGTTGGGGAACTTGTAAAAGATCTGCTTGAAGCTCCAGACAGTGCAGATAATGATGCAAACCTAAAAGCTATTTTTAATGGGCTTTTACATTCAACTTTGATTATTACACAATACATTAAATTGATAGGGGGTAAATTTTTAAAACAGAGAATATGGACTCACTTTGGGAGGCCAAGGAGGGAAGATCATGAGGTCAGGAGTTCAAAACCAGCCTTTCCAATATAGTGAAACCCCGCTTCTACTAAAAATACAAAAATTAGCTGGGCGTGGTGGTGTGTGCCTGTAATCCCAGCTACTCGGGAGGTTGAGGCAAAAGAATTGCTTGAACCCAGGAGGCAGAGGTTGCAGTGAGCCGAGATAGCGCTATTGCACTCCAGCCTGGGCGACAGAGACTCCGTCTCAAAAAAAAGAAAAAAAAAAAAAAGTCAAACGACTGAACACGTAAGTTCCTCTCCTGTCTGCCTGGTAGATGGTGGGGGGTGTCAGGTGGAGCCTGACAATCAGAATGCCAAGGCCAGGTAACTCCAGATCAAGCTTGGCCAGACCTCACGCCACCTCCTTCTGAACACACCAGAGCCTCCTCTATCTCGGGGGTATCAGAAGCAGCATTTTCCATCCCCGAAGAAACACAACACTGTCAGCGAGGTCACAGCCTGGGGAAGCCTCTGCTAGCAAGGCAGTGGAGGCATCTCTCTCAGAGAGTGGCTTCAGGGGGAGTGAGTGGGTTTCCACTGGAGGGACTCCTATGGGAGGGTGGAAGGGGCTGGTGAAGACAGAGGCTGCCTGCTTCCCTCAGAAGCAGCTTCCATTTCACAAGATGAAAAGAGTACTTCACAAACATTTTCAGGTTTTTTTTTTAATTAAACAAAGAAAAAGTTGTGAGACTAAATGCCAGCTGCTACACAATGCCCCGGCAAAGCGAACACGTTCCCCCTGGCAACTGCACAGAGAGAAGCACCCTAGAAAGTAGGAACAGTTTTTAATCTGTTCATGGATGTCAATAAATAACCAAAGTGTAACGCTTGGCTTCTGCGATGGTGTCTCTCAGAGTCTCAAAGCACACACTGACGGCAAGCACCACGTGGTGGGAGGTGGTCTTGCAAAGTCAGGAGCAAACCCAAGCGCTTTGCATTCCAGCCCTCGGCATGCAGCCCAGGTGGATGACTGCACCCTCACCATAGGCAAACTGCTGCCGGAGAGGGGACGGGACCCCTGCCCCTCCATAGGGATGCAGTCACAATGACGGGGGATGCCGCTTCTCTGAACGTGGTCTCTTTCATCCAGACCAAGAGCCAAACCCAGGGACAACACAAACCCCAGGGGGAAACAATGCGCATGCTTCATCCACACCTGTTGTGTGGATGGCTGGGCCCATGGGGTCCCAGACCCCGCTGAGCAGCAGCCTCCCATGCAACCCTGGAGGTGGTGATCACTGTGAGGAAGACAGGACCAAGAGACCACGCTCCAGGCCAGACAGCTTCCATTTTCTGTGTCCCAGATCCCACAGAAAGACTGGCACAGTTGTCTGCTGGGGTGGCGGTGGAGTTTTCAGAGGCACCCCTGCTACATGGCAAAGCTGCAGCAGGAAAGCCCTTCGGGCCCAGGGAGCAAGGTCTGGTTCTTGGGAAGTCAATACACTGCTGTAAGTCATATTTTGTTTCCCATGCTCATTAGATGTCCGAGAGCACCGCACAGAGCACACATCTGCAGTTCGGGACCACTCACTACGCTCACGGGGTGGGCTGCAAGCCGGTGCAGACTCCACCCAAGCAGGTGAGATGGAGCAGAGGCAACCCCCGCTGTGCCCCCCTTCCTTACAATCCCTACCGCCCTCCAAAGACGGGCTGCTCTGAGGGGTTCCTGAGAGTCCTGACAGGCACAACACAGGCAGGCTTAACACCCACGGTGACGGCGGCAGGAAGAGAGCACCCAGTCCGTGCTGATAAGCTGAGAATGGGGTCCTGGTCACAATGGCAGAGGATGGTGTCAGAGGGAAGTCGGAAGCAAGCCCACCTGTGTGCCTGTGTGTGGACATACAGACATATATACACAGTCATGCACCACTTAACAAGGAGAATATATTCTGAAAAATGAGTCCTTGGGTGACATCATTGTGTGAACATCAGAGTGTACATGCATAACTCCAGATGGCATAGCCTAAGACATACCTAGGCTATGTGGCACAGCCTATGCTCCTAGCCTATAAAGCTGTGCAGCATGGAC
Organism: Homo sapiens; assembly: GCF_000001405.40. Classification (NCBI taxonomy): domain Eukaryota; kingdom Metazoa; phylum Chordata; class Mammalia; order Primates; family Hominidae; genus Homo; species Homo sapiens. The sequence continues at coordinate 109,187,568 of NC_000002.12, read as the reverse complement.
TGTACTAGACACCTTAGGAGCTGGAACACAATGGTAAATGTTTGTATCTAAACACAAGGAAGGTACAGTAAAGATATAATCTTATCACACAGTATATGCAATTGTCAACAACAGCAACGTCTTCATGCAGTACATGACTGTATTTACGTGTGTGCGGCCTTAAGCACCATCTTAGCTTTTTCTAAATAATACCTTTAAAAAAAAAAAGTCTGTGGTTGTCTTTTGCACTCTGGAGAAAAGAGCTTTCCTAATTCAGACTAAACAGAAAAGACTAAACAGGTCACATCAGATCGAAGAGTTTTTTAAATTGTGCAATTATAGGAATTTCAAGTAGATTTTAAAACTCAACCTAAGATAACAAGTAAACCGATGCCTTTGGGAATACTTTCTTGTAATGACGACGAAGTGGTCAGCACCGTGGGGACAGAGTCCTGTGTCCCTCACCCTGTGGCTCTGGAGCCAGCAAAGAGTGTGGTCATGATGCTAGCAAAATATGCTTAAATGATCCGTGACAGGTGGGGCCAGCACCTATGGGGTGGGGTGCCAGGGCTAGGCCCAGCTCCGCCTCTGGGAGACGAGCAAACTTCTAGGGGCACAGGTTGGGGAGGCAGCATCATGGCTTCTACACTTCCAATTAGTTCTAGCACGCTTTTTTGCTATAAACTGGGTGAATATATGGACCCACAGAATCACACATTTACTGAAAATGAAACTGAACTCTGACCCCATAGCTGGGGAGGTGAGGCTGGTGCTGGGGTTGTAGGTGGAACCTAAGGCAGTGATATTCACTGGAGCCTCTGCATTCCCACATGCTGCCCAGTCCTCAGAGTACCCCAAGAAAAATGGTTACCTCAAAGCTGTGTGTGTGGCTCCTTTGAGAAAAGCTAGTAAGATGCATTTCCCGCAGGGTCTTCCTAGGGGGCTCCATCCCAACCCAAAACCCCATTCCAACAGGAGCTGTTTTTTAATAAACTGGGGGCAGGAGGTTATTTGTTTGCTTTACTGGTTGCTGGAAATGTCAAAAACAGAATTGACTTTCTAAATCAAGGTCTGGGTAACTGGCCCTACATGCTTTCATTTTACACACACCTTGAACTCCCACGGGTGGTCCAGCACGGCGGTGAAGTGTTTGCACTCTAAAGCCTCACTCCCCAGGTTCGTATCGAGGCTCCGCCTCTTAATGCTATGTGACCTCACACAAGATACTCAACTTCTCCGTGCCTCAGCATTTTCATCTGCAGGATGGGGATAATGGCAGTACCTGCCACTAGGGCTGCAGTCAGGATTACATGAATTCATCTGGGCAAATGCAAAGGAAAGCATCTCGTACACGGGAAGCACTCCAGTTCACTTCGTCTTCTTTTCAGTGAGGCAAAAACAGAAATCTCAGTAATGACATTTTCAAATGCTGGGAAAATTATTAAAAGGAGCATTTCAAGGACACAGAGACAGGGCCTGCCCTCTCCTGAAGTTAAAATCACCCTGGGAATGTACAACACAAGTCAAGACACTGGGTTAAATACAAAACAGGATCCCAGTGACTAAGGGAATAAAAACGGCCCAGAGAATGGTATGAAATGTGCTCGTGACAGCCAAGGCCAGGCCTCTGCTGGCCAAGCACGGGGCACAGGGCACAGGGCCAGCCGTCCCAGGAGCTGGGGGAGGATGCATCCACACCACCCGACTTGGCCCCTTTGACAGGCACAAGAATGCCCCTAATTACAAGACACTGTCGCCTCATTTCTCCTACAGTGCCACAGAAGATTAATAACTGAAGTATTAGTGTGCCAAGTTAATTTGAAATCACAATATAAAATCCTGGATGAGTTTTGTCTGTCTAAAGTCTCCCACTTCCTTTCCAGAAATCGTCTTTTCCACCAAGAGCCATGTGCCTAGTGAACTAAGGTGAACCAGGAGTGTCTGAGGGCTGTCCTGTCCAGGGACTTGGCTCCGGCTTCTCTGCCAACCCCAAAGGCAGGAAAACCAACGCCTGGCCAAAGAGACAGAGACTCCACCCCCAGCATTCTGTGAAATCCTTTGATGCCCTGTGATGTCTGCACCTTTCAACATGCTCTGTGACTCAAGTAAATGTGATGTCCTGAGTTTATTTTGTTAAATTAACTTGCCTCTTCGGATCAAGGATTTAAAGTAAGAATTTTTCTTTAGGTTCCCTGTGATAAAAAGCACAGCTGTCTTCACTCTTCTCTGATGCTCTAACAATCCAATCTTTTATTGTTTAAAAAAATATGCAAACACACTGAGCTCCTCTTACATGGGATTTTATTCACATCGATTAGGAAAGATGCCTTACCTGATAACATGTCCCTGTCAAATTATTCTTCCACTTGATAAATATACGGAAAAATAACCACCCTTTAAATCCCAATGGGAGAGAAATTCTAACAATCAGGAAAATATCTCAGATGCAATCCAAACTGTCTACAAATGAATATATTCCACTCTAATCACATTTTACTATCTCCACGGTGTAACAGCCCCAACAAAGGGAATCGAAATACACAAACAGATAATAAGCAGGTTCCATATTTTAATCAGGTAGGTGGTGCTACAATATGGGTATATTCACAGACACCTACAATTCTTTTCATATTTTTCAGGTGGAAATAAATGGAAAATGTATATATTTTCTTACATTCTTGGTTGTTTGATGAGGCCTTTTTCGCTGAGGGACCAGCTTCAATGACAAACTGTCTTTGCTCAGTTTTCTGGACAACCACGTAACTGCCTCATTGGGCTTGGCAAATACTTTCTTGTATGTGGCACAACTCCCTGAACTCTGCAAACCCAACCAGAAAGTTCTGGCAGAATAGGAGGCTGCACATTCACAGGAGGCACTTGGAGAGGCTGCTTCCTGGTGGCAGGGGGAAGCAGGCAGCCCAGTGTGGGCTGGGACCTCTGGTGGGACCAGCTCACTCTCTGGGAAGCCCATGGAGGCACAGGAGCACCCCAGCACTGGATGGGGGAAGCCAACAACCTGGATCAGAGGGGCTCAAAGCTAAGCAACAGCTCAGCCTCCCAGCCCAGCTCTATCCGCACAGGACTCTGAGCAGTGAGCAGACCCACGGCTGGGACAGACAGGGGACCAGAGCTCCCCCAGGGCCCCGCCACAGCAATAGCAAAGACCACATCTGACATATCTGCTTTCATCACCTGAAAAGCTGCCTTTCTGCATTTCATCCTGCTAGGAAACTCCTGGCCTTTGTGCGATAAACGTCTTATTTTTATGAACAAGGATATGAACTTGGTCATTTGAAGTAAGGGAGAAGGAACAGAGTTGAACACTGCTTTGACCAGTCACCTATCCAAGAAGCTCCCAGAACTCCCAAGGGAGTGTAGAAATTCAGACCACCTGGGAGGAGATATGGATTTACCCAAGCATCACAGGGCCAGCCAAGGCAACTGGGGCAGTGCCTTGAAGCACATGCAGGAGACTACGAAGCACATGGAACCACCACATGGGCTCAACACCCCACGTTCACAGAGAGATCGTGATACCCTGGACAGCACCTAGCACTCAACACACACCGTGTCACTCAACCCCACTAAGGACCACAGGGCTCCATTCTACAGAAGAGAATAACTGAGGCTCTGAGGAGCTGGGGCACTCACCTGCAACTGGTAGGTGTGGGGGCACAGGTCTCTGGGATTCTAGAGCCCACTTTCCTTGGGACAATGCCCTAGAGAGAATGGCCCAGGGACAACACAGTGGCCTGGCAGGGGCCCCTGGACAGGTAACTTAACCCCCTTGGCCTTACCTCCTTATATGTAAAGAGTATAAATAATTCCTGACCTGACCGAGCTGCTGGGAGGATCAAATGCTCCATGTAGGAAAGTGCTGAGAGACTCATCAGTTTTGTTTTTGTTTTCAGGGATGAACTGTACATTTTCAGAATCAAAGAGTGAGTGGACGGGCAGGATAAAAGAAGTTAATTTCTCATTTTTTTTATCTCAAAAATAAAAGTTAAGGCTGAATTGTGAAGAGCTGGGGTAAGACTCAAATGTTCTAGTCCTGGTTTATACACAAAAGGCACAGCCTTCAAAAGGCCACTGAAACCTCTCCCTCTCCAGGCTTCAATTTCCAGATCTTTACTGTGTGGGAGTTGAACTACTATATGCATCTAGATATAAGGTAGAGCTTTGTTTCCAAAATCACCCAGCAGCAAGGGAGAGTTCACCATCTCTTTGGTTCCCTGTGTAGACTCTCACCTTGCAAAGCACTTATCAGTTACTTTATTAAGAACACGAAAGCAGTATATGGAGAAAATACACAAGCCTGAAACTAACTCAACTGATAGTCATCTCAGGATGTGCTTTTTGAGAATCAGTATACAAGAAGGCAAGTTAACACAGATTCAGTAATTAACCCAGAAGGAATGACCCACAATTCTGGGTCAGTTTTGGACAGTGCTGGACAGTTTTGTACACAATCTTCTAAAGATTTCTTTTAAAAAGTTAATTTTTAGTGCTGAATAAATTAGTCATTGTGGCTTGGGATAAAAACGACTAGAAAATACATCTCACGACACAGTCATGTGGAAGGATGATGAGCTCTGAAACCTGTTAGGAGACCCAAAATGGGGTCCTGTGATGATGAAGACACCAATGTCAAAGATTCATGGGAAACGTTTAAGTTATTTTATGAAATATGAGAGTGAAAAACAGTATAATTTTATATGGCAATATGCATATGGAAATAAACTATATATTAGAAACAGGCAGTTGAGCATTCTATTTCCTAGAAATTCAAATATCCAAGTTGGCCTGACACTTTAATTTTAAAATTAAAAATAAGAAATCATTTAAATTGAGAATTACTTTATATGTAGACCACTGCAGTAGTTGATATCAAGGAAATACCAGCCTAGCCTCAAAGCATTACAATGTAACTGGAGCCATTACTTACCCACTCATTCATTCCTTTAGTCACCAATTTACGCAACATCGATTCATTCTTGCAATTAATGCAAAATATCTCCTGTGCAAGTTCCATGTGCTTTCTATGTCCCAAGCACATCCAGGAAGAAAAACACCTGACTATGTGAGATTATACTATGCAGACACCTTTCTGGGACACTATAGTTTGAGTGTGTCCCCCAAAGTTTATGTGTTGGAAATTTGATCCCTAATGCAGAGGGTTTGGACCTTTAAGAGGTGATTAGGTCATGAGGGCTTCACCTTCCTAAGTGGGTTAATGCCATTGTCATGGGAGTGGGCTAGTTATAAAAGCAGGGACTTCAGCCCCATTCTCTCACATGCACACATACTATCTCACCATGCGATGCCTTCTGCCATGGGATGACTCTCACCAAATGCCAGCGCCATGCTCTTGGACTTCCCAGCCTTCAAAATCATGAGTCAAATACACTTCTATTGTTTATAAGTTATCCAGTTTGTGGTATTCTTCTATAGCAGCAGAAAACTAAGTAAGACAAACCTCTTCATGCTTCAACAGGTGAAGCAATTACCTACTTTTCAAAAATTATTCAGGTTTACGGCATACATATGTTTATCACATAGATAATTTTTTTGAAGTTCAAAATCAGGCTCCTCCTCCCCTGAGCAATGAGCAAACATCACCAAACTGGCCTTTGGTTGCTCATTCAAGGCCCTTACAGCCATGGCAATATAACTACAGTAAAGCCTAAAAGGAAAACCAGAGAATATACTAACACATAAACCTAATTCCTGCCAGGATGGAAAAAAAAGGTGTAGGTCATGGAAAAATGGTCTTAGAATGTGGCATGGATGAAGTATGCTCAGAGATGTCAAGAAAAAGGCAGGGAGACAGATGGAACCTAGCATCCACTACCATGGCTGGAGAAGAAAGAGGAGGCAGGAGAGTAGACTCAGAGAATAGGAACCCCCTGTGGCCGGGAGGGAAATTTGGATTTGGTGTGTTCGGCAACAGGCATCTACTGCAGGTCCTTATGCTGGAGGGGAAGGTAAAAACATAACTTTTAATAAAGAGGAATCTGGTGAAAGTAGGAGTGTGGCATGGACCAGAGGATAAAGAAACTTTTGGGTACTTTTCTGCTGTGTTTGTTAGTGTGCGTGTGTGTGTGTGTTACACCAGTGGAATCCTTTCTTCACACAAACCCTTACAGCGCCAGATGCAACATGCCATTCTAGACTGGATCCTGGAACAGAAAAAAGACGTGAGTGGCAAGACTGCTGAAACCCTGGTAAAACCTGTAATTTAGTGAACAGTAATGTACCCATGTTAATTGCTTAGTTTTGACAAATGTACCATGGTAGCATAAGATATCAACATTAGTGGAGACTGGGCAAGGGGTATACAGGAATCCTCTGTTCTGTTTTCTCAACTTTTCCATAAACCTAAGATCATTCCCAAATAACAGGTTTATTTGAAAAACTCTGACACAGAAGTCCAACACCAAACACAGACGAGCTGGAAGGACCTTCCTGAGCCATCACTTCTCCTCACCACCTCCACATGCTCATGCTGACGGAGGGTCTGTGAGTACTGTGTGTGCACAGCGGGCTGGCCATCAAAGGACTTTGTCAAGAAGGGGAAAATTGGTAAGTAGGATTGGAATGTTATCAATCTGAGGAAGCTTGCATCAGGGTAAACATATTGCATGGAGAAATCTGCTGATAAATCCCACTGCAGAGCTCTCTGCATGGGGTGGTCCCTTCCAAGTAAGCTTGCCCTGGACTCAGCCCCTGAAGCCCCTGTGACCACACTCTTAGCTGACTGAGTATATTAGTCTGTTTCCACACTGCTGATAGACATACCAGAGACTGGGCAATTTACAAAATAAAGAGGTTTAATGGACTTACAGTTCCACATGGCTGGGGAAGCCTCACAATGGTGGTGGAAGGAAAGGAGGAGCAAGTCACATCTTACATGGAGGACATCAGACAAAGAGAGCCAAGCAAAAAGGGTTTCTCCTTATAAAATCATCAGATCTCGTGAGACTTATTTACTACCACAAGAACAGTATGGGAGAAACCACCCCCATGATTCAATTATCTCCCACTGGGTCCCTCCCACAACACGTGGGAATTATGAGAGTACAATTCAAGATGAGATTTGGGTGGGGATACAGAGCCAAACCATATCACTGGGCCAGGGGAAGTCACCTGACCCCTGAGGAGCCAGTTCATTGGCTAGCTAATGGCCTCTGTGTACCTGCTGTGAAGTAATTCCCTGAGCCAATGAGATGGTCCCTTTTGGGAAATGGAATCAGGAAACAGAGAAAAAGTCATCAATACCATCTGCCAAATCAGGAAAGGCAGCGGACTCAGAGAGAAGCAGAGATTGTGGGCAAAGGAAGGAGGCCGAAGCCCTGACTAGTGGGGAATACCAGTGGAGGGCAGTGGTTCAGTGGCAGCACAGGTAGAGAGGGAAGTAGACAGAGAACAGGGCCCAGCTGTGTGACTGGCAGACTAGAGAAAAAAAAAAAAACTTCTCCTGTGGTTCCTAACCCCATGGAGGCCCATTTGTTCAGCTGTGCCTGGGTCCCCACAGAGAGCAAACCTTACAATAAGATCCCACCACTTGAGGTAATTTGAATGGGTCTGATTCTTGCAACCCAAAGAGTCTTTTTAAGAACACCTTTGGGTCCAAATGATCCAGCCTCTGTCTTGTTTAATAGCCCTAGTTCTTTCGTCAGTGACTTTTTTGACCCCTGTATTTTCCTGCGATAAGGAGCACTTTGAGGGGTAAGAGACAGCGTGGTTTAGCCAAGAGGGCTATGGTTTGAATGTGTCCCCCAGATCTTATGTGTTGAAAACACAATCTCCAAATTCATATGTTGATGGCATCTTGAGGCAGGGTCTTTGGAGGTAATTAGGATTAGATAAAGCCATCAGGGTAGGGCCCCCATGATGGGACTTGTGGCTTTAGAAGAACAGGAAGAGAGACCTTAGCTAGCACATTCTTGCCCTCTCACCATGTGATACCCTCCACCATATTACAACACAGCAGGAAGGATATCATCAGATGCCAGTACCATGTTCTTGGACTTCCCAGTCTCCAGAACTGTGAGCTCATGAAACCTGTTTTCTTTATAAGTTACCCACTCTTTGGTATTATATTATAGCAACAGAAAACACACAAAGACAAGGACACTGGGCTGGGCAGCAGTTAAGAGATCTCAGGGATACCCCCCAGCTCCGAGCCACCACTCTGGGCAAGTCATGTCCTCTCACGTTCTGCTTTTTCATCTAATACAGGAAGAGTCTGGACTCACTGTCAGCAGCTCTGAAAATCTACAGACTACCTTTCTTTATATATCCTCTTACTTCTTGGCCATCACCTCCAGAATCAGAGGATAAAAAGGATCACATGTCAGAACAGGAAGTAGAACCTAATTTTGATTATCTCAATTTCCACGCAGCTGCAAGATACGTATTTCTCTGGTCAGGGACATTGTACATCCTACTCGTTTCCTTCCAGCTGCCATGACATTTCACAGACTCTTCTGAGGCTCAATTAAAGAATGTGAATCTCAGTTTACTTACAGACTCTCATTCTGGTTTAAAAATACACACACACACACACACACACACACACACACATTATTATACTTTATAAGAAAAAAAGTATTTCCCCCAAAACCTTCACACAAACACGAAAAGTTAATTTGAATATCTTACACAGGGAAGATGGTCCATAACTACTTTCTCAGGAGGTTTCCATGAAGTCATCATTTAATTCATTTATTAATTCAGTGAATATGTCCATATTCATTTCACTGTAACACAATTATTTTGCTCATTAAACATTTTGTGCTGCCAGAGACACCTACGAAATCTAATAAGCAGTTTCCAGAACTACACGACACACCAATTAAAAATGTTAATTAGATCTATGTGAACGACACAAGAACTTTGACAAAGTGAATTCCTGGGAGGACAGGAAGAGGAGCATGATCCATAAATAAGCCAACTGCCCTGCCTTGCTGTCTCACCACAGACTCTTTTGGTTCTGAAAAATAACGTATTTGAGTCCAAAGGCTTTGGGTTAAAGAGTTGACATAAATAAAACATAGCAATGTTGGGAATAATCTCTGACAAATACAGTTAGAGAATATAAACTATCCAAGTATAATATCTCTGGAGGACCTGCTACAGGAGACCATCTAGAGCTCACAAAACAATAAAAAAAAGGAAACTAAAGCATACCACCAATATTCCTCCACCACACTGAGTATATATCATTTCTAGCAGAAGCAGTATTATTCACGGGGGCTCAATGAATTGCAATAGAGAACATTCATAAAAGAGCTCTAAAAATTAAAGCAAAGAGGCAGATAAAAACGTTGACAACTAAGTTCCTGAAATTTATAGAATATGACTCTGCAATGTATGAAATACATATGAAAATATTTTGTTTGGTACATTGGTGCCTCATATTTTTTCCTTACCCTAAGAAAGGGTAGGTTTGTTGTATAGCAGCACAGATTGATATGGATATAGAAAGAGAAAATATTTTTAGTTTTAGGGTAGACTTGTTTGTTTGCTTATACCTTAGCAAAGAAACATACTTGAACAATTGGGAGAAAAGATTTAGGCCCTTTGTTTAGGTCTAATTTTCTGATTATGTTAGATGATTTGGGAAACATGTTGGCAAATCAAATGAGACTCCTGCTAGAAACTTCCAGTTTAATGGAGAAATCCTACCTCAAAGGAGAAAGGTGAATTAAACAAACAACTTTACTTGTTCTTGACCTACAAGCCATCTGGCAGTTGGCCAGAATAAATCAAACAAATTGCCTTGTCTAATAGGCTTTAATATTTCTTACATCTGAAATCTACTAGAGGATCAAGTTGAAGGGGGTTCTTAGCATTTTCCTGGGAAGTCTACCTGTCCTAAGTTATTCAGAGTTTTTAGATTACTACACAAGCAGGATCTCTGTGTGGTCTAGACACTATCATCTCTCCCCTCACCCTCACCCTCACCTCAACACCCTGTGGCCTTGTTCTTTCTCTGGACCACTGATACTAACTTTGTAGGAATGGTGCCCCCCCCCAGAGCAGGTGACAGTCACACTCCCCAGAGAAGTTAAATAGTGGCTTCACACACAGTTCCAAGGAGTCACGGAGCTGCCAAGTCCATGCATGAACCCTCTGGCAGATCACAGGCCCCAAGTCTAAAAAATCTCTGCCCCAGACTATTTCATGTCCAACTTATTCATGCTACAATGGCAGAGCCTGGTTAGTTGCAGTCCCTTGTACCACCCTAAGTATCTTTCTTAGTAGATATAAAAGAAAATCACCATGCATTGGGCTCCTTCTCTGCACCAGCCCCAGGCCTGGCATTTAATCTTCCTGCTTCACAATCCTGCACAGGAGCTATCATCGTCCCTGGTTTTGCATCTGAAAACACAGTCCCCCTTATTCTGACTCTGGGCTGAGTGTGTCTGTAAAGAAAAGATAAAGGCAGATGGCTAATCTCAGCACCACACGAGTGACTTTCCCAGTAAACAGAGCTTATTGTCTCAGACTCTGGAACATTTAAATGTAACTTCCACCAGGTCACACAGCAGGTGGCTGACAAAGCTGGGGAAAAGCCTGCTCACCCCAGTGCAGGGCTCTCTTGAGGCCATCATACCTCACCTAAAATGCCAAATCTCCCAAGTGATCAATCTCCTTTCCACCAGTCTCACCCTGACAAATGCATCCCTATCCTTCAGCTAGTGATCTTTCTCCCCTAAATACACATCATGGGCTGAAAACTGTTCAACAATGCCGTGTCACATAAGATAAAGTTCACGGCTGAGCCTAACTTCTGCCAGCGGAACAGCCTCCATTCCTGTTTCCATGCCCCTATGCCTTCTTTTTTAGAGACAGGGTCTGGCTCTGTGACCCAGGCTAGAGTGCGGTGACACCATCATAGCTCACTGAAATCTGAAACTCCCAGGTTCAAGCGATTCTCCTGCCTCAGCCTTCTGGGTTGCTGGGACTACAGGCATGTGCCACCACACCTGGCTAATTTTTTATTTTAATTTTTTGTAGGGATAGGGTCTCATTATGTTGCCAAGGCTGATCTTGAACCCCTGGACTGAAGTGATCCTCCCACCTTGGCCCCACAAAGTGTTAGGATTAGAGGCATGAGCCATCATGGCTGGCCCCTATGCCTTTTGATCAAGAAATTGTGAGCAACTATTGGGCTCCTAAAAACACAGCATTCCATTGCACATGGTGTTCTCTCAGAGTATCTCACTGCTGCTCAGCTGTCTTCTCTCAAAACACCTCCTTCCAGCCCTCAATGAAATAACCTTTCAATTAATTGGCTTCCTCCTCTGTACCCTTTTCTATTTTATTAAACTCTACAATTGCTACTTGACTCAAGAATCACAAAATAATCATTGCACAAGTCTGCTTTTCCCCCACTGGTTGTATGTTGGTTATTACCCTTTGAATTTTCAAGATTTAGCACTGGGCCAAGTAAAGGGCAGACACCCAGGAAATGCAGGTGGACAGAATGAGGCTTTCCAGTGTGCTGACCAAAACCCAAAGGAGCTAGGCCCCCAGTGAAGACAGAGTCTCAAGGATATAACATGCAGAATATCAATTAGACCACGTGGATCTTTTCTGCTTGCTCTCTGATCTGCTTCAGCACAAGTGATCCAGAAAAATAAAGTATTACTATAAAATATTCAAAGAACTCCCTGGAAAAAAATTAATTAGTGCATACCCAATAAATAATTAAGATGCAAAACTAAAAGACATGTTTAAAAAACTATTACTGGCATGGCAGCTTACAGCTGTTAAAAGATGAATTACTCCTTACTCTAGACTCTCTTTGAAGCCAATAGATTACAATTACACTGTTCAAAGTTACTTACTTCATTTTTATGTACACTCTACCTAGAAAAGTCCCTTAGTTGAGGTAACCCAAAATGTGTCCTATTACTGATTCTGGAGATCCTTAAAAATAAGGTTTCCACTGAGATTGCACTTTTCAGCCAAAGCAATAACCTAAGATTTCAGATTTGCAGCTCCTGCACCTGAGCAGCCACAGTGCTGGTCTCATTCAGGGGAGCCATGAGCTCATCCTTGTTTGCTCTCAGTTAATACTTGTTGAGTAAAGGAACAAACAGATGTGAAACCACCTGCCAACTCGTGAAGCTTCCTGGTTACACAGACGACTGCCAAAAAGTTTGCATTTATTTCCAAGTGTGCCTGAATTCACCAGCGTTTGCTTTTCAATGAGCTAACCTTTGTTTCTGTGCTGCAGGATGAAATACAAACCCCTCAGACATCTCATCAAGATAAAACCATGCAAAGATTAGCGTGCCAATAGGGGAAAGGATGAAGTACAAGTGCCAGGCAAGGAAAACAGGAAGCACCACAGGCCATGGCACCAAACTGACGTCACCACTGACTCTGAAATGATGGACTCCAATTTCTAGTCTGGACCAGGACTAGGTCCCGGTTTAGTGGGACTGATAATGACCAGGACTACTAGTAGGCATGAATGCACTTCTTAGCAGCATCTCAAAATCATTTAAATATGGGATTTTGCTGTGCGACTCAAATAAAGGCTACTCAAGGAAGCCAAAAGACAGTTGGGCAATATATTGTTTTGGAAAAAGGTATAAATCACTCTTTAAATATACCCTATTTAAGGCAAATGCAAGGACTCTCCCCATTAGATGACATCAGTGCTAGACAAGCCTAAAAGAGAATCTGAAATATGTTGACAGAGGGGCAGAAAGAAACTGCCTGTGCTCCTGCTATCCTATCCCTGAAGCTTGCACGCTAAGCCCCTGCCCTCATGGGTCTGCCAGCAGGGCTCCAGCGAGTGAGCCACACAAGGCATCATTTCCAACTTTTCCTCCAAAGACGCTGGGTTAAAATCTCCCACCTCAGTGCATGTGCCCTATCCTGAAAATATCATCTTCCAAATATATTACATTTATTAACCATTTATCTTCCTGTTCCTTATCAAACATAGCAAGGCTTCAGCCACCTAGATACGAACACCATAGCCACAATGGAGGGAATTCCAGACACCATGGGTTGTTGTAGAAAGACCACAGGCTTTGATTCCAGGACTGCCCGTTGCCCTGGCTGGGCCTGGCAGCAGCCAAGTGAGTGTGGCCTGGTGCCTACTCTGATCAGGGCACCACTCTGGTCCCACCCACGCCCCAGCTGTGGAGTATTGGCTGCCAACTGCATGAGGTATGGTATAGAAAAAAAATGAAAGGAAGTCAAAAACCCAGCACCCAGTCTGGTACACAGGAAGCATCCCCACATGTCTGTTCCTCTCCCCTCTTGCCAAAACAAAGCAACTTAGTCCTTCTCTCTGCCTGTGTTTCCCAGTCATAGATAAAACTGTGATGTCCACCTTACTCTTCGAAACAGTAAAATGGCCAGGGACATCCATGGCTACCTTCATGAACTCCACAACATCCTGGAGCCTCTGGTTGGGAGGCTCTGCCCTATGGCACAGCCCTGCTGTCCTGAAGCCACTGGGGCCACTGCACAGGCAAGGAAGGCTATGGGGACACTGTGGGAGCAGCCACCAAACCGCACTGCTGTGTGTTCTCTGAATCAAGGACTGAGCCCAGTGCTTTCCGCCACCAATGCCAGTCTCAGGACTCAGTGCCCACAGCCTGAACCCGACATCTGCTTTAAAGGGCATAAGAATTGGCCCACACCGGATTTCACATTCCTAATGAGAACATTCCAGATGAAGCAACAGCAAAAGAGCTGAGTCTGAACATCCAATTCCAAGGACGACGGCAGTGTTCCAGCCCCATCGCATGCCTTTGGTCAGGGGCCGACACTGAGCTCACAGCACACACCACAGGCAGGCTACCACAGTCCCTGGTCCCCCTAGACACTGCCCCTCCAGACAGCGGATTTCCCATCTTACATTCACTGTCTTTGCCGTGGGTCTCCTGCTCACATCCCACTGTCTAATGAGTCTCAGCAGGGGTCCATGAAAGGGCCAGACGGTAACCACTGCAGGCTGCGGGGTCTGTGTGGCCTTCCCCGCAGCCACCAGCTCTGCTGTTAGAGCTCTGTTGTTAGGCAGCCACAGACAATACATAGCCTGCAGGCAGTGTGCCAACCCCAGCCTTAAATCTGCCTGTGGGTAAGGCAGAGTCAACTGGAGAGGCAATGAAGAACTATGTCATTTATCCGAATTCTTCCAAACCAAGATAACCCGCCTTTATCTGAAACAGTCACACGATAGACAACCCAGGCAGGGACGGCTCGGTTGATAACGGGCAGAGCACAGGAAGGAGAGTCTGAGGAGAAAACGCAAGTGCAGGCTCAGGAGCCTCTCATCTCAATCCCAGGTTCTGAGCCAGACAATTCTTAAGGTTCTTTTCAACTTGATAATTACAGAATTCTAAGAACCATGACTCAGTCTGTGTTCGATTTCCATGAAGAAAAAAAGATTCCAAAGCCCTAGAAGTTACAAATTTTTAAAATTTGAGTTAAAAAAAGATGTTCATTTATTGAAACTTAAATAGATCAGAAAACATGAAGAAGAAAGTAAAATTTTCCCTTAAATCCCACCACCCAGGGATGACCAACACAGACTTTGGAAGTCTTACTGACATCTGCGTGAAGACAAGCGCAAGGTCATACATGACACTCAGTGTGTTCCCACAGCTACCAGTCACACAACAGTTATACCCACAGACAAGCAATTGCTTTGAACATGCACGTTTATTTTGGAAGAGAAATACTGGACTCAGCTAAGGCAGTGCTCTTCTACAATACTCACCAGTCGAGGCTTCGTGCTGGCACTGGGAAACTTAGACCACTTCCGTAACCCACATGCAGTTTGGTTTCTTAGCTAGGACAAAAAGTCCAGCATCCCTGCCAGAGCTCAACATGGGCAGACATGTGTCCCCATTTCTAAGACAAGGAAAATGAGAGCCCAGCAGTATCAGATCCCAAACAATTGCTTCCTGCTATGGGCTCCGGAGAGGTGATGCTGCTGATTCAAAACACCAGCCTGGGTGGCCAGGTGCAGCCCAATAATCCACACTGTTTGGAATAACAAGAGCTAGGACGGGACAAGCGGAGGGAGGTAAGAAAGGAAAATTACACCATTAAGGACTATTTTCACTGCAAACACCAAGAGGATAAAAGTTTGCTATCTCAATAAACGTATTTTAATGTTTTTAGGTTACAGTCACAGAAAAAGGAAGACCTCCAGGAGCAGGGAGAGGACGGCTGAGCTCCGTGCATGGTGAAGAGGGGTTTGACCGCTGGCTCGCGCATTTCCACGCTGTTTGCAAGGTCCTTGTCAGGAGAGAAACAGCACAGGCCACACGCAGCTGTTGCCCACAGATCCCTGTGGCGGCTGATACTTCAGACGCTGTGCTCAGAGGCCTGGCTGCCAGAGGACCCTGGTCTGAGAGCTAATGCACAGCTCACTCATCGGCATATTCCAGATGGCTCCGGGAGACCTGCTCCCCACCCGCTCTGCCCCAGGTCATTGCCTGGAACTGGGAAATGACGTGCATATCAAGTTTTCCCTCGTGCTCCAAACCAAGCAACCAAACAGGCCCTCATGGAGCCCACAGTGCTGGGCCCTGCCTTTTATTGGGAAACGGGCGACTCAGCTGAGAATCACGCTGAAAATAAACAAGCTCACCACAGCGAAAGGAGGGAGTCAAGGCTGGGCTCGGCACATGCATGCCCTTTATGGGAACACAGAATGGGAGTTTCAAAGTGAATCCATATAAAACACAAATAGAACATCTTCATTCCTGGATGACAGGCCAGCTTGGGGCAGGCAGCCACTCCCCGCTGCAAGTGAGCGTGGCCGGGATGCACGGCAGGGAGCCAGCCAGCGTGGGCACCAGGAGGGCAGCGCCAGGCGCAGGGGCTGGGCCTCTGGAAGGCATTAGCTGCACCGAACTCCCAAAGGCCCAGACTAAACAGCCCTGGAGCCCTGGATTCATTCCCGCACAGGAAATGTCTCAGAGGCAGCTCTGCACAGACCAGGGGCGGCGAGAAGGAAATAGCTCCCTGTGCTCCGTGTTCTAATGCACTTCCCTGGCCCGCCGCGGGCGAAGCCACAGCGCTGACCATACCCGCGAGCCCAGCAGCAGTGAGGGGTCGGGGTAGGGGGGCAAGCGTGGAGCAGGAGGGGAAGCATTTTTGTTAGGAAGAGTATTTCAAGTCAATATGCAGATAATTTTCTCCGAATATTCATAGTCACTAACAACAAATAGCCATCATTTTGTATAGAGATGACAAAAACTTTGAATTCTTAACAGGCTATAGATAAGAAATAGATATGACAAGGAAATAAAAGGACATTCAACTCTACATATATAACCAAAACAACCAAATACATGTAAGCAAATACAGCCATAATATGGTTATATTTGGTGATGTATGTACTTTATATACATAAATAAACCAAAAAATGTACATATATATAAAACAAAACAAAACCTGAATGATCTAGGTGCTGCAGATTACTGAGGAAGAGATAAGTCACACAGCAAGTGAGCTACATAAAACCAGGATGCCCATGAACCAAACCAGGACACAGACTCCCCCAGCCCCCAGCACCTGGCATGCAGGTGTGCCTCCCGGGCTTGGTTCCTGTGGGGAGCGCCCTGTGTGCCTCTGTGCCTCAGCACCCAGCCCGGTGTGGGCTACCTGCAGGCAACAGCTGCTTAGTGAGGTGATTTATCAGTCCTCTTTGAACAGAGGAAGGTGACGCAAGGTAGCTTACTGAGGGGAGAAAAGCGCCCTCTCTGTTCACAGGTAAACTATGCCCTGTGCACCTGGATGTCAGCTTCCTGAGAGAAACAGATGGGTCATCCGCACCCCTTGAGCCCCAGTGCCTGGCACATGGTCAATGCCCAACAAATATTTATTTAATTAACAAATAACAACCTCAGACTGTGGAGCAGGATGAACCCTTAGGAAATATTCTGTTTGACCAGGCACAGTGGCTCGCACCTGTAATCCCAGCGCTTTGGGTGGCCGAGGCGGGTGGATCACGAGGTTGAGGTCAGGAGATCGAGACCATCCTGGCCAACATAGTGAAACCCCATCTCTACTAAAAATACAAAAATTAGCCAGGCATGGTGGTGTGCGCCTGCAGTCCCAGCTACTCAGGAGGCTGAGGCAGGAGAATCACTTGAACCCGGGAGGCGGAGGTTGCAGTGAGCCGAGATTGTGCCACTGCACTCCAGCCTGGGCAACAGAACAAGATGTGGTCAAAAAAGAAAGAAAGAAAGGAAAGAGAGAGAGAGAGGAGAGAGAGAGAGGAGAGAAGAGAAGAGAAGAGAAGAGAAGAGAAGAGAAGAGAAGAGAAGAGAAGAGAAGAGAAGAGAAGAGAAAAGAAAAGAAGAGAAGAGAAGAGAAAAAAGAGAGAGAAAGAAAACATCTCGTTCATCTGCAGATAAGGAAACAAGAGCCGACGATGGTATTAGGGGTATGTAAAATTATAATCCTCTAAAACACCTTCATAGCCTAAGGAAACTTGTAGAGATTATAGTTTCTGGCAAAGTGTTTTGGCCAAAATGCCATGATTATCAAAACTATAACAGTTATGAGCCATATGAAGATAAAGGACTATTCAGGAAAATAGGATGTGATGTTTCTTTTGTTATCAAGTAAAACATTAAAGTCTCTTAAAGATTTAAAACTCATATACTTCTGCACTTCAATATAAAGCACCTGCCATGCATGCCAGGTGCCAGTGGGAGGGAGCATCTGTGTTCATGGAAGTTCTGGTTTTATATAGCCCACTTCCTATGTGACTTATCTTTTTCTGAGTAATCTATCAGCCTATTTGATTTTGGGGGGTCATGTGTGTGTGTGTGTGTGTATGGTTGTTTTATACATATGTATTTTGGTTATATATATAGATATATATAGAGAGAGAGATATAGCCAAACAATGAAAACAATTAAACACATGCTATGTTCAAATACATTGCCCAACCCTATTAAACTTATGGAGAGCTATCCTACTTGCTAAGCTCGGTCAGTTTGTTCAGCATAAAGCAACTTTATGCCTTTAGCCTGGACCCCTTAGAAGCTACAGAAATGAAAATGGACCCATGACCAAGAGAGCACAGAGCAGAGATAAGAAGCTCCCTCCAGCTTCCTCCCCGACAATTCAACACCCTCCTCCACCACAGGGAGCTGAGCTGTGTTCTTCACCAGCACAGCATCATCAGCCACATCATCACCATCATAGTATGGAGCAAGGGACCCTTCCTGAAACTTGGTGGGCTCAGAAATTAATTTCATACCACCAATGGATGGTACTATGAACTTGGCAAAAATAATATACCCGCCTCTCAGCAAGTACAAACACTTTCCAAATGATTTTAAATGCTTAGAGACAAACCAGCACTGTTTGTCCCATAGCTGGTTTTCTAACCACAAATAAAGTCACAACTCAGTATTATTAAATAGTACATATGACGAGATGTGGGCCTTACAACTAACAAATCTACCAGCAATCCTGCTCCAAAGAATTCTGGCTCCTCCAAAGGCTGCCTCAGTGGTGGTTCCTAGTGCCACTTCTCAGCCCTCAGTGACCAAGGGAGAGTCCTGTTAGGCAAACTCATGAGCTGCCTTTCTTCCAGGCCACACACCACAGGTGACAGCTCAATGTGTACTGAGCCCTCGAGAAGATGATGAAATCAGGTTTGGCTCAGGAGTCCTGAAGATACAGCAGAGAACAGGCCAGCATGCAGCGTTCCATTCATTTGTTTCCAAAGACAACTCTCACTGAGGTCTTAAAAAACACAGTTGCCCACCAGGAAGACAGAGATCTACTGTTCAGGCTTAATTCCTACTGTGAAGAAGGCAATGAGAAGGGCCAACAGTGCTGATGGCCTCTCAGAAGCCAGTGCCAGAAGGCATCACAACAGACCCAAGAGAAGGGAACTCCTGACTGAAAGGTTTTCAGTTTGAGCAGCTGCCAGTCCATGGCATCGATTTGTAAGATTCTTACCACCTACGGCCAGATCAGTCAGTCTGGGCAACATTACAGTCCGAAGATTAGAAGTAGGAAGAGACTAAGGTCAAGTGTAAGAAGATGTTGCAGAAGGTCCCCCTCTGAACAGGGAAGCCCTCTCCCTCCTGCTGAGAGCCCATCTTGCCCTCTCCCTCCTGCCAAGAGCCCATCTCGCAAGCACAGGAATCTAGCTAGCATTAGCAAGGCTCTTGAAGTCATCATATTTTTCCATTCATCTCACTCCTGATAGCTGGGTTCTGAACAAAGACAGCCCTGCACTCTGAGATCACTCACCAAATGACCAGAAATAATGCAAGAACAGGAATGTCATTTCCCAACAGTCAGACCCCATCAGGTGGTGAAAATGTATAGTTTTGATCTCTCCAGAAAAGCTCTGAATTTGTAACCCAATGATGCAATGTTTGCAAATCACAGTCTTCATTGCTGTTTTGGCTTCCTGAAAGCACACAATTTAAGCCTAACAAGGAGGCACTCAACGCATCATAAAAGCCCTGTCTTAATTGGGTGTGTAGGATGATTTCATTTTAGTAAATGAAAGTCCCACAGAGACTTTGCACAGAACAGGCTTCCCTCCCATGCCACATTTAGAGAGATCACCTTGTATCACTATGTTCAACATTTAATAAATGTTTCTCTACATGTGAAAGATACAACAATAAACACAACTATAGCTCCTTACCTGATGAAGCTTACGGTCAAGTGGAGAGAATTCAGACACTAGGCTGGGTGCAGTGGCTCACGCCTGTAATCCCAGCACTTTGGGAGGCTGAGGTGGGTGGATCACAAGGTCAGGAGATCAAGACCATCCTGGCTAACATGGCGCAATCCCACCTCTACTAAAAATACAAAAAATTAGCCAGGCGTGGTGACAGGTGTCTGTAGTCCCAGCTACTCGGGAGGCTGAAGTAGGAGAATCGCTTGAACCCAGGAAGCTGAGGTTGCAGTGAGCCGAGATCGTGCCGCTGCACTCCAGCCTGGGTGACAGAGCAACACTGTCTCAAAAATAAACAACTAAATAAATAAATGAATTAAATAAAAGAATTCAGACACTAAACAATACCAATGGGGGATGACTGGGGAAATACAATGTAAAACAGGAAATAATGAATAAGACACCAGCTCTCCTAGCCTGGGGGTTATTTCTACCAATCATCACCCCTTGCCAGGATATAAACCTTCAAGTCTCCCCAATACTTTTATATCAAATATGGTCCAGGCATCAGAGAGAGCTAATAATTCAATTCATGTTCCACCTGCAAGTGCTGAGAAGTCTTGTTCTAATTGGTTCTACCGCATCTCCTGTACCTATGATTTGTCAAGCAGCTACATAAATTGGTAGCTACATTTTGGTCTAAAAATGCCACTTTTCTCCGCCATCATCCTTTTTAAAAATATGGCTATCCTGGTTCTGGAAAAAATGGAAAAATGAAATCCCATATGCCAGGAACCATATCATAAAGAACACTTACTAGAACTACTCCTGAAGCAGTTCTGCTATTAATTTAACTTCTGGGTTCCCACTGGCCTGACCTCCATGGTATTCCCACGGGACACCGATGAGTGGTGTGTATTGTTCTTTTAGCATTGCTCAAGCTACTTAGCTTGCTGGAGGCAAAGGGGATGGCCCTTTTACAAGAAGGTAGATTTATGGATGCATCATGTTGCATGCATAAACACAGTAATGGCATGTTTTAAAGTAGTAAGCCCTAAGTATAATGTATAGCTTAAAAATCTTGTTAAAATCATATATGGGGGATTATAGTTTTATACTTAAGTATAGTTTTGTACTTACAGTTTTAACCTATATAGTTGAAAACTGAAGCTAGATGCCAGAACCTATGGCAATCACCAATAAGATGTGGAAAAAGGAAGAAGACATTCCAAATTGCTTTGAAAAAGAACTTCAGGTCTTTATTTTCTGCTCCCTCGATTCCTTCTGCTCAGGACTTCTCCCCTTCACTCCCTCACTGGAATGTCTCAAAATATTTTCTGTAAATTTTTTCTGAATAATCTTTTCTTACTGACTCTTCCATGACTCAGCATGGCTGACATTGAGCAGAGAGAGCTGTAACACTACCAATGAGCTTGACATAGAGGTGAAGGGCATCTTTCTTTCTTTTTTTTTTTTTTTCTGTCACCAGGCTGGAGTACAGTGGCACAATCTCAGCTCACCACAACCTCCGCCTCCCACGTTCAAGTGATTCTCCTGCCTCAGCCTCCCAAGTAGCTGGGACTACAGGCACACACCACCACACTCGGCTAATTTTTTTATTTTTAGTAGAAATGGGGTTTCACTATGTTGGCCAGGATGGTCTCGATCTCCTGACCTCGTGATCCACCTGCCTCAGCCTCCCAAAGTGCTGGGATGACAGGCATAAGCCACCGTGCCTGGCCTGCATCTTTCCTTTGAAACACTGAGCACTGAGGGAAAAAGCCAACCATATTAAGAAGTCTGCACTACTTCTTTGTGCCTGACCCATTCCTAAGCTCTGCCCCCACCAGTCTCCACTCTGAAAGGTGCCACAGCTCTCCAGTGAGGCTCACCAAGGTATGTATCTACAGAATGAGCAGCAAACTGGGGGAAAAGGAAAAATGAATAATGCAATAGCAGCGGGAAAAAAAGGAAAGGAAGACAGAGCTAAAGTCAGACACTAAAACATAAAACTAGTGACCACCCATGTCACAAACAACATGGTCTTCTTGCACAGGCATCCAGCCTGGGCACACGTAGAGCACTGAATGTCTAGGGTGAGTCACAGATGCACTGAAATGTGCTGAAATAAACTCATTTAACACACTCATGCTAAATGATGATTCTTAAGTAACTAAAAAAAAGAAGGATCTGAGTGGGGAGAGTGGGGGCAGCAGAAAGCCTCCCCACTCGTCCATACCACCAGGCCATGGGGGACCTGCTATGTGGGCTCCAAGTGTGGCCTTTTCACTCCTGTGGTCAGTGCAGCACAGTGCTCTAAGGCAGAGTTGGCAATGTCTGTCAAGGGTCAAAATGTTCTGGGTTTTGCTGGCCACACAGTCCCCCACAGACAAGGCATCTGTGAGCAAGTGTAGCTGGGTCCCAACTACTGCTGGTCATAGTTTGACAGCTCCTGTCTTAAGACTTCTCTCTATTCCCCTTCCATCCAAACTTAACTTTCCTTCTAGCAGGGGTGGTGGGGTCTCTGAGCACACCATCCTCATTTCTCCAACCACCCTGTCAATGGACAGCATCCGCCAACATCTCCTGTTTGCAGCAGGAAGGATGAGGGAGGGAATGAGAAAACGCAAACAGTGGCCCTGCCAGTAGCACCAGCAGTTACTCTTTCCTGCAAAATGACTCTGAACCTTCTTGATACACCTAGTAAAGACTTCTTTGCAGGATTAGCACAGTCTTCCCTCAGCTTTTGAGGGTGATGATTTAATGTGGCTTAGGCAGCAAGTTGATGACCTAAGTTCATTTGTCCTTACTAAAGGAGGGGGGAAGCCAGGAACAACTAGCCCTGGGAGTAAGAACACAGAATTCTGTCCAGGCCCACTGCCAACAGAGATGGAAAATGATTCCGTGAAGGAAACTGGCCTTCCTCATTTATATTCCAAGGAAGACGATGACTAAGAAGAGGCTTTAAAAAGAAAAACAATTACGACCTCCCCATTGTCATTTTTATTTGCAATGGTCCAGTTGTAGTGTCATGACCATCATCCATAAGTGCCTTTGAAACCCTAAAGGAACTTGCAGCCTTGATTAGAAACAGGAAGAAAGGGGAAGTTAGAAACTCACTTCCTGGCTCAATAGGGTGCCAGTGGCAGTTTTTGCCAGCTTGCCAGGGCTGACTATTAAATTGCAGAGGTTCTGCAAGCCAGGTGATATCACATTGGTAGCCTGATTGATCATGATGGGAGTATTTACACCTTGGAAACTGGCAGTTGATACAAGTAAGTGCTCTTTTTTCCCCCTCCCAAAGATCCAATTTTTACACCTTTACCATCACATTGCTGCCTGGCTGAGTTCTAGAAAAGGTGAAAGTTTGAATGGGTAGAAGAGTAAATACTAGCTGTAAACTGGGAAACAGCCAGGCTTGGCCGAAGAGTCTACAGAAAAATAAAATTAAATAGGGCCAAATACTGTGGCTCACAGCTGTAGTCCCAGCTACTCAGGAAGCTGAGGCAGGAGAACTGCTTGAGGCCAAGAGTTTGGAACCAGCCTGAGCAACACAGCAAGACCCCATCTCTAACAAAATTTTTAAAAATTAGCCAGGGGTTGCAGCCTGTGCTGTAGTCCTAGCTACTCAGGGAGGCTGAGGTGGGAGGATCACTTGAGCCCAGGAGGCCGAGGCCGCAGTGAGTTATGATCAGTCATGTTACTGCACTTCAGCCTGGGCAACAGAGCAAGGCCCCAACTCTTTAAAAAAAGTAAAAGAAAAAAAAAAGAGAGAGGCATCAGAGTTTTCCTGGACCAAAAATAATTCCTTAAGGATTTAACAGACACAAGAGAAGAGTAGGCCTCCTCCATCCCCCACAGCCAGTGGGGTTCACCTTAGAAGCAAATTTATAAATACAAAAATCATGTAGAATCTCATTGTAACAAACAAACTAAAGCCCTGGAGAGGATGTAGGGGGAAGGGAAGGACATCAAGAAGCAAAAACATATCCAGATCACAAAACTGAAACCAGTCCTAGCCCATCTATCAAACTCTAAGTGCATTCTTTCATTCATACTTGGTCCAACCACAAATAGTTGGTAATAGACCAGAGAGATCATGGAAAACACATTGTTTGGAGGGAAGCAGAGCCATTATTAAGAAGTTTCATTCTTATCCTGAGCTGCCGACTGCACACAGGATGGCGATTCCAGTTACTCACTGTGGAATCGTGAAGTCTCCAAGCTTAAGAATATTTGCGGCCAGGCGCGGTGGCTCACGCCTGTAATCCCAGCACTTTGGGAGGCCGAGGCGGGCGGATCACGAGGTCAGGAGATCGAGACCATCCCGGCTAAAACGGTGAAACCCCGTCTCTACTAAAAATACAAAAAAATTAGCCGGGCGTAGTGGCGGGCGCCTGTAGTCCCAGCTACTTGGGAGGCTGAGGCAGGAGAATGGCGTGAACCCGGGAGGCGGAGCTTGCAGTGAGCCGAGATCCCGCCACTGCACTCCAGCCTGGGCGACAGAGCGAGACTCCGTCTCAAAAAAAAAAAAAAAAAAAAAAAAAAGAATATTTGCTCTTGGTTAATCTATTGAGAACTCCAGTCCGCCCTTTGATGGCCCTTAAACTTGCACTTGCAATTTCCTTTCTTTCAACACGGTAATCACCTGTTTCATTAGAGAAGAAACAAATGGCAGAGCCCTACAGTCAACACACCACACACCAAAAATAGTTCTGGGCTTGTGCCAAAGCTGCCCGCGAGTTCCTATTCCCGCCTCGGGGGTGAGCTCAGTTCTCAGACTCTGTGGGATCTCCTTGCTGGGTCCTGCAATTCCACTGTGGAAAAGCTGCCAAGGTCAACAAGGCTCTATTATTCTCAACTTCAGCCTCCTATTTGGCGGGATCAGTGCCCCAGCTATCACTATACAGACTTTGGGGGACTTTTCCCTCCAAATCAAAGGAGTCCCTCAGTCAGAGAGGGTGCAAATCCCTTGGAGAGGTGACAATTTCAGCTATCTTGAAAGGCATCAGCCAAGAGGCTCTTACCACCAAGCCAAAAACCAAGAGGTGGTTTTTTTGGTAATCATCTCTAACCCTGCAATACCAAGGTGAGAAAAGGACCCAGCCAAGGGGCTAAACATTATTCTCATTGTTAAAAGGTGATTCCTCGGGGATCTAGAACTAGAAATACCATTTGACCCAGCCATCCCATTATTGGGTATATACCCAAAGGATTATAAATCATGCAGCTATAAAGACACATGCACACGTATGTTTATTGTGGCACTATTCACAACAGCAAAGACTTGGAACCAACCCAAATGTCCAACAATGATAGACTGGATTAAGCAAATGTGGCACATATACACCATGGAATACTATGCAGCCATAAAAAATGATGAGTTCATGTCCTTTGTAGGGACTAATGTTAAATGACAAGTTAATGGGTGCAGCACACCAACATGGCACATGTATACATAGGTAACAAGCCTGCACGTTGTGCACATGTACCCTAAAACTTAAAGTATAATAAAAAAAATTAAAAATAAATAAATAAATTTAAAAAAGGTTGAGGAGCCCTAAGAGGGGAAAAATGAGAGAGGCCCGGCTCTCTGAGGGCTTACGTGTCAGAGCAACTTCTCGCAGTAGCTGTATTTACACCAGCGCCTTTTAGGAATTTTAACAGCTCTGCTGAGATGCTCCACCACCACTTGTCTTCAGTGAGACTTTCTAAGGAGATCAAGCCTAGGCACACATAAAGTAAGGTCCATGGTATCTGTCCTGGCGTCTTTCCAGGTCAATGTTAGAGCCAAAGCATTTGTAAAGGAAAACAAGCAGGTGTCCATCCTCAGCTCCTGTCTCTGCCAGCCAGCAGAATTCCCAAATCAGCATCCATAAACTCCCTCTAGATCCTGAGGACACATCCCAAGGAGGGGGCTGGAGGAGGGGAAGTACTTTCTGACACCATCTACGCTTTAGACACCTGCGACATATAAGATACACAGCCCCCAACCCTCCCCTCCCCAGGAGGCACCACTGAGTGATAGGTGATAGGCTATAGTTTGGATATTTGTCCCCCAAACCTTGTATTAAAATGTGATCCCCAATGTTGGACGGGGCCCGATGGGAGGTATTTGCATCCCCTATGAATAGATTAATGCCCTCCCTGGGGGTGGTGGTGAGTGAGCTCTTGCTCTACTAGTTCCCCTGAGAGCTGGTTGTTACAAAAAGCCTGGCATGTCCTGCTCCCGGCTTCCTCTCTCACTGTATGATCTCTGCACACCAGCTCCCCTTCGCCTTCCACAAGCAGAAGTAGCCTGAGACCCTTGCCAGTTGCCCAGTCTTCCAGTCAGCAGAATTGTGACCCAAATAAACCTTTTTTTTCTTTATTAACTTCCACAGACTTAGGTAGGTGCTAGACTAAGACATGTTCCCCTCCCCAGGAAACATCGCCTTACGATATGTAATGCACGTCACCCAACCATGCTCCAGGGAGGGTGTACAGGGGAAGAACAGACCATCAGGAAGCATCACATTCCCACTGGACAGAAAGGAAACGAAGGCTCAGGAGGCTGCCCCTCTTCCTGGAGTCACCCAGCTGGTAGGTGGGAGAGAGAAACCCGTGCATACCACACTTAGCCCCACCTTGTCTTCCTACACACTCCTAACTCTGTAGCACCCTGAACTAAACTCAACTCATCACTGCATACTCGTGCCTGACTTATAAGGTGGGGATTCCCCACCTCTCACCTGCCCCCAGGATTTAACTATTGTTCCGAAAGAACCAGTCTTGTTGGCATTGCTCATGCTTTATGCCTAGTAACAAGGATACATCAGGAAGCCTCAAACGGCTTCTCTTCTAAATGAACAGTCGATTGCCTTGTGATCACAAGCACCCTCACCTACTTCTGCCTCTCCATCTCTCACAGCCTTCACATCCAAGCTAGTGCCAGGCTCAGTTCTCCCAGGGATCCCCCACCTCTCTGAGCCCCTGCCACGCCCTCCTCTCAGCCACACCCCTGGTTGAGGCTCTAATCCTCTAATCCCCAGACACTCAAACAACTCCTGCCACAGTGGCCCACCTGCAGCCTTGCAGCCTCTCCTGGCCCTGTCCATTACAGCTGGATATGACTGTCCCCAAATGCACCTCTTCCAGCATCACGCCTCAGCCCCTGGGGATGTTCACATTTCTCAGCCAGTCCCCAAACCCTTCCAGACCAGCTCCCAGAGTAGGAGCAGGGACAGGCTGAGAGCACAGCCCCTGCAGTCAGAGATCTTGGCTTTGAACCCCAGCCCCACCATTGTTGAGTTCTGGGACCTGGTGGGCCTCATGTAGCTTTTCCATTGGAAAACAGGACTCACAAATGTGCTTACCTCTTGGAGTTACTGCTAGAATCAGATGAGATTAAGCCAGAGAGGCACAACTCAGAATCCACCACAGAGTCCTCACACGTTCTCCCTGCCAGAGGGTCTTTCAGCTGCGTCCTCTTGGGACCAAGTGTCCACCCTGTTGCTGGAAAGCACAAGGCTGCATGGCTACCTGCTCCTTCATTTCCATTTCCAACTTTAGCCCTGCCCTGCTTTGGGCACACAAATGTGTTTCTTGCCTTCTCACCCAACAAAGCATGGGCTGCACCCCAAGAAAGCCCTCTCTGGCCTCCTCTGTCTTGGGCAGCAACCTCATGCCTGTCTGTCACACTCCATGGGTCACCCTGCTCAGCAGCTACCGACTGACCTGGCTGTTCATCCCACAAGACCCTCAGCTTCCTGAGGGCAGAGAGTGACTTCCTGGTGACACCTGGCCCATGCAGATCCTGGCCCAGGTCTGACACTCTGGGCCCATAAATTGACTGATAATGTCATAAATCAGCAGTCTCCAACCTTTTTGGCACCAAGGACTGGTTTCATGGAAGATGACTTTTCCATGGACCTGGCGGGGAGATGGTTTTGGGATGATTCAAGCGCATCACATTTATTGTGCACTTTATTTCTATTATTATTACATTGTAATATAGAATTAAATAATTATACAACTCACCATAATGTAGAATCAGTTGGAGCCATGAGTTTGCTTTTCTGCAACTAGACAGTCTCATCTGAGGGTGACGGAAGACAGTGACAGATCATGAGGCGTTAGATTCTCATAAGGAGTGTGAAACCTAAATCCCCCGCATGTGCAGTTCACAATAAGGTTTGTGCTCCTGTGAGAATCTGATCAGACAAAAGATGGAAATCAAGCGGTAATGGGAGTGATGGGAGCTGATGTAAATACAGCTATAGCTTTGCTCGCTCTCCCGCCACTCACCTCCTGCTGTGCAACCCAGTTCCTAACAGGGCACAGACTGGTATCAGTCCATGGCCCAGGGATTGGGTACCCCTGTCATAAATAACAGCCAGATTTCTCAACTGTACTCACTACATGGACAATAAGCTGTGAGCAACAAGGAAAGCTCATTAACAAGGAAAGCTGACTTGTAAAACAAGCCAATTCTTCCCCCACTAAAATCCACAGTAATGCAGGAGGCCTCCGTTACAGAAATGCCAACAGCCTCATGCCCGCCCTGGTTCCCAAGTCCCTTCTGCACGCATACACCCTCGCCCTGGGGCTGGGCAGGGCAGGCAGCACCCTCTCGGCAGGACGAGGAAACCGCGGTACAGCAGCGGTCCTGAGAGAGAGGCAGCTGCGCCGGGATAGAGCCCATGCAGGAAGGCCAGCAGCAGAGCACAGGGAGGGGAAGCTCAAAGCAGAGCCTGGCACCACGGCTCAGACCCTGCTCTGTACCTGAGTCCCCTTCTCATGGGTGAACACTGTGTAAGGGCACCTTTTTGTTTCTTTGTTTTGAGACCGAATCTCACTCTGTCGCCCAGGCTGGAGTGCAGTGGTGCGATCTGGGTTCACTGCACCCTCTGCCTCCTGGGTTCAACCAATTCTCCTGCCTCAGCCTCCCAAGTAGCTGGGATTACAGGCGTGTGCCACCACACCCAGCTAATTTTTTGTATTTTTAGTAGAAACAGGGTTTCACCATGTTTGCCAAGCTGGTCTCTAACTCCTGACCTCAGGTGATCCACCCGCCTTGACTTCACAGCTGGCTGGCTTGTCATAAGGACACACTGAACTTTTACACATAAAGCATGTAGACCAGGGCTGGTCCAGAGTGCACACTCGGGAATCAGCCATTGCTACTTGCTTTGAAAGAAACACTTAGCAACTTCCAGAATATGTGTTAAAACATTCATCCATGATGTGGCATAATTACATCTGATTCTCAGAAATCCTCAAATCTCTTATCAGAAGAAATAGGGATGCTCTCACGACTTAGATCCCTCAAGCCTCAAAGTCCTGAGACACAAGCCTTATCATCCCAGGCAGCGAGGTGAAGACCCTCTGTCTGCAAGTCAGACAGCCCTGAGCGCCTCTGGACATGACACCATCCAGCTCCCCCAGCCAAGGCATCTTTCAGTGTGAAGGATGAAGTGGCTGAGCCTTGGGGGACTGAACCTGCCCTCAGCTGAACCTGCCCCCCAGGATGGTGCCCAATGACCCACGAAGGCAAGCCATGCAGACTCCTGCACTTACACACTGGATTCTCCCCAGGATGAGAGAAGAGGACACCTAAGCGTTGAGGGAGTCCCCAAAGCCATCACTGATTCACCTGTACCAGAAAGAGACAAGTGGCAACCGGGAGCCTGGAGGTGGCCCTGGACTTCCTGTCAGTCATCCACAGGAGCCTGAGGACAGTGTCCTCCCCAGAGCAATCATTTCCCAGCACAGCTTGCAGTCGTGTGTTTTGAAGTCTGACATGCCTGGGTCACAGTCCTGTCTTGGCACCTTACTAGCTATGGGACCCTCTTGCCACCTCTGTTTGCTTGTCTGTAAAATGGGAGTCCAGCTCCAGGCTCAGGAGCCAGATGACACAGTGCAATTGAAGCACGCAGCCCAGAACTAGAACATACCACGGGCTCAAGGAGGGTTACTTACTAGTAAGGCAAGTACTCCCTCGTCACTAAACAGTGGATTTGTATTAGCGGCCTGCAAATCAAACACGAGCAGCTGCCACAGAGAAAAGCCATCCTGAGGGTCTCCTAGGAGAGCTGTGTGGCCTTAATCCTGGACATGCTTTGCAGTGCTCCTCCCATACAATCCTCAATCCTGATAAAGGTGTCCTTTTACCCTCTGGATGATGAGGGCAAAGTCCCTGTTGATGACATCAAGAAATTTGTATGGCATCTCAGGATGATCCTATTAAATTCAATTGTAGGTGATAAAACAGGCAGCTCAGTAACCAACTGAATCACATCTTTATATCCCTTTCAGGTGGCTAGGAAGCACACTAGACTGGGATTCAGGAAGCCCAAGTTCCAATCTCCTTCTTTTAACAACCAGATGAGACCAAGGAAATCTTTTTCCTCATATGTTCTTGAAGACCCAATGAGATTATCTCTAAGGCCAGTTTCAGATCCAGAGGGTGTCCAGAGAGTATGGAAATGCAGATATTTTATTTTTACAGATTGAAAATGTCATTTATATTCAAGGCAACATTACACATATTCACCTTTTTAAATGATTTTTATGGATGGCACGTGGGAGTCTATAAAGCGAATGCAATATTTGTAATGCAATATTGAATTTTAAGTTTTTAAAAAGGTGCTGTGAAGGATCACTGTAGGAGACAGGAATGCGGGCTCTCTGCTGGCCTGACTGCAAGTTTAAAACTAGACCTACCAGCAGAGCTGAGGAGTAGAAGAGACGGTGAATATCCCCAGTCAATACTATGATCCCCTCTGATAACATTCTAACACTCTGGGACATCAAATTCAAGTGCTCTCATCCTAAAACCTAAGAAGGTCCTGTGGGGTGCTATGAGCCTGGAGCCACCTGTGTTTACCAAGGAGAGCCCTTCCCACAGTCAGATGATGCAAATCCTATGATGGAAAAATGACCTGGAGTAATATGTCATTTATGTGTGATTTCAGAGGGAAATAAAAACCTTTATTAACCTTATTGGTAGTCTTTAAATAAGAAATAGTATTTGAACTGGAAAGAAAGCATTAACTGCCTCCATTAGCCATTAGCAATAAATCACAAGCTGCCTCCTCTATTCCTCAGTTCTGTGAGTAGGTCTAGTTTTAAACTGGCAATCAGGTCAGCAGAGAGCCTACGTTTCTATCTCCTACAACAACCCTTCACATCCCTTTTTAAAAAACTTAAAATTCAGGCCGGGCACGGTGGCTCATGCCTGTAATCCCAGCACTTTGGGAGGCCGAGGCGAGATCACCTGAGGTCAGGAGTTCGTGACCAGCCTGGCCAACATGGTGAAACCCCATCTCTACTAAAAATACAAAAATTAGCCAGGTGTAGTGGTGGACACCTGTAATCTCAGCTACTCAGAAGGCTGAGGCAGAAGAATCGCTTGAACTCAGGAGGTAAAGGCTGCAGTGAGCCAAGATTGCACCACTGCACTCCAGCCTGGACAACAAGAGCAAAACTTCATCTCAAAAAAAAAAAAACCTTAAAATTCATCCCTTAGTGTATCCTCTCCCCTGAATCACTCAAAAGTTCAGAAACAAACACCCGAGTGGATACTTCCTTCTCCAGCAAGATCACCATCTAGGAGAGAAAGCACAGTCCCAGCAGGGGAAGATGCGAGGGGCGGAGAAAACACTGAAGATGAGATAGCAACTCGATCTCTGGTGGTTGGACTGTGTGTGAGCCAAGGCAGCACTGCCAGCCCCCTCAACCCACAACTCAACACCGAGTGCTAATTCACTGAGTTAAGAAGCTGAGCTCCAAACTGCTGAGATGGACTGCAAATCAGACAATGCAGAAATTGGGAGGATGGCTAGCAAGCAGGCAGCATCCTGCAAAGTGGCAGCCAAAGAGGAGAGGACCCAGCTTCCCAAAGTACGGGTGATTTCAGGCAGGGGCAAAATGACCCCAGTGGGAAGCATGGGGCTCTGGGGCCCCAGAGAATCCCTGCAGAGCTCAGTGACAGCATGCAGAATGATCCTGAGTTGCCAAGGAAACCTTAGCCCGATCCAATACAGCACTTGTTACAATACATATGACCATCTTGGAAAGACAGCTACCAAAATAGTTATAACAAAGCTTTAGCAGTTTGAAGGCTGACCACCTAGTTCTGGAACATCTTCCATTCTACGTTATTCACACACACCAGCACGTGTGCTATGATCAACATTGGCAGGATGTGGGAACTCCCTTTTTGTTCTCAAGTACTGCTAGAAACCCTATCAAAGTTCCCATGGGAACAGTGTTACAATTCAAGATGGAGTTACAGGCCAGGCACTGCTTGAAATAAATCACAAATAGCCAAAATTGTGTCATCAAAACAAAGATCCGGCCAGGCACGGTGGCTCAGGCCTGTAATCCCAGCACTTTGGGAGGCTGAGGCAGGCGGATCACGAGGTCAGGAGATCGAGACCACCCTGGCTAACACCGTGAAACCCCATCTCTACTAAAAATACAAAAATTAGCCAGGCGTGGTGGTGGGCGCCTGTAGTCCCAGCTACTCGGGAGGCCGAGGCAGGAGAATGGCAGGTGAACTCAGGAGGCGGAGCTTGCAGTGAGCCAAGATCCCACCACTGCATTCCAGCCTGGGCAACAGAGCGAGACTCCATCTCTAAAACAAAACAAAACAAAGATCCAACTTCCAACTCTATAATCACTTAAAATGGGAAAATTATTCCACAAATACTATAAAATAGGCATAGATGCAAGGTGCCCATGGATGAGAACACCACTGAACATCAGCATAGCAAGTTGTAGTTTGCAAAATGCCGAACACCACCGAACATCAGCATAGCAAGTTGTAGTTTGCAAAATGCCTTTATGTGGCTCATGGAACCCTTGCCCTGGCCCGGAGGGAGGCCAGAGCCCCAGCTTCCATGAGCACACCAGAACACACTCCACTCTATTTTATGAACCCAACAGAAAAATGACTCCTATGAAGGCTGGCTATCAATCCAACATGTCCTGAAATCTGGAAAGCCTCTTTTGACAAGTCGTGATTTGGAAAGCCAACACTCTCCAAAGGCCACCTGAGGAAGCTGGAGCTCGCTCTGCTCCCGAAGAATTTCCTTAGGGCAATCCAAGGCCATAGCAGAAAGTGGGGCTTCAGAAGGCTCTATGCAGCAGGTTGGTGTCACCACAGGTCTCCAAAAACACATACACTCTGAGACTTCTAAGGGATGGCCCAAAGTCCCTACCATCACCCCCCACAGACCTTGTCCAAACCCTGGTCCCACCTGACCTTGTCCAAACCCTGGCCAGCACTACAGCAAGGCCAAAAGTATTCATTTGGAGGCCAGAAGCCAGGACAAAGAGAAAGACAGACCCCAGGGCACTGTGACCTTCAGTGGGCTTCTGGCCATGAACTAGGGCCAATTCAAACTTAGGGAGCCTTGGTTTCTTCACCAGTGAAGAATTCAAGCCAGCTGAGGAAGCCTCGAGGCCTGGCCCCTCAAAAAGGCTGGTGGTCCCTTCCCAGGAGCCGTGCCCATGATGCTGCAGCTTCAACACTGGCAGACAATGGCAGCAGCGCTGGGGGGCCTTCTGTGTATCTGTACTCCCTACCCAGAAGCTTCCCCAAAACCACCCCCTCCATGATAACCCCAATCACCTACCCAAGCTGGGAAACAGGGGCTCCCTTCCTTGGTCCCTCCATTTCCCAGCTTCCATCCAATGTGGTCACCCAAGTGAGGCCAGAAATGACAGAAAGCACCACATGGATGCTAGGCCTGATTAGACCCATCTGCTGAGCCCCATGTAGGGATGACATTTTGAACCCTAACCAAGACAAAGCTCTAGAAACCAGTTTTAAACACACGAGATAAAAGTCTGGCAACCACAGCATATTGACAGTGTTCATACTTTGATGCATCAACACAGAAGGTTCTTGTCTGCAGTTCCATGTCCACCAACCAGAATCACTGACCAGGTCACTTGGCTGCCGCCCAAATTTGGCTTAATGCTCTGTGGTCACGTAATGAAATTCTTAATAATTTTATAATTGCACTTCATTTTGTCCTCGGCCCTGCAACTGGTGTAGCAAGTCCCGACTGCTAATGTCCCAGAGCAGTGGGAGACCAGGAGTCAGCCCTCAGGAAGCAGGTCTGCAGGAAATCTCAGCTCCAGCAAGATGGTGGCATCGGGGGTCGGGGGGTGGTTAATGTGGCTTTAGCCAAAATGCACCAGAACCCAGCTCAGCACAAAACGCACAGCAGACAAGTACACACCCTGGAGACTAGATCAAGATTCATTCCCAGTGTGTCAGAAATAAAATAACTGGGGTGATCTCATGTTTTACTATGCCACACTCTTTCACAGCGGCAGCTTCCACACACACAGGGCATCTGTCGGGCCCACCTCCTGGGGCAGGTGACCCGGTGATAAGGCATTGCACACTGAGCCGAGCCCATGCTTCCTCTGCTTTTGACCTTAATATTTCTCCTGGCAAGTTTCAGTTATTTCATGTCCTTTCATACCTTCGTTACTTCTTTCTCAGCAGAACTAATCTGTCCAAATTTTGGGCAAAATCAGCGTAATTGCCTTTCCAAACCTCAGCAAAAATACAAATTTTTTTAAATCACTAAGAAGAAGAGAGAAAAAAAGGCATGCAATTTTAGCTTCTTCTCAGAAATGGGTTTCCAGTGACAGCTTAAACACCTACATTCCCTTCAAGAATTAATGTAATTTCTTTTATTAGAAATGAATGTACTCATTCAGCCTCACCCATAGCAGGGTTTAGCAGAACGCTGCAGTGCATAAGTTTAGATGCTGGTTCTGTTCCATTGAAATATTTGCCCCACTGATTCCTTCCCCCTCCATTGGGAATGGGTTTTCTGACAAAAGCTTCACAGTGACTGTCTTGTCTTTGCAGATGGTCCCTTGTCTGTAGACTGGGTCCATTTCTGCCCATCAAAACGTGCTTCTAAGACAGGCTCAAACTCAGCTGCATCATAACAACAATGACTTCACACTAAAGTACTGCCTTTCCCAGAAGTTTTCATCCCAGAGATTAAAGCTTTCAATTGCGTGCCTCCATCGAGAACAAGGAGCAAGTACTAAGATTTACTCTTAAAGTTTGAAAGACAGGTGATATTCACTGTGAGAGGGCCCATGTGAGAGACGGTGATAGGCACCCCACCATCAGGCCATCGGGCCTGGGAGGGGACACTGGGTCCCCCCCGCCCCTCTGCCCATGCCTACTCAAGTTGGAACCCATTAATTGAATTTCCAATGATGAGCTGGGTTCAGCAGTCTTGAAACCATGAAATGCTTACTCTTTATTAAATAATGCCGTTTAAAGAGAATGATAATCCCCACAGCTTTAAATATAAATCTGATAATACACAATGTAAATAATAAAAAGGCAAAAATCCAATTTCCATGCAGTGAACTTTCAAACACTTCGTTGTTTCCAGTAAATGAGCTTTCGCTCTGAATGCTGTAATGCCACTGTAGGCCCATCAGGCACCCGGAACAAGGCTATTATGCTCTCGTTCTCAACTTGAGATCGGAGCCCAGAATTATTTATTTGATTTGCTGTACATGTCAGCTAACAAAAGCAATATAAGAGGGATTTGCCAAATGCACCAGGGAAAGGGCAGGCCACCCACCCACATTCCCCACAACTATAAAGACACACCACAACAACAAGGGGAACATGCCCACCTCCCGTGATTATAGGTACTGCCTGTCACCTCGGAAAATGAACCACCTGACAGGTGACAGTTTTGTGATAATTTATTTCTAAGACGCTGAGCACTTTTCCTAGGAAGAAATGTAATTCCAGACACCAAATTTCATCCTCTCCAAAAAGAGGCTAGGAGAAAAACAAAATTAGACTCCATGTCCATCAAGACCACTGAAAATAGACTGCTGATGAGACTTGTCAGAGAAGTAATAACTTCCCATTGGGAAATTTAAATAATCAGCTGGGTATGAAAAATATCCTCAATCTGGGTTTCAGACCAATTTCTCAGCATGCATTTTATAAGCCCTCCAGGCTGTTATTATATTAACTTCAAACCAAAAATTCCTGCAGTCCTCTGCAGATTCTATCATGATGACAATTCGGAAATCATAGGAAATGTCATATTGTTGCCTATAAACCACAATTTGCAGATGCAAATCTATTAGAGTCATAAAAAGTGCACTGGTGCCAGAACTTTATTATGATATCTGAAGTGGTCTGATCCGTCAGAGCTGAGCCTTTCCATACAGCAGCCACCTGTGGGCACCACATGCCTACTGGGCCCTGGAAACCGGGAAGTGTGACCTCAGATGTACTGCAGGGGTGAAATACACATGGGCTTCAGGCTCAGCATGGATGAAAGGATGCAAATTAATAAGTTTTCATAGTAACTACATGCCGACATATTTTGGATACAGTGGGTTAAATATATTCTTAAAATTAATTTCACCAATTTCTTTTTACCATTTGTGACGTGGCTACCAGAAATTTTTAAATTAAATATGTGGCTCAAATTCTATTTGTATTGGATGGTGCTGCTTTGGAGTATAAAATTAGGAATTTGAACCATCAAAGGATGGTTTATTTGAACACCTGTTAAACCATTAGCTTTTCATGAATGTTTCTGAGACGTGTAGGCACAGATTTCCAGGAAGGAAAAAATTCTGTATTCAGTCTGTTTCCATGGCCACAAACATGGAGCCCCACAAACATGAAAAAGCCTCGGACAAGAAGACAGCACAGATACCTCAGTGTCCTGGGCCACTGGACACATATTTTCAATATATTCATTGCACTTTGTGAATCAAGAACCCATCAAATATAAGCAAGAACCCAAGGACCACCACCCCTCACCAAATGCAGGGCAAATACATTGGTGTGGCTGTTGGCTTTTGTGCAATGATGCAATATTATCCATAAAAGCCTCTCCCTTGCATTGCACTCCATAAGCAGTGTCGACCTTCATCAATGTTTCAGCAATGGAAAAGGTACCACCTGACTTCCCCCATCAGCACCTTGAAATAACTAGCTTCTTTATTTGAATGCTCTTTATGTTCAGCCATAAAGCTCTCCCACTGACTTATATGCCCATATTTTTTTTCACATTTATAGTATGGTAAAAGCACAAAACTTTTTTTTTAATTTCTCCCCAAGTCTGAACAGCCTGATAAGGAGGTAACAGTGTGAGATTTGAGGAGATCAGAACAGAATTCTAACCCCAACCCACACCTCCACTTCCTGCTCTGTGAAATGAGGCTCATCGCACCAATCCCCCAGAAATGTAGAGCCAGACTGGAACCAGAGGCAGCCTGAGCTCAGATCCCAGCTCCACGATTCACCAGCTGTGTGACAAGCTACTCAACTTCTCTGGGCCTCACTTTCCCCGTCTGCACAATGGGGGTAATCATAGCACCTATCTATACCTGTCCCACTGTGTGGTTAAACAGACTAAGTGAATTAATAAGTTGAATTCCTCGTTTTTGTAAAAAAACTATTTTTCTAAGAAATTGTTTTTTAAGTGAAATAATGAGCAGAGTAGTTCCAGGCTCATAAATAAAATGGCTTCGACTATCATCAGGTTATAGACAAAAATCCCTAGCATGGTCTTGTACCACCTGCCTCGGCCATCCTCTCCAGCCTCATGCCCCCTCCCCCAACCCTTCCCCTCCTTTCATTTGCTCCAAGCTCCTCAGGACCCTAGGCTTCCATGCTTGCCATTCCCTCCGCTGGAACACTCTTCCTCCCTCTTTACCTGGCCATGTCCAACTCATCTTCCAGGTGCAGATCTGGCAGGATTCTCCAGGTGCTGGCTCTCACAACCACTTCCTCTACACCACCTTTTGTTGGCCTTCTGCAGTTTAGATCAGTGCTGCTCACCCCAGCACTGGCATCACCTGGGGACCGTTGAATCTGATGCCAGGCTGCACCCAGACCCATCACAGGGCCCTGGGCTGAGACAGACATCAGTGTTTGGGGAGGTTCCCCAGGGGACTTCAACATGCACCCCAAGTCAAGAACCACTAGTTTAATAAAAGAACACAGCTGCAATTAAAAAGTGATTTCAACCTTCCACTGGGACAAAAAATATCCACGAGCAGAAAAAGAACCCCCTGGTATTTTAATCTTAATTAAGTCCAACTGGAGTACAAAAATACCTGCACTACAAAGCATCTCCACTGTAGCTAAGGTTTTCCAATTGTCACTTACTCACAACGTCTTGATAGAGCCCCCATGGCACCAATTAGAACGTAAGCACCACGAGGCCAGACTATCTTGCTCTCTGCAACGTTGCTGCTGCCACAGAGAGCCAAAGGACATGTGGGTGCTCAATGGACACGTGCAGGGAGATGCTCAGCTGTCCTCCTGCTGGACCTTGCATGCAAGACCCAGGGACGGCTGCCTTAACACACTTGCTCTGTCAAACAAGCGAATTCCCCTTGGGTCCTCATGGTAGAGAGCCCTGTGCCTTCCTTTGAAGCCATTCATCTGAGGTCCATGAAATGCTGTGGCAACCTCTGAGATTAAAGAGGTTTAGAAGTGCAAATGACTGTCAATGTGAATATTAATAGCTACGTTATTAATAACGAAAGTCTCTGCCAGACACTTGACTCTTGATTAAATGGAGTAGAGGAGCTCAAGTCAAGCCAAAGAGACTTCTCAGCTCTAAGCCAATGGATCTCCCAGAGAACGGGTCCCGGGGGGCCATAGAACATTCTTAGTGTCTGACTAGAGAAGTCCGAATAAAAGCAGTGGGTGTGGACCAAGGACAGCAGTGTGGCCCTGCCCTGAGTCCTGCCCACTCCATCAATGTGAGCTCCTAGGCCAGTCTCAGCTTGGCTCCCTGCTCCTTCCCAGAGCCCAGAACAGTGTCTGGCCTGCATGAGGCACTCAATTGAAGCCTCTGAAGGAAGGAAAGAGCAAATGAATAAATGAGAAGAGAAAGGGGGATCTGCAGTTGAAAGCCAGAAGTGCAAACAGGGAAACAAAGATTCCCAAAGCTTGCCTGGGCTCTGTCTGCTCCACAAAGAATAAAGTCTAGAACTTGATTTTTTTTGGGTAAAACCACCAATCAGAATTGTTCCACAAGCCATGAATTCACCTAAAATACTTTTTAAAAAAAAACACTGCCATGATTGCTGTCCCTACACATTTTTGAGACCTAAAAATAAAAGAACACCAGCTGTCCTGCTAAACAAGCATCTGTCTATGACCGAGCCCCAGTAACTTCAGAACTCAATTCACTACACATTACGCTCTGCTTCTTCAGCCATGAATGCACTTTTCAGCATTAGAAATTATCCCTTTCACATTTTTAAACGCTGTGGCTTCTGCCTGACTAATGCCATCTTTAATTATACATAATCGAG
The DNA here is from genome assembly GCF_000001405.40 of Homo sapiens. Classification (NCBI taxonomy): domain Eukaryota; kingdom Metazoa; phylum Chordata; class Mammalia; order Primates; family Hominidae; genus Homo; species Homo sapiens. The sequence continues at coordinate 109,148,597 of NC_000002.12, read as the reverse complement.
TATTTTACTGTGATCTAATGGGGTCTATTACTCATCAAAATGGCACCAGTCAGCAGTAATATTCCCCAGAGCCAATTACTCAACCCTTCTTTCATTCTTCCAAAGTATCAGCCCACACGTGCAGAAATTTGTACACAGTTTGAGCTACAGCATCTTACCAATTTGTCCAAAAAGGGAAAAAAAGAACGCCTTTAAGAAGCCCTCCCTATGATGGCTGGCTCATGAGCTCTGCCATAGTGACATGAAGAACCACGGATGGCGCTCTGGCCTGGGCTGGCTGCAGCACACCGTCCCGGTGGATTCCCTCACGTGCTCTGCTCATGTGGCATGATCGGGGCCCATCTCACAAGAGAAAACAGATACTGCAGAAGGTACCCAATTTGCCTGAGTCCTAGAGCAGGCAGGTGGGAGAGCCAGGTTTCCACCATCGGTAAGAACACACTGCATACTGGGTGCATGAGACCAAAAGGCCACACAAAGGGGGCTGTGTAGGACCCGGCTGGCAGCCCAGCCAGATGGTCCCTTCCCTGAACTCGAATTCCACAGTCACCATGCAACAAACCACCCGACTGACCTTGTCCATGATACCATGGATTTTGAGGGGCCCACAGATCTTAAGCAAACCTGTAAAGATCAGCAGAAATGAGCTAGTCCCCAAAACTCTTCATTTAAAGAGATGAACTGCCAATCAATAACTATAAACGCAGAGTTTATAAAAGGTCTAACTTTATATGTATATATGGAAATGCATATGCATACTCATCTACAGGAGTTATTAAATGACAGATCAATGGGCTAGGCTCCAATTCGGGATATTTTAGCTAAAACAACTGCTTGTTAACTTCGTAAATATTTAGAAGAGAAATTAAAATTACAAAACCAAAGTGCCCTAAGACCCAGAAGCCGGAAACTATACAAGAAAGGTCACTTCATGGGCAATTGACAAATAAATCATTTTCAAGAGAACTGGGAATCGATAACACGCTATGAGACCTTGATATAACCCTCCTGAATAATTGACTAGGCCTCTTTTTGGACCATTTACGGTACTATGTTTAGCATTCCATTTAGTGCTAATTCCTTCAAGTGTGGGCTTCTTATCAGATCTGTTGACCAAGTGGTAGATGGAAAATTATAAATACGCACAGATATGATGTTTCTCTAGTATACAAACAGCATACTGAAGCTGCAACTCAACAACTATCTTTCATCTGGCCCCAGCAACAACAAGGTGCTTATCAGCGCAGAGATAGTCTCGTCCACAAAAGCATTTGAGGTTCCCTGATGTGCCTCTGATAGAGAGAGAGCAGCACCACCTCCCCACACCCCCATATTTACATCTTTCGAGCAAACCTCTCAGCAGCAGCGGACAGCTGTAATTCCAAGAAAGTCCAGGCATCCCGGTCTTTTCTCCCAGGCACCTTGAGGAAGTGCCAGCCAACCTCTGTCTTTTGGACAAAAAGAAACCCACCCTCTGACTCGCTCCAGGGTCACCAAGAGGGGAAAACGAGACAGGGAAGAAGAGAACTTGTTTGGACAGTTGTTGGGAGGGCAGAGCCTCTACTTAGGAGAAAGCCTGAGACATCATCAGGTTGGGAGATGAGTCCCAGGGAAGGGCCCAGGAGGAAAGATGGGAACAGTTACTGCCAGAAGTGTTTTCTAACAGGACTCTGAGGCCTTCATAGGATATTGGGGCGGGGGGGGGGGGGGGGAGGGAAAAAAGAAGAGAAGAGGGGAAGAGAGGGAGGGGAGGGGAGGGGAGGGTTAGGAAGGGGAGGACAGAGGAAAACAGAAGGAATGGGGGGGGCACTAAAGAAAGGAGAGATCCGCAAGTTTTCGAAGGAAGGATTGTAAAAAAAGATACTCAGATGTAGACTCTATGGGGCCCCCCAATCCAGGCCCTTCCTCAGGGTCCCAGCCTGACTTTGGGGACCAAAGCAGCCTCAAGGAGATGGTCAGTCAGCCACCCATGGTGCAGACCCATGGTGGAGGAAGGGCTGGGCCTGAAGGTGGTGCTGGGGAGAGCGTGCATTCAGAGGTAGGCTTCTTGGATCCTAAACAGAAACAAGAAAGTGCTAGGAAGTGCCCTTCCTCCTGCCATTGAACATTCACAGGACCCATGAGCTTGTCCACCACACTGGAGGCCTCTTGGCACGGAATTGATGCAAGAAGACTCCACAGACTCCACAGAAATGGGCCAGTGATACAGAGGAGTGATTAGTCACTAGTATTCTTTTGCTCTTGAGGCCCTGGCCACCTTTGGGAAGCTGGAATGATCCCTTTGGCAATTTGTCCCAGTAACATTTCAGGGACCTTTACTGATGCCCTTTGCCTGACCCTTAATCTGGCTATAAGAGCAGCCAGAACTAAGTGACCAACAAGTGTTAGCTCCAATAATAATGGCCATTATTAGTGTACCATGCATTCTAATACGTATTCTAATGAAAACTTAAGACTCAAGAACAGTAACAGTGGTGACACCTCACCTTCACTAAATCTAACTGTTCAGCTGGTACCTCTCTCAGCACTTTTCCTGCATGGACTCCCTCGGCCCGCATGGACTCCGTCGGCCCACATAGACAAGGACACTGCGGCCGGGAGGTCACACTGCCAAGCCCCTTGACTTGCTCAGGGGTACACAGCAACAATGTGTGGGGAGGGAGACATGAACCCAGGCATTCGGGCTCCAGGGCTCCACGCACACCCATAGCCCTACGCAGCCTCCCCAGCTCTGCGGCTCCGTCCTGCCTTTCAGCCTGGTGATGTGGAAGCATTGCCACTGGCCACTACACCCCTGACCCCATGCCAACCAACAAACCAATACTGCTCCTGGGTTCCCGCCCTTTCACACGGGTGGGGAGGCTCAACGGATGGTGTGGTCCTGACCTGTGAGAACACCCAAGACCTGTAAAACAACCAGAAGATAAATTCTAGAAAAGTGCTCCTTAGGAAGTCCACGAGAGTCTAGAAACGCATGGCGATAGCAGTGCCAAAGGTCGCTCGACCATGCGTGCAACAGTGAGGCCCCCCGGACAGCCTAGGGGTGGAGGATGTGTGAGGAAGCAGCCCCTTTCATGAGGGCTTCTCTGCAGCCTCCCACAGATGAGAAAGGAGGCGGCATTCCCTCACGGACAGACAGACCAATGGTGAAGGCGACCGGTCTTCCATAAGCAAAGAGCCAACAGCAGGAATGAACACAGTGCAGGAATAAGAGAGGGGCAGGGCTCACAGGGTCATGAGCAGGGCCATGGGACTGCAAACCTGGCATGAAGTCCGGACTAAAGGGGGCTGAGTGGGCTTGTAACCACCAAACAGCATTTTAAGACAATCACCGGGGCCACAGGCACAGATGGACTGGGGAGACCGTGGTCAGGAAGGACCCAGCCAGGACACGGCTCTGTCTCAGAAGCAGCAGAAAGGCAGGAGTGAACTGCCCCTTACAAGAGAAAGAAATGACCAAACCTGGAGACACAGACAGAGCCGGTGAGGGAAGACTCAGAGATGACTCCAGGCCCCGTAAGAGGGCCCTTAACACTCTGCTTACGAGCTTCTCCAAAGGGCCCTTCCTGACACGGAGCCCTGAGTTTCTTATGCCACACCTGTTAGAGCCCAGGAGCCGGGTGTGAGCCCGCTGCCCTGAGATCGGCACTGAACGCGCTCACCCCACAGTGCGCAGTGTCCACACCGCCCCAGCACCCCAGCTCTGGGAACAAAGCTTGCTGAGCGAGGCCTATTCCCACCATGCCTTCCGCCCCCTGCCCGTCTCTTGGTTCTCAACCCCGGGTCAGTGCTCTGCTGTGGCTCAGGCTCCAGCCTGGTGCCTGACTGATGCAGACAGTGTGAGGTGGCCCCTGCCAGGCATGCATCACCAGCTGGAGGTGGGCCTGGGAGTGGCCCAACCTGGACCCAGTGCAGTGGCATAAGGACTCGGGGAACACCTGTCATGTCCAAAATAAATCCCAAAGGCTGGGTTTCTCATGTTTGCCATTTAGGTTTAAAAATCAAACAAAGCAATTTTCCCAACGCTGCTTGCAAGCATAAAATTGCCCTGTTCCTCATATTCACCTCGTTCAAACTCTTCCCTCATACAAAGCCTCAGCACATCCACAGCTGGGCGTGAGCCTTCAGACACACAGGAAACCAGGGCTGAAAGAACAAACCTAGAGACGTCATGGTGAAAGCTAGGTCTGCTTGTTCTATGACTTGAGGCAGCTTTGTGTGTTTTTTAAAAGTACTTTTCATTATCATGTTAAATTTATATTTCCCCTGTTTTATTGAGGTATAACAGACAAATAAAAATTGTATATATTTAAGGTATACAAGTGATAATTTGATATACATATACATTCCAGTTAATATATATCTATCACCTCACGTGGTTACCTTCGTGGTGTCATGAAAATACTTAAAATCTATTCTTTTAGCAAAGTTCAAGTATATAATCGAGTATTGTTAACTATGGTCACCATGCTGCACAGTAGAACTCCAGAATTCATTCATCTTATAACTGAAAGTGTTACTCTTTGACAAGTATCTCCTCTTCCCACACTTCCGGCGCCTCGTAACCACCTTTCTACTATCTGCTTCTATGAATTCAGTGTTTTTAGATTCCGGATATGAATGAGATCACACAGTATTTGCCTTTCTGTGTCTGTGGCTTGTTTCACTTCGCATAACGTCCTCTAGGCTCATCCATGCCATCACAAATGGAAAGATTTCCTTCTTTTTTAAGATTGAATAATATTCCATTGTTTGTGTATATACGTGTGTGTGTGTGTGTGTGTGTGTATACAGCACAGCACAGGCAGCCTTTTGTTTGTTTGTTTGTTTGTTTTGTTTTGTTTCAGACAGGGTGTCACTCTGTTGCCCAGGCTGGAGTGCAGTGGTGCGATCACGGCTCACTGCAGCCTCAACCTCCTGGGCTTAAGAAATCCTCCTACCTCAGCCTCTTATGTATCTAGGACTACAGGCATGCACCACCATGCCCAGCTGATTCTTTTTTTCTTTTTTTATTTTTTGTAGAGATGGGGACTTGCTATGTTGCCCAGGCTGGTCTCAAGCTCCTGGGCTGAAGCGATCTTCCTGTCTTGACCTCCTAAAGTTCTGAGATTACAGGCATGAGCCACTGCACCCAGCCCACTGCACTTTCTTTATCATTCATCTGGTGATGGACATCTGGGTTGCTTTCAGATATTGGCCCTGTGAATAATGCTGAAATGAACATGAGATTGCACATCTCGCTTTGAGGTTCTGATTTCACTTCAACTTAAGGCATTTTTTATCCAAACTATGGTCCTCCAAGCCTCAGTTTCACGATACTTACTTAATGAGTTCCTTTAAATTGACTCACTTTTTATTTAAATTTGTTTCCAAATGAAATTCCATGCAACTGCCACAATTTTTCTATATGCACCACTTGACAAACAGAATGGACCATTAAATGAAAACTTTAATATAAAACGTTTCCCAGGTTCCTCCTGAGGTTACCTTGTGGCCATCATGGCAGGCCCCCCACACTGGGTTCCCGGGCTCAGGGACACCACCAGGAATACCAGCATCCCAGTGGCACTTTCCCTTTCCTCATCTCTAGTGCCAAATCACACTCCAGCAGCCAGGACACCAGCCCCAAGCCCCCGGCACTCCACTACCACCCATGTGCTGTATCTGTCAGCACGACAATTGTCACCTTGAAAGCCGACATCCTTGACAATTCCTCAACCTGACAGAAATTTCCCACTTAAGTTTAGAGAGTGAAAACGTCCCACAATGACAGCCACCTTTCCCCACATTTACCGACAAGCCTATAGCACTTCCATCAGTCAACAACAATCCTCGATGCTTTGGCAGGTGAAGCCAGAGGACACCAACGATCAGAAAATAAACCCAGGCCCGACAGCCCATGCTCCGCTCAGTTGACCTCACAGGTGACTCCAGGATGGAGGGCTCCAAGATGCAGCCAAGCAGAGGCGTTCTGCCCCCAGAGAACCCAGAGAGGCTTCTGGTGACAGGACTAGAATCCTCCTCCCTCAGCCACTGGGGAGAGCAGAGTGCCCCGTTGTCCCTGGGGAGCCCAGGAGGCAGCCCCTCCCTCACTCTCGGCCGCTGTGCCTGCAAGCTGGGTGCCTGTGTGGGTGCTGGGGGCCAGGGAATGGGAAGAAGTCACGGGACACATATTTGATTCCAAGTTTGTGGAGCTAACCCCACAGGGTGCTTTGGGGTCCTATTAAAATCAGAGGAGGCACATTTTAGAGTAGAATATAACATGCATGGGAATTTTTAAGAAAAAATAAGACTGTAAACACCTATTCCTGAGAACACCAATGGAAGGGATGTGGGTGGGGAGGTGGGGCAGCTGGCAAAGAACTGGAAATGCACAGCTCACCCAGTCACAAAGGCGCAAGAGTCCGCCCAGGGGGCTGGACCATGGGAAGCATTCCCTTGCTGCTCTCCAGGAGCTCAGGGACCCCACCCGGTAGGTGACTCAGGGTGGGGCCCAGGGGACAGGCCAGGGGCTGCAGCAGAAGTTCTAGGCACATACCTGAGACCCCCCCCCCAGGAGACTCAAGGACCCCAGAAGAGGACTTGGGCAGGGGGCTGGAAATGATGGCCACACACCAGAGGAGGTGTCACAGAAGTTTGTTTGAGACTTCCGTGAGTGTAGAAAGGGCCCTGCCACCTGCAGAGCTTGCAGGAGGTAGGAGAAGCAGGCAGCCGACAGCAGACTGGCACATCTGGGGGGTCCCATGGGTGAAAGGAGGCGAGGACCTGGCTTTGCTGAGCTGGACACAACCGTCACCCTGACCTCCTTCTCCAACCAGTACCCCCTCCTGTTGATACTGTCAGGAGACTTGTTCCCCGGGGTCTAGAAAATGACTATTTTGCTTTCTCCTGGGAGATGCTGGCTTTGGGTCCTAACTCTTCTGTCAAGACACACTGTTATCCCCAGGCGTCATCACTCTTCCTGGGATCTGCACCCTAAATTCACATCCGATTTCACGATAGAGAAAAGTGCAGTGGGTTGGAGCTTCAGCCTACACCTGTAAAGAATTGGTCAGCCTGGGGACTGGTGATCTCTGCAGCTGTGGGCTCAGCTCTGGGCTGGGCCTGGTCACTGGGAAAGGCAGGCATGTGCCTAGGTGCTGCAGAGGTCTCGAGCCCCTCCCATGAGCTTGGCGCGGTGCGGAGGGCAGCCTGTGAGTGAGGCTCTGAGCCCCACTCATCACTGAGCAAGTTGGAGGAAGAGGGACCCAGGCAGAGACGAGAGGCTGCCTCCAGAAAGCCAGCCAGTGGCAACTGCAAAAGCCGACAGAGCACTGGTTGCCAGGAATGCGCACGGCCCACAGAGGGGAAGAGTGAGGAAGGGTCACTGAAACAGCCTGAACAAATAAAAATGGAGCCAGAAACTGCACAGAAGGGAGACAAAAGAGAGGAATCCGCAGAAACCTGGGCTCCGGGGGGTGTGGTTGCATCTTTCCACCTGGATGAAGTCGACTAAAATGAGCACCAAGGATGGGTCCCAGCATAGCATTGATCCCTTCAATACAACTGATGTAAATGGCTCACACCAGCCAGATACCGCCTGCCCAACAGGAGTCTGGTTGTCAGGATGCTTTAGGGTTGTCCAGTTCACAGCAGCCCCGGATGGAAGGTGGGGGTTATGAAAGTAAGGGCTTCTCAGCCCATGAAGTTGTTTACAGCAGTGATAGTACCAAGTGGAAAACTGATACCCCTGGGGCCAGACTGTGTAGGTGTTGATAGTCTAAGATGGGGCACTGATTAGTTTGGGGACACAGAGGAGATGTTACCTTTAACATCAATCATATTGCATAGACTGGCTATTAACCACGTGTAGAGCACATAGGCCTTTTGCAGAAGGGAAAAAATTCTATTTCCCATAAATCTAAAAAGCATGAAATTGGCCGGGCATGGTGGCTCACGCCTGTAATCCCAGCACTTTGGGAGGCTGAGGCAGGTGGATCATGAGGTCAGGAGATCAAGACCATCCTGGTTAACATGGTGAAACCCCGTCTCTACTAAAAATACAAAAAAATTAGCCAGGCATGGTGGTGGGCGCCTGTAGTCCCAGCTACTCGGGAGGCTGAGACAGGAGAATGGTGTGAACCTGGGAGGCAGAGCCTGCAGTGAGCCAAGATCGCACCACTGCACTCCAGCCTAGGGGACAGAGCAAGACTCCGTCTCTAAAAAAAAAAAGGCAAGAAATTTCTGAAGTCTGGGAAAAATAGAAAAAGAACATCAGTATGTAAAGGCATTATAAGTAGATTTATGATTCACAAAGAACCGGCAAAAGAGAAGGTCCATGGCTGGATGCAGCTGATCTCAGGAAGAGAGAGAACTCCAAACACGTGCGTCAACCACATGCAACCACGTGCATCAATCGACCCATATGCACCAACCATGTGCATCAATGCAGCCTTCAGAAAAGAAGTGACAGTGATGGTGCAGGAGGGGACGGTGGACAGAGGGAAAAGGGGCCTCCCAGGACTAAGTGGAAAGCCTTCCGCAGACCTGTCCTCTTCACCCCAGCCTTGTCATGTGAGTTATGTAGGCACAGTTTCAACGTCATGAGTCACTACCTCTGATCAATAAACCCTCCTGTTTTTTTAAAGCAGCTATATTTGAGACAAACAGCCTCCATCTGCCTAGGAACACAAACCTGAACAAACTAAGCCCCAGTGGCGCTGCCTTTTGGATGTAGACCCCTGTCCACACGACTCCAGATGTCAAACTGCCAAGCAATGGACACATTGGTCTTTGGCAAAGAGGTGATTGAAAAGCTCAAAAACTGCAAGTCTTAAACTCCATTGTTCAATGGGCTGCTGACCCATAGCAGGTGCCCTTCTGCACTGTGAGGCTCAACCACAGGATCTGATATACGTCACCTCATTTGATATGCTGGGGACAACAACTTTAAATCCAGGAAAACTCTTGTTACTGTACACAAGTCAAAGCTTAGTTTGTCAAACCGAGACAGCAGATACACTCCCAATTCCATAAGGAACACATTTTTAAATTAATTTTTAAAACTCAGATTTCTAGCATTGGAAGTTTTCCCTCTGCTATAGTCCACAACACAAATTCAGCCACAGAAGGCACAAGGGGGATGCCGCTCAGGATACAAGAGAGTTGTCTTCCTATTAGGAGTGTGACTGTGTGAGAGCATTCACCTTTCATACTGCACATGTTTAGACTACAAACTTGGTCCAGACAATGACTGCTAGTGACAAAATTAACCCATGGGCATCATGAACTCAGTAAAAAAAAAAAGGTCAGTCTCATTGGCTATCTTTGTTAAGGCGACATTAATTTAGCACAATCTACATTCTTGATGCTCTGCACGCATTTTCTCATGCAAACACATCTGGTTTTAATTACCTTTGGCTGTGCTTGGGAAGAGAAAATAGGATGCAATTTTTAAGTTACGCAGATTTGGGATATGATTATAAAGAGTTAAGGAATCCAGTGGCTTATCCATAAAAGAGTAAAGATGTGGATACATTTTGATAAATAAAATAAGCTGCATAATTAAATCCACAGACATCACCCATGACTCCACGTCCCCTGCCATCATCAGGCTGTGGCCCCTTGTCTTCATGTCTCTTATTACCACATGTCAAGAGATACCTATTGGCTATTTGTTTACAGTGTCCTCTGAATGGTCAGTTGCAGAAAGGCCTGGATCACTTCTGGTTTTGTGAACAATGTATATTCCAGTGCTTAACACAGTATTTGCAACAGGGTGGGCAGTCAGTACATATGTGTGGACTGAATTAATTATTAACATCACTCGTTCTGGGCCAGTCTTCAAGAGCAGCACTCACACAGGGCCATGGTGACAGCTCCACAGCCCCAGCACCTGGGCCACCATTCATTCTGTGTGTTCCCTACAGCTGCAGTCTGCAGGCAGGGTGTGCAGACCCAGAGGAAGAGTGACCCACTTCCTCACTGCAGATGAACAGGAAGACTAGAATGAACCAGCAGCAGCGGGCTGCCCAGGGGCTGCCCTGACCCCTCTCTAAAAGATCCAGTTCAATACAATACATGAAGTCCAGAATATTACTCAAAATTTGCTTGCCACTTTGCCAGCAAATGCAGCACCAAGCTAATTTTTACAACAGCCTTGAAGTCCCAGCAACAACAGCAACTGTCCTTTCTTTTACAGCTAAACTCCCAAGCCTTTTGTTTTTCCCACATGCAAAACTGAAACCCCACTACTTTCTCCCTACAGATTTTTTAGAAATTTCTATCTGAGAGGCCAGGCGAAGTGGCTGACACCTGTAATCCCAGCACTTTGGGAGGCCAAGGCGGGCGGATCACGAGGTCAGGAGTTCGAGGCCAGCCTGGCCAATACGGTGAAACCCCCTCTCTACTAAAAATATTAAAAAATTAGCCGGGCGTTAGCCGGGCGTGGTGGTGCTCGCCTATAGTCCCAGCCACTTGGGAGGCTGAGGCAGAAGAATAGCTTGAACCCTGGAGGCGGAGGTAGCAGTGAGTCGAGATCGTGCCACTGCACTCCAGCTAGGGTAACAGAGCAAGACTGTCTCAAAAAAAAAGAAATTTTGATCTGCGAAATAAATGTATGTGTCTGCCATTGCATTTATGGGTAAAGGCACTCCACACAGGCAACACCTCCAGAAGTCGGCCTGGCCTGAGATTTAGCTGGCCCAGCCTCAGGAGTACTTTCCTCAACCCACATGGGTGAGCACTCCAAGTGTTTAGTAATCATCTGAAGGATTCCTTGACCCTTCAAATCAAACAGCAACAGTGGCAGGCAAAGCTTGGAGGATTAACCGATTAGTCTTTGAACGCAAAAACAACGGCTGATCAGGACGGGTGGTGTCTAATGAGATTAGTTAACCTGCAACCATTTACTGAAATGTGCCTAAGCCTCCCTCATCTTTCCTCTTTCTCTCCAGTATCTCTGGGTTCATCCTAGAGCAACAAATGGAATGCAGTCACCCATGAATGTATCTTAGATCCTAAATGATAAATCCAAATAATTCTCACCTAAGGTGGTGTGCTTTGATGGCCAACAAAAAATTAAAAGAATCTTCAGAAAACGTGCTGGACACTCCTGACCTCCATCGTCCTAGCCACAGCAGCAAGTTCTCTTATCTCCTGAGCATGTGGCACTTCCAGAGCATCTGCTCCAGAACTAGCAAACAGCAGACAGCTTCTCTGAAAGGTGCTGCCCGCAACACCAAGCTGCTCTCAGAAAGCCTCCAGCTGTGGGATGGACCTGCCTCATCATCTTCTTTCCCCACCACAAAGTCAGAAAGATTCAGAAAGAAGAAGTGCAAAGCCTTCATTTGGCAAATCTAGACTATGGAAGAATAAACAAAAAGAGGTGAGAACCCACTGCAAACTCACTAAGCCCCAAATCACACCAATACCACTTTCCTCATTAGAAATTCCTGCCAGATAAACAGAGAATAAAAAGATATAGACACATGTTTTCCTCTGCAGCATATCTGGTCACCTAACTAAATGGAAAAAAAATTACATTTCATTATAAATAGAGACCAATGCAATCGCTGTCCCTGGAGCCCCCAGTGTCCACTGTAGTGTATGGTACACAGCAGGTACTTAAATATCTGTGCAGTGAAGCCAGAGAGAGAAAAGCATCAGCATCCCATTCCTTGAACCAGGGTAAAGATGGCTCCCTGCGAACTCCCTGATTCTCTGGTGAGGTCTTGCTCTCAGAGAGCCCGGCTGCAGCACATTTACAGGTGCCCCGGTGCAAGCATGCTTCTAAATTCTCTCACACCTCCTCCTGATCCGAATTCCTGTGGTCAATCCTAATTCATTTAAACTCACATAAATTCATGTGAGCCTTATGCACACATTACATTAAGTGGAAATGCAAATACCATCATATCTTCGTTTGCATCAGTTAACAATGTAAACACGTGCTACCCAAGAGCGCAGTGACTCTTCTTGGGCCTCCTTCAGGTCTCCCAAAGGAGAGCTGCAGCTCTAAATGGCCTCCAAGGATGTGCAGAGCCATCAAGGGCCAGGAGAGCCTAAAGAAAGCAGAATACAAATCATGCTGCAACTTTATACACTTTTTCATTCCAACTTCACTCAATGGGAAAAGGGAGGCTCACATTATGGGGTGCCTGCATGATCTGTAAACCATTCACTGTTGCCAATACCTTCAGCTCGACACCCTGTTCTTTTAAAGTTAATTAAAATTCCAATAGGATACCCATCAAGCATGCATTTCACATTCATCAAATCTGAAGATCTCCCAAGCAAGGCAAATCTGATAAAAATTGACCTTGGCCTCTTCAAGTGGTGCTATCAAGAGCATTTCCCCCAGCAAATGCTTGCTGATGTGTGTGTTTTTTTTTAATGCACCTCAAAAAAGATCATGTTAACTGTAAAAGATAGAGATTAAATACAGATCAAACGGAAATGCACACTAGAAACAATTGCAAAACTGAGCCCCGAATCTGTCATGCTCCAGCAAGCAGGCAGGCTCTCAAAAGCCAGGAGGAAGAAACAATTGGATAGAATTCTGCTCAGCTCCATCACAGCAAGCAGCCTGATTCTAGGCAGCTGTAGACAAGCTATTGTGTCCTACGGATGACGGAGGTGGGCTCGTTTTCAGGATAGCCTGCCAACAGGCTGGATCAGCAACTGAGCAGGATTATTCTCCCCTGCTGTTTTTTTAAAGCAGATTATGGCTTAGACGTTTTTTCCCTTTTAATGAAGTTTGTAAGAATCATGAACACTGCCTCTGATAATAAAGATAAACTTGGAGCAAATTTAAAAAGGAAACCAACAGACTCAAGCAACTACTCCGCATAGATGCCCAGTAATGCTTGACGATCCAGTTTCCACAACATGGACTGACTGAATCTAGAGGCAAAGCATGATATCAGACTCACAACACACACACACCCCCCCATGCACATCCACATCCACACACGTACACGCACACACCCTTAACTTAGAATACTAAATACCACAAATCCACCAGCAGCAAAGCAGGCACTCTGAGGTGTGCCTCACGCGTGATAAGAGACTTGAAGATTTTCGTATTAGGAACAGGCACTGAAACGACAGCCAATCACGTGTGCCAGGCACTGCACATACGTTATCCTATTTATCTAAGAAGCAGATAGCATCCCTAATTCACTGATAACAAGTCTCAGGAAAGCTAGCCCATTTGCCCCGGGGCAGATGGTGAGGAAGTGTGGAAGCCAAGATTAAAACCACCTTCAGTGGGATTCCCACCACCCCTTCCCCTCCTTCCACGTGTCCTGGGGGAGGTGGCAGGCCACCGCCTCAGGAGAAAAGGCAGTCCTGTGTGTGGGCTTCAGACACCAGCCTGGGAGGCAACACTGTCCCCAGGGGTGTAACAAGAAACATGGGGTTGGGGCTGGGTCACCGTTTGCTCACCGACTTGGAGACTAAGTACAAGGGGAAGAAACCCTGCTGTCTCCACTACTGGGTGTTGTCATGGGACTGTGACACCTGAAGCCACGGCCTCTATTTGAGACCTACTGGGTAGGGATGAGAATGAAGCCAACAGAGGAGCAGAGCAGAAGGGCAGACCAAGTATGGATCAGTGAGGAGAGCACAGAGCTGCTGGGTTAGCCAGCTAGGCCACTCAGACTAATGTCCTGTTCATGTCACTTACATATTAATAGAGCTGCCTGTCACCTGCATCCAAAGCCACAACAGATTTGATGCTGTTTCCTGTGGGCCACACTGCTCTGTGCACTCTGTGGGTTTACAAGACAGCAGCCTTGCATAGAAGAGCATCTGCAGCCGTGAGGCACGGTGAATGGAAGGGGTGGCCACTGCTTATGTTTAGAATCGTGCTACCAACGAGCTGAGCCTGTGGTAGAGTAAGAGGACTCTTCTAACCAAGGCCAAAGTTAATCTTCCAAAAAACACCCTCATTAACTGTGTGCCGCTCAGCAAGGAAATTCTGGAGCCTTAATTTCCGTACCTGTGTAACTAGCAACCTCACCAAGTTGCAGTAAGGACCAGATGAGCCACACTTAAAACACCGCTCAACCCTTAGCCCTCAGCAGAGGCTTCATTCACACCTGGTCCCACTGGGTGCTCAATAAATAATAATTTAGATTATTCACTCGCTGGCTGCAAACTGCTGTTTCCACACTCAGGGGCCTTCTGAACAGGACTTTGCTGTAACTCAGCTGTCATATCAACCACTCGTTTGGTCTCTTGTGAGCTGTCTGGTTTTTGGTGAGGCCCCCAAGTGCCAGCCTTTTCCTCTGGAGTCCTTATTATATCCAAGACCGAACCACGACAACATCCCAACCATCCAGCCAAACTGGACAGAAGGGCGGAGGAACAGAATCCTAACTCAATCACTTCCTAGCTCTCTGACTTGCCCAAATATCAATCTCTCTGGGCCTCAAAATAATAATTATACCAGCCACTTGGCAGGATTATTGTGAACTTTCCATAAGGTGATATATGTCAAAGTGCCCAGCATGCAGCAGGCACTCAGTAAATGTTCAACAGAAAATCTCGGGTATATAAGCAGTTCAACTGTCGAGACCCAAAGAACATGGTAACTAGCTTCCAGATACCATAGACACCCTCTATCCTGGCCTCCACTAGCTGACCAGCTGGACTAACCAACATTCCACGTCCTCTGTAACACAGCCAAAGTCACCCACACCCACCAGAGACTACAGCCTGGCAAGGCTGGGCCAGCCACTCCTGCCTGGGGAAGCCTGTGCTTATCAGGGATCTGTTGTCCTTATTCCCAACTATGCTAATGCAAGTTGTACTCATAATGCTAAATATGCACCATAATTCAATAGTCTGTAACAGGGAAAGAAGTTTGAGTGCAAAAAAAAAAAAAAAAAAATTGTCCCTTGGGAAATCAAGATGACCATGTATGAAAGACTCAAACACTAACAAAATGGTCAAATCAGGTGTAAATGAGAACATCAAACATTAGTGGAGAGGTCCTATTTAAAATCTAAATGACGCTCTATTCAGAATCCTTTGAAAATCTTAGTCTTCACTCTATTTGAAAGAAACAAATAGAAAATCATAAAAGGTGACTGTGTTCAGCTAAAAAGACAATCTGGAACTCAAAGAAAGGTCCTCAGCTCTGTACTCAAAAAATGGTGGAAGAATCATACACGTGTATGCTTATAAAATAAAATATTTAACAAATATAATTTTATGATTCTCCAACTTAAATTATTTTCTCTATTAAGTCCCAGTCACATTGTCAAAGAGACACAGAAGAGATTTTCAAACGGATCCAATGTGAACATATACCACTGTACCTCAAGATACAAAATACAGATAAACTTATTAGGCTGTAATGCCGACTTTTATATCATCAAAGGCACTGCCTAAGCTTTCTAGAATTCTTTAATTTGTGACAATGTCCTTCCTTGTAACCCTCACAGAATTCTGGAGTGACACCGGTCAGTGCCCACGGGTACCTTCTGAGAGCTGGGCAGACAGCTTGCAACCACTCACTACCTCTACTGTCAGCTCCATCCAGAAAGCCCAAGCCAGTCTTGTTTACCTATAATAGTGCCTAGCCGAGTCTACATGAACTGCAGAAGATGTTCTGTATAGGCTCAAATATAAGTCAAGGATTTAAAAAATTTTCAAAACAAAATTGGAATTGTCTGATATTCAAGTCCTTATTAAATCACTTACATTAAAAAGCATGTTTTGAATTACTCAATGTGGAACCACAAAACTCTTTTAGCAAGACTCCCACTGCACTGAAACAATTTGATTGATGCTAGCTTGGGATGTTAAAGGGATTTTCTTGCAAAATAGTGAAAACAAAACAATAAACAAACAAGTTAGCCTGAGAAATTTAGCATACATTAGCAACTGCAAGGGTTAGACAGTACCATTAAAACAGGACTGTTTAAAGGTCACTTCAAGAAGTAACACATATGAACACACTTTAAGAAGCAACACACATATAGTATTTGCCAACAGGCAAATAAAAAGACCAACTCCTGATCTTAGGCTATGGGTACTCGTCACTGGGTATATTATTTCCAGGGGCAGCATCGTTAACTGACTCCACAAAAGCGCTTTATCTCAAATGGCTCAGGTGAGAGCAGAGCTGAGAGGTTCTGCTAACCACGTCAGGGGACTCCAAGTACTCTGGTGATCACCAAAACCGATGAAAAACAACAGGTAAAGAGTTCAGGAAAACACTGTTTTGTGTCCTGCCAGTAAAACCAAACAGAAATTAAAACTTTTTTTTAAATAAAGCTGTCAAAATATTGAACCGTAACAAAATTAATAAAGTAAACAAGCTATGCCAATACTTACCTATATACCTAAAAAGTATACATACCCTAATTGGCCCAAAAGAAGATGTAAGGAGCTTCTAATTGGAAAATGATGGGACTGTAATATTTATGGTTACCTGCTATCATGGCATATTAGTTAAATAAGTGCCCCTCTATTAAACAACATGCAACAACATCCAGCATTCAACTTTCCTGGCAGGAGTCAAGCAATTCCAATGGACAGTAAAGTACCAAAAGTAATTTTCAGCCGAAATCTTTGTCAACCAACTGTATAGGGTTGCTCAATGCCTGATATGCTATTACAATCCTTCCCACTCCCGAAGCATGTGCTGGACCTAATGCTATTATCCCAGCATGGTAGTATAGTGCTAGTGTAGTGTGAATACACCATGCGGGACTCCTGCTTATTAGTTAAATAAGTGCTCGTCTATTAAACAACATCCAGAAACATCCCAAAAACACAAAAAGTCATGAACATGACTATGCACCCATAAAGAAAGTCAACCAAGGGTCTCAACATATGGTGAGTAAAACATCAATTTCCTGCTAATACTAAATGTCACTACTAAAAAGTTCCAAGCTTCAACCCCTTTGACAAGTTCTAAAAGGTACTACAAATGCCACAGAATTCCCGGAGTGGCATCAAAGCTTCAGCCTGTCACATGTCAGAGGTTACCTCCTAACCTCCTGGTCAAACACAAAGTCCCCCAAGATAAACTGAGAGGACATCTGTAAACAGATGGTCATCAGAATGTCCCAGCGTTTTACTAGAAGCGGGGCTCCGAATATCACATAATTTATCAGAACAGAAGAAGGTAACCCACTTATTCTGCAAATAAAGATATTTAATTATAAATACCTTACATCAAAAACAGCAAGGCCAGGAAGGAAAAGTTTGAAAATTTCTAACGCAAGCATTTAGCTGGATTTAATCACAATTAAAACCAAAGAAAAAAATTCCCCTTCAGCAGTGCCCCCCAAGTGACCCCCAGTGACTATCCTTGACTGTCCCCATTCTTCCTGATCCATAGAAAAAAAAACCCATTGCAGCAAAGTATGGCATTTAACTCAAGCTCAACATCCAAGGGTTTAAGTTCCTAACCTTAACCTTAGAGATTTGCAGTACTGCCTAATCCAGGTGCTAGAATGTTCCCAGCATTTCAGGATTACACATAGTGGAAGGACTAGGCATCACCAACTCCTTAAATGGTCAAAAGTAGAGGAATAAAGTTGTGTTTCTAAAGCAAATGATTATTCCAATAGATAATGTATTTTTTTTAACATTTAAGTGCTTTTCTCCATTTAAAGAAATTAACAAAACCCGGGTCCTTTCTTTTCTCATTTAAACCAGCATCCCATGCCCTCTCTCCTGGTAACTGTTCACAAGGTGGCAAGGGTGTGTAATAAGAAGCTGTAAGAAGCTTTTAAAACCAAATCATTGAAGCCATCCAGAGAAGATCTTTCGTCTAAAACAGAAGCAGCGAAGGCCCTAAAATGCGGCTGTACCAAAAATAATAATAATAAATATAAATGACCCCCGTGGGAATGCAACCCTGCCTGGGAGCCCAGGAGAAGACCTTGGCTTCTGGTTAGACACTGCCAAGTCCAAAAGGGCTGGGTCAAAAGGCTCCTGGGGCCTCCAGATTAACTCCTTCCAGACTACTAGAAGCATTCCTCCAAACCCCAGTCCCACTCTGCCTTCTGCCCTCCCCTCCTTAGCCACACCGCAGGCAGGAGGCCCGCGGGCTTCCCAGAGCAGCCATCAGAGCCCTGTCAGAAACGTTAAGGGCTAACTTTTCTCTAGGCAGGCCCAGGGTGTGCAGAGGGAGTGTCTGGGGACCCAGAGGAAGAAGGTCCCCGTTTCTAGGGAGACGCAAGGGCGATGCTAAGTTTAAGAGGCAGGGTAACAAGTCCGGCCAAGGAATCGGGGGTGAGCGACGGGACAGGAAGGCGTGCCCACTCCACAGGAGGATGGGACACACGTGAACAAGCGGCGAGCTGCCCAGGGGCCGGATGCCGCCACCAAGCAAGCGAAGTTGGAGGAAGAGCAACAGCGGAGTGGGCCAACGCAGGACCACCCGTGGTCTCCTCCGCACCTCATCACTGCCCCCCACGCCCAAGCACCCACCCACACACTCCCACGTGCCGTGGCCACTTCCGCCGAGACAGATACTCACCTTTGCCGCCGGCGCGGTCCTGCTGGTCGCCAGCTCCCGCAGACTGCCGGCGGTGCTGCCCGCGGCCGCGGAGAGGAAAACCGGGGAACCCGGGGTGCTGCCTGCCGCGCCGCCCCCGCCGCCCGCGAGCGTGGGGGCCGCACTCTGGCCTGGGATGGGACGCGCGGGCGGGCTGCCGCCGGGGCTGGTGCCCGCGCGGGGCCGCTGACGGATGCCGTCCAGCAGTCGCACCAGCAAGATGTTGGCGGGCAGTTCGTCCACGCCGCAGCCCACCAGGATGCGGCACTCGGGGCAGCGCAGCTCGTGGCGCGAGCACACGATGCTCTCCAGGCAGCGGCGGCAGAAAGTGTGTTGGCATGGCAGCACCTTGGCCGTGGTGTCCAGGCGCTCCAGACACACGGAGCACTCCAGCAGGTCCAGCAGCGACGACTCGTCCATGTCCTCGCCCGCCCCCGCGGCGGTGGCCGCCGCCCGACGCCGCCGTCGCTCGCCTGGCCTGTCCTCGTCGCCCTCGCTCTGCGCAGCAGCGGCGGCCGCCTTGGATGCGCACAGCCAGGACGCTCCGAGCAGCATGGGGGAGGCGCCCGCAGCGGTCTCGCGCGGCTGCCTAGGTCCCGGGGCCGGCGTGGAGCCCGCCACCGGCAGCCAGCATCAGGACTGGGGAGCCGGGCTCCGCCGTGACTTTCTTCACCCCGGCTGGTGGCCCGATGCTAGGGCTGTGGCGGTGCGAAGTGGCTCACCGACCGGCCTGCGTGGCGGGGACCGGCCTGCGTGGCGGGGACCGGCCAGCCGAGCCCGCCCAGTCCTGAGCGCAGCGCCTGCGGCTGCGGGCTACACCTGTCCCGCCGCAAGTCCGCCCCGCGCGGGGGACCGGGGGTGCTGCCGGGCACGAAGCTCAACGGGTTCTGTGCTGCAAGCGGCGGCTCGCGCCTGGGAGACCAGCGGCAGGAAGTGCGGGCAGCGGCCGGCCAGGTCCCCGGGGAGGCCGGGGCGCGGCGTGCACGCTCCTCCGCGCAGCTGGCGAGCCGCACCGCCCCCGCGGCACCTCCATGCGCCCCTGGCCTGCTCGCTAGTCGCTGTCCTCCAGAGGATTCAGCAGGACCGTTCCTCTTCCTCGGCCGCGAGCACGTGCGCGGGGGTGCGCGCGGAGGTCACGGTCACTGCGGGGCTCAGGGAAGGAGGCGCCGTGCCTGCAGGACTTCCCTTCGCTTGGGCGCAAGCCGGCGATTAGCCTGGTCCCCTAGGACATCTCCAGGGCTCCGGGGAACCTCTCCTGCGCAGGCTTGGCCCTGCCTCCTCCAAGCGTCCGAGTCTTTTTCGGCTTTTCGTGAGCCTCAGAGAGGGACGTTTCCTGCCAACGCTGCTGCGAAGGAAAGTTTGGGCGGCGTTATCCCGACTGCCTTCCTCGCCAGCGCCGGCGAGCAGCTTGGGGACACAGCCGACGCCCGGGCATCCTCCCCGACGACCCCCCGGAGCGCTCCCAGTTCAGACTCCTTTCCGAGAAGCGCGCAGAAGTGACAGCCCCGGAGCTTCGTTCCGGTGTAGGTGTGGGGATGCGCCGCAAGGCAGGAGGGGAAGGCGCTCCAGTTGAAGGGGGCACCCCGGGGCCCGCGCCGACTCCTCCCGGCGCAGCCTTGGCTCGCCGGAGTCGCGGGTCGGAGGCTGGCGCCGCTGCCCGCCGACCAGCACCCTGGCGCCAGGCGCCCGGCTCCACGCCGCACCCTTGGCGACGCTGTGCGAGGGGCTCTAGCGCCCGCCGCGGCGCAGTCTCGTGAACCCCCGCTCCAATTTTTTCCTACGGAGGCGCAGAGGAGGGTGAATTCGCGCTCTCCTTCCCGACGCCCCGGCTTCTGGGAGCGTCAGAGCAACGGAAGTACGTACAGGAGGACCGAGAGCAGCAGGGAAGTTTGGCGGTGGGCTGGGGTCGGCGGCGAAGATTCCCTGCCGTGCGCTGCCCCCTCGTGGCCGCTTTGCGTTCCCGTCGGGAAGGGCTGGGTTCCAGTCCAGGGCCCAGCACAAACCAGGATTGGTTGGACGCTGCACAGCGAGTTCAGTCAGGGCTAACATCAGAAGAGTCGTGGGGGGCCTGCCTATCGGCCAGCCTGTCCTTGTGGTTTGTGAAGTTGTATGATCTTTCTGTTATTATTAAGGAAAAAAGTAGTATTTGTTGAGGCTAAAAGGCCAAGAGCGTGCTATATATTATTTAATCCTCTAAACAGCTCTGCCAGATAATTATTTTATTTATTTATATTTACTTCCATAGCTTTAGACAGGATCTCGTTCTGTCAGGCAGGCTAGAGCGCGGGGTGCTATCACGGCTCACTGCAGCCTCAAACTCTTGGGCTCAAGCCATCCTTTCACCTCAGCCTCCTGAATAGTTGAAACTACAGGTGCGCCACCACGCCTGGCTAAATTTTTAATTTAAATTTTTTGTAGCGACAGGGTCTCCTTATGTTGCCCAGGCTAGTCTCAAACTCCTGGGCTCAAGAGATCCTCCAACCTCATCTTCACAAAGTGCTGGGAGTACAGGCGCCAGCCACGGTGCCCAACCTGTGATAATTATTTTAAACTCATTTTACAAATGAGGAAAGTGATATTCATACTTGTAAAGCCATTGGGGCTGAATTTTCATTTTTGTATCCACAGAACTAACACATAAAGTTTACATGCCATTAGAATGTAAGCTCTCTGTAAGCTACAGATCTTTTCTACTGTAATATCCTTAGTGCCTAGGGCAGTGACTAGCATATAGTAGGTGTTCAATAAATATTTGTAGAATTAATGAAAGGATACGTCTCTCTTTCTCTCTCTCCCTCTCTCTCTCTCTCTCTCTCATCACCTACTGGTGATTTGAAGGCAGATCTTAGTATCTCAATTACACATATCCTGTGCTTATATCAGGATGCTAGTCCCTGGAAACTTTGCTTCTGATAGCAGCAGGTGGCTTTCTTAACCTGGATGTCTCTCAGCAATGTGGATTTCCATCTGTATGATTTACATCAGCGCCAACAACAGGGTGAGATGGAAAGCATCCCAGAGCTGCCTGGCTTCCCTTGAGGGCCGAAGGAAGGGCACACACCTCGCAGTGCATGGAAACATGTTCACATGAGCCACCTTTCACTCTTACCCTTGCTCAGGAACAAGGGGAATTTTTTAGAGCACCCAGGATGCTTGATCCAAGAGCAGATGGTAGACAAGGGGGAGCATAAAGAGGGGACCCATCAGGCACTGGAAGGGCTCACAGAGAGCAAGGACGGCCTGTGACGACATGCCCTGGTGCTTTTGGTTGCAAGCAACAGAAACCAACTCTAGGTAAATTTTAAAGGGAGCAGAATATACACTAATAATACGAGGCATCTCATAGGATCCCAGGCTAAGAGCTGAGCCAGATTAGCACAGATAGAGCCTGCAGTGTGTGTTGCTGTCCCTGTCTCTAGTTGATGACTCAACCCTTCACTTTCTTGCACCAGCTGCCTCTGCTTCCCAACCCACATGACAGAAAATGCGGTCAAATCTTCATGAGCCTTTCTTCCAACAACATCAGCCACTCCTGGAAGTTCTAAAACTCTATCACTAGTATGGACCAGTGGTCACTCTTTGGACCCGTGTGCCTTGGCCACAGGAGCAGGATCATCTGGAACCTGGCAGCACTCTCTGTAGTCACACAGGAGAAGTGAGAATTTCCAGAAGAATTGCCGTGCTGGGCAGTCAGAACCACAGATGCCCGTGCCAGAAGCTCACCGCCACATCTCTGCCCTCAGTACATCTTTATCTTGCACGACCCAAGACAGACAAGAGCAAGAGAGAGCCACTTAAGCCCACCTTTCCCAGCTTTCTTCTCTCTCCACTTTACCCCTTTTGCCCCTGCCATAACCAGCACCCACAGGACACACAGACTATGCACCCAGATGTCCACAGTGACTGGGCAGGGCATGAAATTAACGAAGCAGGGTGAACCCCAGGCAACAGGGCCTGGTGGGGACTGCAGTGAGCTTTGTCTGCACCCTTCAGAGGAAGTAGCTGCTGCCCAGCTCCAGCCCTGGGGGAATGACGACCAAATGTTGCTAGACCTTCATACCTTTCAAGAGAAGTTGGAAGTGCTGCTTTTTACATGACATCTCCTGATGTTCAACAGTTGGCAACCGATTTAGTTCTCAAAAACCACCATATTAGCCAAACAAAATAAATGTGTGGTCAAATTGGCCTACAGACCGCCAGTTTACAATTTCTGGTTGAAGTAGCCAAGTACACTGTGCTACAGCGTGAGGGAATTTGAGGGTGTGAACTAAATAGTTGAAGTATTACAAATACAGTCTTATGTTACTCGGTTAAATTTGCACATGTTCAATAAGCCAATTATATAAGTAAATAATTGAGAAGACCTGGCTTTACAGCCATTCCTAAAAAGATCTGGGGATTTCAGTTGACCACAAGCATTGTATGAGCCAACATGAGTCATCTATGTACTATGGCTGACTAGAGAAGTAACGAAATCTTCGGATGCCTTCATGAAAGTTAAGGTGGGGGGTGGTCAGGGTTTGGAAAAAAATAATCCCATTGTACCTCAGACTTGTGAGATTACTTCCAATTCTGGGTACCAAAAATTAATGACGATGTGGTAAGGGATCCGGAGGCCTCATCCATGAGTTTCAGTTGAAGGAACACAGGGCGTCTGTCCAAAGGAGAAAAAGCTCAGAGGAAACAGGACTGGACGGCTGTATGTCAGGTTTTTGGCGGCCCAAAATTTGAACTTCTTTTTAGATTTGGAAGACGCTCCACATGGTGATAGTCAGATAATTCTAACCCCCCCACCAACTCTGCTAAGGTGTGGGAATGTGACAGGCTCAGCTAGTCAAAAGCTGCCCCTCCCCCACCACACTCTGGGAGGTGGAGGGACGTGGGCAGAGGAAGCACCGAGAGTTCAGCAGCTATGGGGCAGGTGGCTGGCAGCAGCAGTGCCTGCAGCCTGTAGCATCTCAGAGTGGGGGCACGCCTTGGCAACAGGCCAACCCCAGACTTGACTGCCTGGTGAGCCTGGACTGTAGCCTCCACTGCTTTCCTGGCCTTGCTGTTGATCTTATGGGTTTTCCAATTTCATTTCCTTAGTTTCTTTTTCGTTAAATCAACCAGAGTCCATTTTTGTTGTTTTCAACTGGGAACCCAAATTGATGCACATTATTTACGATAAACAAAGCCCCTCTATATGAGACAATCATCACTGCACTGAACAGCAGCTATAGTTGCAGAACCCTGGAGGATCTCCGCCAGGCATTGCACCGTGTGGGGTTGAGGAAGGTTTAGTCAGGCAACCCTAAACGTACTCATTTGGGGCAAGAAGAAATCTGATACAGGGAGACACAAGATTGGAAGTTACTGGTTAAAAACTAACACAGGACGACAACAAAGCAAATCCACTTAATGCCACTGAACTGTACACTTTAAAATGGGTAAAATGGTCACTTTTATGTTATGTATTTTCTGACAATTTTTAAAACAAAACTGCAGCCGGGCATGATGGCTCATGCCTGTAATCCCAGCACTTTGGGAGGCCGAGACGGGCGGATCACCTGAGGTCAGGAGTTCGACACCAGCCTGGCCAACATAGTGAAACCCTGTCTTTACTAAAAATAAAACAAATTAGCCCAGGCACGGTGGCTCACGCCTGTAATCCCAGAACTTTGGGAGGCCGAGGCGGGCAGATCACCTGAGGTCAGCAGTTCGAGACCAGCCTGACTAACATGGTGAAACCCTGTCTCTACTAAAATACAAAAATTTGCCGGATGTGGTGGTGGGCACCTGTAACCTCAGCTACTTGGGAGGCTGAGGCAGGAGAATCGCTTGAACCCAGGAGGTGGAGGTTGCAATGAGCCAAGATTGTGCCATTGCACTCCAGCCTGGGCAACAAGAGCGAGACTCTGTCTCAAAAAAAAAAAAAATTAAATACATGTGGTGGCATGTGCCTTTAATCCCAGCTACTCAGGAGACTGAGGCATGAGACTCGCTTGAACCCGGGAGGTGGAGGCTGCAGCATGTTGAGATTGTGCCACCGTACTCTAGCCTGGGCGACAGAGCTAGACTGTGTCAAAAAAATAATAAATAAATAAATAAATAAATAAATAAATAAATAAATAAAACTGAAAAGAAAATAGCATAGGAGTAGAGAGTCCAGTGCTAAGAACCTTGGTTTCAGTTATGTCCATGGGAGTTAATTCAACAACCTATAAATTGAGCACCAACTGTATACCAGCAAGGTCCTAGCCCTTCCCTTGAAGCACTGGCATTCTAGAAGGGCAGGATGAAACTGTCCAAAACAGGTGCAGCCATGGGTGAGAACTGGCAGCCAGCCACAGCACCATGCTCTCCATCCTGGTGAACTCATTCTTCCACCACCCAGCCCTATGAGGCAAGTATTAATGTGGTACCTCCATTTCACAAGTGAGGAAATTGAGGCAGAGAGGGAATATGTAACCAATCCAATGTCACATTGCTACTGAGTGGAATAATCAAGACTTGCATCCAAAGTGGGGGACTTGAGTCTATATTTTACATCCACCCAAACCCTGGAGCTCATGAATAAGACCAGAGCTAAAAATACAGACTTGAATTCATCCGCATATAGGCAGCAGGAAGACCCAGAGGAGCAAATGCTTTCATCCATGGAGGAGAGAGAAAGGCATGCTTGGGGCAGACCCCAGGGAGCACTGTGCTTCAGGGGAAGGGAGGGAGGGAGGGAGAGAAGGATGGAAGGAAGGAAGGAAGGAAGGAAGGAAGGAAGGAAGGAAGGAAGGAAGGAAAGAAAGAAAAGCCACAGTGAGGAAGGCTGAGTTGGGATGACACAAGGCTTGGGAAAGAGCAAAAGAGGGTGGTGAGAGCTCAGGGCACCTGTCTAGTTAGCACCCAGAGGGAGATGGATATGAGGGTGTCACTACCTCTGAGCCACGGCTGATACCTGCACTCTGAGGATGGCCACACGCATTCACCACTCCTCTCTGATGCCTCCTCCTCCCTGCAGTCTTCCATGATCTCCCAGCTGTGTGATGTCAGGCACAACTGTGGGCTACATCGTCCACCAGGCATGAGTTCAAGCCTGTTTCTCATGTTACTAGTTCACCGTCACTGTGCAAGTTACCGAGGCTGCCTAAGACACAACTTGAGGTGAGAGGAATTAAACACTATGGTGTTAAATTATCTTGTTTATTGTTTGGTTTGGGCTTTGGGTTTTTGTGTGGGTGTGGGTGTGAAAGAAACAGGGTCTCCCTCTTTCACCCAGTTTGGAGCGCAGTGGCACAATCATGGTTCACTGTAGCCTGGAACTCCTGGGCTCAAGGGATCCTCCCACTTCAGCCTACTGAGTAGCTGGGACCACAGGCACATGCCACCATGTCTGGCTAATTTTTTTTAATTTTTGTAGAGACTAGGTCTCGCTATGTTGACCAGGCTGGTTTCAAACTCCTGGGTTCAAGTGGTCCTCCCACCTTGGCCTCCCAAAGTGCTAAGATTAGAGGCATGAGCCACCACAGCTGGCCTAAATTACTGTGTTGATGGGGGCTTTAGTAAGACCAAACCCATACAGTGGAGGCTGTCAAGCCACACTTGAATTCTCTTATCCCTGCTACCCAACACCTCTGGGCTTGTGCCCACATGCACAGGCTCCAAACACCAGGGGCAGTCCTCAGCAATGGCAGATGACAGCACTCCTGCCCCTCGGGAGGAATAGCTTTACACTGTCCCCCAGCAGGGTTAAGCTTCATCCAAGCTAACTTGCCCACAGTGAACCTGTTGATTGGCTGGCACTTCCTTTCTAAGTCCCTTTCCAATCCCTGTTGATGTTTCCTAGGGTCCCCTCCCAAATAAACTACCTGCCCGCAAATCCTTCCCTTAAGATCTGCTTCTGGGAAACCACAGCCGTGTGGAAAATATTGAGCAAATAATGGGCACTCACTACCTGTAAATTTCTTTCAACAAAAGCGTGTTCCCTCCTGAATCCCTTCTGAAACCACATCTGTTCTCCTCATCCTGACTTGATCCCTCTCTCCCATGTAGCACAGTTGCTTTGTCTCGCTTTCTTGAACCTGAGCTCCTTGAGTAGCAGACTCAAGCTTGTATCCTTCCCACTAGCAAGCACAGTGCTTTACACCAGCAGGTACTCAGTAGACACCTGCTGAATACACATATGAAAAAAGATAGCCTCCTTGGCCACTGATTAGATGCCAGAGGTAGCAGGAGGAGAAGTTTTATTTTAGACACATAAGTTAGAGGTGCTGGCAGGCAGGGAGGTACAGATGTCTGGCAGTTAGAGATGTGATTCAAACAGAGTTCCAGAGGGAGGTTAGGGTTGGGGGTGTGCATCTGGGAGTCATTTTCCTGGAGGTGATAGATGAAGCCTACAGGGAGAAGAGTAACCCCTGGTTTTTACTCTGGAAACTGCAGTAAAGTCTTTCCCACTTGCTAAGCAGAGGACAGAGGATCGGGAGGAACGTGTAGCAGGGGGTCTCATCAGTCACTGAGCTGCTCAGAACACTCTCCATCTGCAGGTTGCAAAATGCTTTACAGATGTGATTTAGTGCTACACAAATGTTGCCATTCCTATGACAAAGAAGGTGACAGAGGAAAGTTCTTAAGTTTGAGAAACAGATGCTGTGCACCTGTTTAACCTTTTAAAGCAGTTAATTGCAGGTATTTTTTCTAGGTAATTGCGGTGTAAATATCATTAGTGCAAGTGAAGGATTTTTTTTATTCCTAGAAAGGAGTTAAAATTAAGACTTTGTTTTTTAATTTTCAGATACCCAGGTCCCTGGTTAGGTAGAACTTCACTTCTTGTTTTGTTTTGTTTTGTTTTGTTTTGTTTTGTTTTGTTTTGTTTTAGAGAGATGGAGTGTCACTCTGTCGCCCAGGCTGGAGTGCAGTGGTGCGATCTCAGCTCACTGCAAGCTCCACCTCCTGGGCGCATGTCATTCTCCTGCCTCAGCCTCTGAGTAGCTGGGACTACAGGCGCCTGCCACCTTGTCCGGCTAATTTTTTTTGTATTTTTAGTAGAGACGGGGTTTCACCATGTTAGCTAGGATGGTCTCGATCTCCTGACCTTGTGATCCGCCCACCTCGGCCTCCCAAAGTGCTAGGATTACAGGCGTGAGCCACCGCGCCCAGCCAGAACTTCACTTCTTAACCTGCAACAGCTGCACTGCATGAGTTGCCACCCTCTTTACTGTGTAGACAAAGCTGCCAGTTACCTGGTGCAGGGCTTCTCTGTACCAGGAAGAAGTACTTGAGTGTTTCCCTTGGCTTTGGACATGTGAGGGAAGTAGGTATCCGCTGCCTGGGGAAAGTCAACAGGACCCCTCCTCCCCGTACCTCTTGGTATACAAAGCTGAGCGGTGGTGAGTCAGTTTCCACAGCCTCCTCAACCCTTCACCTAGAGGCTGCTTTTTTTTTTTTTTTTTTTTTTTGAGACGGAGTTTCGCTCTTTTTGCCCAGGCTGGAGTGCAATGGCGCGATCTCGGCTCACCACATGGAGGCCTTTTTGATGGACGTGAACTGGAAGGAAAGGTCACCTAGAGCACAAGGTGCCCACTCATCCAAGAAGAAGTGCAGGTTGGTCTGATACCCTGGGGGTGGAGGGCGGTCATGGGAAGGCCAACCTGGCTGAGCACTTGGCTGAGGCTGGAAGTCCGTCTCTACCTTACATCCTTGGGGACCACAGCTGAGTATGCGAGGCTAATGTGGCATATTCACCTGTGAGGAAGCCCTTGGGGTCCAGGTGGCCTGAGGGGAGGGGTTGACCCCTGGAAGAGTCCCTGGTCATCCACCAAAGCCCTGGTTGTTAAACAGAGTGAATCCAGGCCCCTGGCAGGGTAAGCCAGGCCAGCTGGGCCTATACTGGGAGGCCCTCCCCCTCCTCTTACAAATGAGTTGGGCCAGGTGACTCCACCCTACAGGTAGCCTGCAGTGAGCAGGGATGCCATGAGGAACCCAGTGGGTAGTCACATCCTGAAGTTCCCACTCTGCATGGCCTTGGAGCCAGCCCCTTCAGGCTGCATAGTTCTTGGACAATTCAGAGGGAGGACCCAAGACAAATATCTGGACTTCTCTTAATCTGATCAGGTGAAGGCCTGAATGATTACTTGGAACATTAAGAACATTTTGAATATGAATTTGTTTAAATTCATGGGATACATCATTCAATTACATTTCTTTTGGTCCATAAAAATCTTCATAAACAATGGCAATTTTTTCAACTTAAAGCAATGTACATTTTACTCTGATGAGGTATCTCCTTGTTACCAACTGCAGTTTCCATAGCACTGTGACGAAAATATTTCAAAATCTTTTTCAGTATTAAAAATAATCCTGCAGTTGTCTCTGTTTTCTTTTGCAGTCTTCAAAAGAATTATAATAAATTTTCTTCTCCAATTTGGAGACATAATATACTTTATTTTAATTTGGCTTAAGATCTTAGAAAATACTTAAACTTGTATGCATGGTACAGTTATTAAGCTATAGCACTGCATTGATAATACATTTAATGCAGTAAAGAAAATCCCTTATTTAAATTACAGTCATGAGCGAATGAATGAAAATTGAATATAAAAAAAGCTTCCAGCATAATCACAGCATAATTGACATTGAATAATATTTAATATCTGAATTCTTGTCTTGGCAGAAGTATATCCTAAATCATCCAAGGGGAGATTGTCAATTATAAATAATACTCATGTGTATTTTAGAAAAATGTGAAATCCTTTATGAAAGATATAGAGCTAAAGTAGAATAACCAACCTCGGGGGAAGAGCAATGGGACTGTTTCACGGACAGGATGATGGTGGTCCCTTCCTTGTGAGAGAGATATGGATTGTGAATGTGCCAAGAGTTGTGTCCATTCTGCTCTGTAGTTAAATACATAGACCTTTCTAGAATAAAATGCATATTGAACATTTCAGTGGCCATTCTGTCCAGGAACTCCATGCCTGACAAAGTGTCTTAGCATTTCCCCAGAGCTCCTACCAAGCTCTCAGATATTTCTTGAAAAGCCAGGTCAGAGCCTCATTGCACCTAGGACGATGCCTTCCAAGAAAAGCCTGGTGGATGCTGCAAAGGCAAGTCCGTTATAGAATCGCAGAGTCAAATTTAAAACTTCCCTCATTCAACCATCCTGGTTTCACACCACCACCCCTGCAGCCAGGTGGTCACCACCTCTGCCTAGACATTGCCAGTGATGGAGAACTGCCAGCCTCACCCCCTCAAATGACAGTCTGGTTTATTATGGGATCCCACGACTTAGAAAGTCCTTCCACATACCAGGCATGTGTCCATCTTTCAGAAACTTTTATCTATTTTCCCTTCTCTAAGCAACTGGGAATGAAATCTGGTCCCTTGTCCACATGACTCTCCAAATATTTGAAATCATGACTTATTGAGGTATTGTGAGCCTCAGAGAGGGCACCAGTTGAGGTATTGCTCCTCACAAGAGGGCATTAGCTGCAGGGGTCTGCCCACAGACCCTGACCCAAAAAACAGATGAATAAAACGTACACTGACACGCAGATATTCTGTTTTGCCAGTCCAGCTGAGTGGCCGGCTGCGGTGGACAAACCTCTCTTGGTGTGTAGGCAGTCGGACACTCAGCAGGACTGGCAAAACAGTGTATCTGTGTGTCAGTGTACATTTCATTCATCCGTCGTTTGGGTCAGGGTCTGCAGGCAGACCCCCGCAGCTAATGCCCTCTTTTTGTTTGTTTGCTCTTTGCCAGAAAATCATCTGGTGGGCCTGGGATAGCTGTGTTGTCGTGCCTGTTCTTACACACCCAGAACAGGAGCAGCATTTATATGGCTTTGTCACAGGATGTCAGAGTGAAATGTTGCAGTTGTCTTTTGTGGAGTAAAGAACTACCCCAAAATGTGGTAGTTGAAAATGATGGTGCTGTTTATTTTGCTCATGCATCTGCCATTTGGGCAGGACTCAGTAGAAACAGCTTATCTCTCTTCCACTCAGCCCAAAGGCTGGATATGAGGGTCCGCAGAAGGCCTTTGTGCCTTGCAGTCAGTGCTGGCTGATCTTCACCAGACGCCATTATGTGGCCTTTCCATGTTAACTGAGCACCAGGGTGGCGCAACCCTGGAGAGTGAGCCAGGTCTCATTTTCACAATCTTGCCTCAGAGGGCAGGCAGTGGCACTTCTTCAGCATTCTGTTCCTCAAGGCAGTTACAAGAGCACACCCAGAGAAAGGATCAGAGAAATAGACTCCACTTTCTGATGAGTGTGGGCAAGGTTTTAGAAGAATACACAGGATCGAAAATATTACTGTAGCCTTGCTTTTTGAAAAATGCTGGGTGGAAGCAGCCAAGATGGCCGAATAGGAACAGCTCCCGTCTACAGCTCCCAACGTGAGCGACGCAGAAGACGGGTGATTTCTGCATTTCCATCTGAGGTACCGGGTTCATCTCACTAGGGAGTGCCAGACAGTGGGCGCAGGACAGTGCGTGCAGCGCACCGTGCGCGAGCTGAAGCAGGGCGAGGCATTGCCTCCCTCGGGAAGCGCAAGGGGTCAAGGAGTTCCCTTTCCTAGTCAAAGAAGGGGGTGACAAACGGCACCTGGAAAATTGGGTCACTCCCACCCTAATACTGCACTTTTCCGACGGGCTTAAAAAACGGCACACCAGGAGATTATATCCTGCACCTAGCTCGGAGGGTCCTACGCCCATGGAGTCTCGCTGATTGCTAGCACAGCTGTCTGAGATCAAACTGCAAGGCGGCAGTGAGGCTGCGGGAGGGGCACCCACCATTGCCCAGGCTTGCTTAGGTAAACCAAGCAGCCAGGAAGCTCCAACTGGGTGGAGCCCACCACAGCTCAAGGAGGCCTGCCTGCCTCTGTAGGCTCCACCTCTGGGGGCAGGGCACAAACAAACAAAAAGACAGCAGTAACCTCTGCAGACTTAAATGTCCCTGTCTGACAGCTTTGAAGAGAGCAGTGGTTCTCCCAGCATGCAGCTGGAGATCTGAGAACGGGCAGACTGCCTCTTCAAGTGGGTCCCTGACCCCTGATCCCTGAGCAGCCTAACTGGGAGGGACCCCCCAGTAGGGGCAGACTGACACCTCACACGGCCGGGTACTCCTCTGAGACAAAACTTCCAGACGAACAATCAGACAGCAGCATTCGAGGTTCATGAAAAGCTGCTGTTCTGCAGCCACCGCTGCTGTTACCCAGGCAAACAGGGTCTGGAGTGGACCTCTAGCAAACTCCAACAGACCTGCAGCTGAGGTTCCTGTCTGTTAAAAGGAAAACTAACAAACAGAAAAGACATCCACACCAAAAACCCATCTGTACATCACCATCATCAAAGACCAAAAGTAGATAAAACCACAAAGATGGGGAAAAAACAGAGCAGAAAAACTGGAAACTCTGAAAAGCAGAGCACCTCTCCTCCTCCAAAGGAACGCAGTTCCTCACCAGCAATGGAACAAAGCTGGACGGAGAATGACTTTGACGAGTTGAGAGAAGAAGGCTTCAGATGATCAAACTACTCTGAGCTACAGAAGGAAATTCAAACCAAAGGCAAAGAAGTTGAAAACTTTGAAAAAAATTTAGACAAATGTATAACTAGAATAACCAATACAGAGAAGTGCTTAAAGGAGCTGATGGAGCTGAAAGCCAAGGCTCTAGAACTACGTGAAGAATGCAGAAGCCTCAGGAGCCGATGTGATCAACTGGAAGAAAGGGTATCAGTGATGGAAGATGAAATGAATGAAATGAAGTGAGAAGGGAAGTTTAGAGAAAAAAGAATAAAAAGAAACGAACAAAGCCTCCAAGAAATATGGAACTATGTGAAAAGACCAAATCTACGTCTAACTGGTGTACCTGAAAGTGACAGGGAGAATGGAACCAAGTTGGAAAACACTCTGCAGGATATTATCCAGGAGAACTTCCCCAATCTAGCAAGGCAGACCAACATTCAGATTCAGGAAATACAGAGAACGCCACAAAGATACTCCTCGAGAAGAGCAACTCCAAGACACATAATTGTCAGATTCACCAAAGTTGAAATGAAGGAAAAAATGTTAAGGGCAAACAGAGAGAAAGATTGGGTTACCCACAAAGGGAAGCCCATCAGACTAACAGCAGATCTCTCAGCAGAAACTCTACAAGCCAGAAGAGAGTGGGGGCCAATATTCAACATTCTTAAAGAAAAGAATTTTCAACCCAGAATTTCATATCCAGCCAAACTAAGCTTCATAAATGAAGGATAAATAAAATACTTTACAGACAAGCAAATGCTGAGAGATTTTGTCACCACCAGGCCTGCCCTAAAAGAGCTCCTGAAGGAAGCACTAAACATGGAAAGGAACAACCGGTACCAGCCACTGCAAAATCATGCCAAATTGTAAAGACCATCAAGGCTAGGAAGAAACTGCATCAACTAACGAGCAAAATAACCAGCTAACATCAAAATGACAGGATCAAATTCACACATAACAGTATTAACTTTAAATGTAAATGGACTAAATGCTCCAATTAAAAGACACAGACTGGCAAATTGGATAAAGAGTCAAGACCCATCAGTGCGCTGTATTCAGGAAACCTATCTCATGTGCAGAGACACACATAGGCTCAAAATAAAAGGATGGAGGAAGATCTACCAAGCAAATGGAAAACAAAAAAAGGCAGGGGTTGCAATCCTAGTATCTGATAAAACAGACTTTAAACCAACAAAGATCAAAAGAGACAAAGAAGGCCATTACATAATGGTAAAGGGATCAATTCAACAAGAAGAGCTAACTATCCTAAATATATATGCACCCAATACAGGAGCACCCAGTTTCATAAAGCAAGTCCTGAGTGACCTACAAAGAGACTTAGACTCCCACACAATAATAATGGGAGACTTTAACACCTCACTGTCAACATTAGACAGATCAACGAGACAGAAAGTTAACAAGGATACCCGGGAATTGAACTCAGCTCTGCACCAAGCGGACCTAATAGACATCTACAGTCTCCACCCCAAATCAACAGAATATACATTTTTTCCAGCACCACACCACACCTATTCCAAAATTGACCACATACTTGGAAGTAAAGCTCTCCTCAGCAAATGTAAAAGAACAGAAATTATAACAAACTGTCTCTCAGACCACAGTGCAATCAAACCAGAACTCAGGGTTAAGAAACTCACTCAAAACTGCTCAACTACATGGAAACTGAACAACTTGCTCCTGAATGACTACTGGGTACATAACGAAATGAAGGCAGAAATAAAGATGTTGTTTGAAACTAATGAGAACAAAGACACAACATACCAGAGTCTCTGGGACACATTCAAAGCAGTGTGTAGAGGGAAATTTATAGCACTAAATGCCCACAAGAGAAAGCAGGAAAGATCCAAAATTGACACCCTAACATCACAATTAAAAGAACTAGAAAAGCAAGAGCAAACACATTCAAAAGCTAGCAGAAGGCAAGAAATAACTAAAATCAGAGCAGAACTGAAGGAAATAGAGACACAAAAAGCCCTTCAAAAAATTAATGAATCCAGGAGCTGGTTTTTTGAAAGGATCAACAAAATTGATAGACCGCTAGCAAGACTAATAAAGAAGAAAAGAGAGAAGAATCAAATAGACGCAATAAAAAATGATAAAGGGGATATCACCACCGATCCCACAGAAATACAAACTACCATCAGAGAATACTACAAACACCTCTAGGCAAATAAACTAGAAAATCTAGAAGAAATGGGTAAATTCCTCAACACATACACCCTCCCAAGACTAAACCAGAAAGAAGTTAAATCTCTGAATAGACCAATAACAGGCTCTGAAATTGTGGCAATAATCAATAGCTTACCAACCAAAAAGAGTCCAGGACCAGATGGATTCACCGAATTCTATCAGAGGTACAAGGAGGAACTGGTACCATTCCTTCTGAAACTATTCCAATCAATAGAAAAAGAGGGAATCCTCCCTAACTCATTTTATGAGGCCAGCATCATCCTGATACCAAAGCTGGGCAGAGACACAACCAAAAAAGAGAATTTTAGACCAATATCCTTGATGAACATTGATGCAAAAATCCTCAATAAAATACTGGCAAACCGAACCCAGCAGCACATCAAAAAGTTTATCCACCATGATCAAGTGAGCTTCATCTCTGGGATGCAAGGCTGGTTCAATATATGCAAATCAATAAATGTAATCCAGCATATAAACAGAACCAAAGACAAAAACCACATGATTATCTCAATAGATGCAGAAGAGGTCTTTGACAAAATTCAACAACTCTTCATGCTAAAAACTCTCAATAAATTAGGTATTGATGGGACATATCTCAAAAGAATAAGAGCTATCTATGACAAACCCACAGCCAATATCATACTGAATGGGCAAAAACTGGAAGCATTCCCTTTGAAAACTGGCACAAGACAGGGATGCCCTCTCTCACCGCTCCTATTCAACATAGTGTTGGAAGTTCTGGCCAGGGCAATTAGTCAGGAGAAGGAAATAAAGGGTATTCAATGAGGAAAAGAGGAAGTCAAATTGTCCCTGTTTGCAGATGACATGATTGTATATCTAGAAAACCCCATTGTCTCAGCCCAAAATCTCCTTAAGCTGATAAGCAACTTCAGCAAAGTCTTAGGATACAAAATCAATGTACAAAAATCACAAGCATTCTTATACACCAATAACAGACAAACAGACAGCCAAATCATGAGTGAACTCCCATTCACAATTGCTTCAAAGAGAATAAAATACCTAGGAATCCAACTTACAAGGGACGTGAAGGACCTCTTCAAGGAGAACTACAAACCACTGCTCAATGAAATAAAAGAGGATACAAACAAATGGAAGAACATTCCATGCTCATGGATAGAAAGAATCAATATCGTGAAAATGGCCATACTGCCCAAGGTAATTTATAGATTCAATGCCATCCCCATCAAGCTACCAATGACTTTCTTCACAGAATCGGAAAAAACTACTTTAAAGTTCACATGGAACCAAAAAAGGGCCCGCATTGCCAAGTCAATCCTAAGCCAAAAGAACAAAGCTGGAGGCATCACACTACCTGACTTCAAACTATACTACAAGGCTACAGTAACCAAAACAGCATGGTACTGGTACCAAAACAGAGATATAGATCAGTGGAACAGAACAGAGCCCTCAGAAATAACGCTGCATATCTACAACCATCTGATCTTTGACAAACCTGAGAAAAACAAGCAATGGGGAAAGGATTCCCTATTTAATAAATGGTGCTGGGAAAACTGGCTAGCCATATGTAGAAAGCTGAAATTGGATCCCTTCCTTACACCTTTTACAAAAATTAATTCAAGATGGATTAAAGACTTAAATATTAGACCTAAAACCATAAAAACCCTAGAAGAAAACCTAAGCATTACCACTCAGGACATAGGCATGGGCAAGGACTTCATGTCCAAAACACCAAAAGCAATGGCAACAAAAGCCAAAATTGACAAATGGGATCTAATTAAACTAAAGAGCTTCTGCACAGCAAAAGAAACTACCATCAGAGTGAACAGGCAACCTACAACATGGGAGAAAATTTTCGCAACCTACTCATCTGACAAAGGGCTAATATCCAGAATCTACAATGAACTCAAACAAATTTACAAGAAAAAAACAAACAACCCCATCAAAAAGTGGGCAAACGATGTGAACAGACACTTCTCAAAAGAAGACATTTATGCAGCCAAAAAACACATGAAAAAATGCTCACCATCACTGGCCATCAGAGAAATGCAAATCAAAACCACAATGAGATACCATCTCACACCAGTTAGAATAGCAATCATTAAAAAGTCAGGAAACAACAGGTGCTGGAGAGGATGTGGAGAAATAGGAACACTTTTACACTGTGGGTGGGACTGTCAACTAGTTCAACCATTGTGGAAGTCAGTGTGGCGATTCCTCAGGGATCTAGAACTAGAAATACCATTTGACCCAGCCATCCCATTACTGGGTATATACCCAAAGGACTATAAATCATGCTGCTATAAAGACACATGCACACGTATGTTTATTGCGGCACTATTCACAATAGCAAAGACTTGGAACCAACCCAAATGTCCAACAACGATACACTGGATTAAGAAAATGTGGCACATATACACCATGGAATACTATGCAGCCATAAAAGATGATGAGTTCATGTCCTTTGTAGGGACATGGATGAAATTGGAAATCATCATTCTCAGTAAACTATCGCAAGGACAAAAAAACAAACACCGCATATTCTCACTCATAGGTGGGAACTGAACAATGAGAACACATGGACACAGGAAGGGGAACATCACACTCTGGGGACTGTGGTGGGATGGGGGGAGGGGGGAGGGATAGCATTAGGAGATATACCTAATGCTAAATGACGAGTTAATGGGTGCAGCACACCAGCATGGCACATGTATACATATGTAACTAACCTGCACATTGTGCACATGTACCCTAAAACTTAAAGTATAATAATAATAACAAAAATTTTAAAAATTAAAAAAAACCTAAAAAAAAAAAAAGAAAAGAAAAATGCCATCTCCAAAATGCAGGGAGTTTGCAACACCATTGTAGAGATGGACTTCTGCTGAAATGCTGAAGGAGATGAATGAGACTCAGAGTCAGTGTGGCAGAGTATAGAGTTCAGATTGAAGCCTGTGCATTTCATCCTTAGAGGCTATGATTCATTCCCTACAGTTTTACCCATAAGCTTGATCTAGTCACATCCTGATATTCAAATGCTCAGTAGTGCAATGGGTGTATAACACCATTCCCAGTCCTTCAGTATTCCCATAATAAAGCTATATTTCAACTATCAGTAAATATAAACCTTTGAAAATACAAGTTCTGCTTCGAAAAAAATGGGATTTGAATTATTGTGTGTGGCAGAGTTGAGGCCAGTACATGGTAGGTAGAGGGAAGGGGAATTTTGATTCATGATAAAGAATGCTGGTCCATTAATCCAGAAATAGAGTGGGCTACCTTGTAAAGCAGTAAGACTTTCAGCATGAGATGTTCAAGAGGTAACTGGATGATCATCTGTGCACTAGCTAGGGTACTGCTAGTAACTGTAACACACCCAACCCCAAAATGTCCATGCCTTAACACTATGAAAGTTGGTTTCCGATCATGTCCAGCATGGTATCATAGTCAGCAGGTGTCTACCCTGCAAATAGTGATGCAGAACTCACACCCCCGTTCTGCTGCTCTGCCACACTGTGGGGTCTTAGAGTCCTCTGCTTCTAGCCAGAGGACTGTGCACAGCAACAAGTCAGGCCTGAGTGACACATGTCACTTCCACTCCATCCACTAGTGTGAAGTAGCCACCTGATCTCACCTGCATCCAAGAAGGCATGGACAGCTGTCTCCCAGACAGCTCCACACCAGAGAAACAGAAACATGAAATTTTTTAGTGACTGGCCTGCCGCCTCTGTCCCAGACAGAGTGCAGATGAAACTCTTGCATTGGCCAGGAGATTGGGCCAATTATCTTTAAGGTGCCTACAACTCTAAGATTCTACACTTATAGCAATAGTATATTTAAATTTTAAACCTTGCCGAGACAGTGGGTGGGAAGGATGTCTCCCTCAGTTCCAGGTGTTATTTTTATGGGTGATGTTACTGATCTACCTTATGGCTTGAAAGGGAGCTCGCAAATATTCCAGCCCTTTCTAAATGCCATGCCTAAGTGATCGCAAGATTAAGGACACGGATATGTTGGAAATCTGCCAAGTTCCAATGATGGTAGATGCCATCTGCCTGGGTTAGTGGTTCAGAGACGATCAGGCCTCTTGGTAATTTCCAGCATCCTAACTGTTGCCCCCAGAGCAGTCTCACCCACTCATAGCACAAGCGCTGCTTGCCAGGAAGGCAAACAATGCCTCCTATTTACTAAAGACCCCAGCAGGATAGACACCGGGGCATTATTGGGCAACTAGGATTTCATTTACAATTTGCTACATGCCATTGCACAAAAATGCCTGTGTGTGCTAGACTCCAGCCTCCCTGCTCTATATTCCAGCGTTTTGTCTCAAGCAAGACCTGGAGATTAAGTGAGCAAGTGAAGGGGTCTCAGATCTCCAGGATCTGAGAGGAGAGGTTCCGTGTGGCTCTACCAGAAGTGATTGTCTCCTATTTTCAGGGTCTGTTCTAAACAACTTTCAGCACAGAACCAAGGGAAAGGAGGGCTGTGGGGGGTGCGTGCTCAATTTCCCATATTGGGGGTGGCAGAATTTAAAATCAAGCATTCTTTTTATAGAGATAAGAACATAAGGGCCATAGAAAAGTGTGAGAATCATTCCAAGACTACTATCTTCATGAAAATAAAATTGATTCAAAGTCCTTTTAAATTCACCTAATTGCATCAGGATTAGTGTAGTTGAATCTCTAATCTATTGGTACAAGTTAAATATAATTTGCATCCACATTTATGAAGTCTTATTTTGCCTGTAAAGTATGATGGGATAATAAGTATTCATATCACATAAATAGAAAACATATTTTTATTAATCAGCACTGTGTTGCATTTGAAGGAAGCAATTTAATTAAACTTGCAATACAATAAATAACTGGTCATTAAAAACCTATTAGTGTTCTCGGATTTCCTGTGTCTGCATGCCTTTAAGTAATCACTTGCCTATACTTACCTATGTTATCTATAATTAAATACAAAAGCCATTTTAAAATGCCATTAAGGTCCTGAATGAAATTCACAGCTAGAACTCCCACTGTATCTGAGTCTCCCCAGGTCGGCTGGGCCCTGCCTTCCATGTGTGCCTGGATTGCAAAGTGACAAAGGCCCGAATCATGTGCCTGGGGGCAAGAGTTTCGGAACAGTTCTCCCCACTTTTCATTGACAAAACAATGAACTTCCTCGGAAAGGTGCCCTGCTTTTCAAGAGCGCTCCATTGTGTTTATTGGTTCATTCATTCACTCACTGATTCATTCAGAAGACATACTGAACACAGCCAAGCACAGTGCTAAGGACGCAGCTTCCACTGAGACAGAATCCCTCCTGTCTAGTGCAGAAAGCAGGCAGTGCCCAGCACAGAGCACATGTATTAGGTAAATGGACCAAGTAATATATAAAGGGGGAGTTGGAAAAGTGAAAG
This sequence comes from Homo sapiens, assembly GCF_000001405.40. Lineage (NCBI taxonomy): Eukaryota > Metazoa > Chordata > Mammalia > Primates > Hominidae > Homo > Homo sapiens. The sequence continues at coordinate 109,109,007 of NC_000002.12, read as the reverse complement.
CATACAGTGAGAATTAGGCAGCACTTATGCCCAGCAGCAGCCTGAATTGTCCAATCACATCCCGACACAGAGGGACTGAACTTGCTGACGCCTGAGCCTCCCGGAGTTCCAAGTCTGCCCCTCAGCACCCTCACAGACAAGGTTTTTCGGGCCAGTTCTTTGGGCTTTGTAAGCCAGACAGGGAGGCGGCAAAGACTGAGAGAGGAATTCCTAGGAGGGCGCCACAGGGGCTTTGGGGGACCGGTGGGTGCAGCCGTCCAGCTTGCCTGGGCACTCTCGCCCTATGTGCTCTGTTCTGGTGACTTTGCATCCTTTCAATTTTGCTAAGTGGGAGCTTTATTTCCCAGAATTCTTTATCCTGTATGTTTCCAGGTTAGGGTTGGCACAAGAGAAACGTGAGCACACTTTGGAAGGCAGCAGTGTGTCAGCTGCAGGCCCCAGTCCATGTGTGTAACAGCCTTGTGAGGACTTGGTCATCAGCTCCCACAACTGCAGAGGTTGGCTCCACAATAAATTCCTTCCTCCGTATCATTCATGGTGGGCTTGCTTCTCCAATAGAGCCCTGAATGATAGTAGTATTACTAGTGCTTCCTCCTGGTTTAAATGATGAACTATGTGTTCACCTAAATATAAATTGATAAGAAAAGGAGAGTTTTAAAAACGGTTGCTGTCCAGGCATGGTGGCTTACACCTGTAATCCCAGCACTTTGGGAGGCTGAGGCAGGCGGATAACGAGGTCAAGAGATCAAAACCATCCTAGCCAACATGGTGAAACCCCGTCTCTACTAAAAACACAAAAATTAGGCCGGGCGTCCTGGCTCATGCCTGTAATCCCAGCACTTTGGGAGGCCAAGGTGGGCGGATCCCGAGGGCAGGAGATCGAGACCATCCTGGCTAACATGGTGAAACCCCGTCTCTACTAAAAATACAAAAAACTGGCCGGGCGTGGTGGCAGGCGCCTGTAGTCCCAGCTACTCAGGAGGCTGAGGCAGGAGAATGGCATGAACCCGTGAGGCGGAGCTTGCAGTGAGCGGAGGTCATGCCACTGCACTCCAGCCTGGGCGACAGAGCAAGACTCCATCTCAAAAAAATATATATACAAACATTAGCTGGGCATGGTGGCAGGCGCCTGTAATCCCAGCTACTCAGGAGGCTGAGGCAGGAGAATCGCTGGAACCCGGGAGATGGAGGTTGCAGTGAGCTGAGATTGCGCCTCTGCACTCCAGCTTGGGCGACAGAGACTCCATCTCAAAAAAAAGAAAAAAAAAGTTGCTGCAGGTTAAATATCCTGTTTACAGAGCTAAAAACACAATAATTTATGTTGAACTTTCTTTTCTGTTGCTGAGGCTGAGTTTCTTTGATCCAGTCTCCCTGAGACTGAGCCATTAGGACCATGGCTTCAAAAGCAAACCCTATAAAGGAGTAAGAACCATGGCCAGTAATATCTGAATGAAGGTAGAGAGGAAAGTAGACTTGATTCAACCCAGCTGAAGCTACCCATATGGCAGAGGCATGTCATCACTTCCAGAGATGCCGGAAGCAACAAGACCAGAGACTGGGTACTGCTCCTGGTCCCGTTCAGAAGCCCCCCAGGGGGTACTCGGCCAGCATACTGGCTGGCTCTACTTTGCTCTCTTTCCATCCCCTCTGTCAACTCTCCTCAGTTTCAAACTACATCTGGACCTGTACTTATCCCTGAGCGTGTGGGTCATACTCTTCCGTGGATGGTCTCCAGCGTTCTTTTAAACTCTGGAAGTCTTTGGCAGCTGAAAAAAAAAAAAAAGGCTGGGTGCGGTGGCTCACGCCTATAATCCCAGCACTTTGGATCACCTGAGGTCAGGAGTTCAAGTCCAGCCTCGCCAACACATGGTGAAACCCCATCTCCACTAAAAAAATACAAAAACTAGCCGGGCACGGTGGCAGGTGCCTGTAATCCCAGCTACTTGGGAGGCTGATGCAGAAGAATCGCTTGAACCCAGGAGGCAGAGGTTGCAGTGAGCCGAGATTGCAGCATTGCACTCTAGCCTGGGTGACAGAACGAGACTCTGTCTTTAAAAAAAAAAAAAAAAAAAAGGAGAAGGCCCACAAAACTTTAGTTATAAGCAGGAGCAGTGTGGAAAAAACACTAAGGGATTAGGATTACTTTTTTCTCTTCTTTTCTTTTTTCTTCTGAGGCGGAGTCTTGCTCTGTCACCCAGAATGGAGTGCAGTGGTGCGATCTTGGCTCACTGCAAGCTCTGCCTCCCGGATTCACACCATTCTCCTGCCTCAGCCTCCTGAGTAGCTGGGACTACAGGCGCCCGCCACCATGCCCGGCTAATTTTTTGTATTTTTTGGTAGAGACGGGGTTTCACCGTGTCAGCCAGGATGGTCTTGATCTCCTGACCTCATGATCCACCCATCTTAGCCTCCCAAAGTGCTGAGATTACAGGTGTGAGCCACCGCACCCGGCCAGGATTACTTTTTTCTTAAAAAGTGGCTAATTTTGCAGGTTGTGTTGACACATGAGAGAAGATGCTCCCCATATAGGTAGTTATGAATTCCCAGGTGGGCCACTCGTTGGAGGACACTTGGGAAGATTAGATTAGATGCATCGTGATGCACAGTTTTATCTTGTACAAAATCTGATCTCATACAAAGGCACAGGACATTTCTTAAACGAAATGAGGTGGCTTGTTTATATTCATGGCTAGTAGTGTTGGTAGTGGCAAATCCATATGGGTCTGCAGCAACTCGATTCTTGCCTCCTGAAGGGAAGAATTTCTCTAAGGGGCATAAGGCAGAGTGAGAGAAATTGAAGCAAGTTTTAGAGCAGTAGAGAAAGTTTATTAAAAAGTTTTAGAGCAGGGCCGAGCATGGTGGCTCACACCTGTAATCCCAGCACTTTGGGAAGCTGGGGCGGGCAGACCACGAGGTCAGGAGATCTAGACCATCTTAGCTAACACGGTGAAACCCCGTCTCTACTAAAAATACAAAAAAAAAAAAAATTAGCCGGGCATGGTGGCACGTGCTTGTAGTCCCAGCTACTCAGGAGGCTGAGGCAGGAGAATTGCTTGAACCTGGGAGGCAGAGGCTGCAGTGAGCCGAGACTGTGCCACTGCACTCCAGCCTGGGCGACAGAGCGTGATTCCATTTCAAAAAAAAAAAAAAAAAGACCAGGCGCGGTGGCTCACGCCTGTAATCCCAGCACTTTGGGAGGCCAAGATGGGTGGATCATCAGGTCAGGAGTTCGAGACCAGCCTGACCAACATGATGACACCCCGACTCTACTAAAAATACAAAAAAATTAGCTGGGCGTGGTGGCGCATGCCTGTAATCCCAGCTACTCAGGAGGCTGAAGCAGGAGAATCGCTTGAACCTGGGAGGCAGAGGTTGCAGTGAGCTGAGATTGCGCCACTGTACTCCAGCCTGAGCAACAGAGCAAGACTTCATCTTAAAAAGAAAAGGAAAAAAAATAAAGAGTTTTAGAGCAGGAATGAAAGGAAGTAAAGTATACCTGGAAGGTGGTCAAACAGGTGACCTAAGCGATCCAAGTGTGCTGTTCGGCCCTCAACTTGGGGTTGTCTACATTGCATGATTCCAGGATTTGCATTGCTTCTCCCCTGATTCTTCCCTTGAGGTAGGTTGTCCACATGCACAGTGGCCTGCCAGCACTTGGGAAGGGCCGTATGTGCAATGTGTTTACTGAAGTTGTGTGCATGCTCATTTGAGGCACTTTTCCCTTCCCAGTCAAGTGTTCCTAGAGGAAGGTCATATATCGGTTAAATTCCACCGTTTTGCCTCTTAATGCACATGCTTGAGTCCACTTGCCCAACTCTTGAAATCTTATTGGGAAGTGGCTTGATCACAGCTTCAGGTGTTTTCTATCCATTGGGAGAGTGCCTTTCCCTGGTGCCAGCTGCGACCAATTATTGTTTTAGAGAGACAGTTTAACAACTACCTGACCATCACCTTATGGTCACCCACCAACATTCCTTGGCAGGGTTGGGGGGACCCTCTCCTGCCCTGCTCATGTCTACCTAGCTACCTACTCTAACAGTAGTTTACAGGTCCTTCATCTGCAAACCGGGGTCATGACAGTGCCTCCCTCATGCAGTTGTGAAGCCTAGATGAGTTGATGTACACAAAGCACTTTTAACTGTATCTAGTCAACAGCAAGCTTTCCATATGCATAACCATGATGTTTGCTGTTACCATTGTAAACCAAAAATAAAAACCTAATCCCGGCTGGGCACGGTAGCTCACGCCTGTAATCCCAGCACTTTGGGAGGCCGAGGTGGGCGGATCACGAGGTCAGGAGATCAAGACCATCCTGGCTAACAAGGTGAAACCCCCGTCTCTACTAAAAATACAAAAATTAGCCTGGCATGGTGGCGGGCGCCTGCAGTCCCAGCTACTCAGGAGGCTGAGGCAGGAGAATGGCACGAACCCGGGAGGCGGAGCTTGCAGTGAGCCGAGATTGCGCCACTGCACTCCAGCCTGGGCGACAGAGCGAGACTCCGTCTCAAAAAAAAAAAGAAACATAAAACAACCAAAAAAAAAACCTAATCCCTCCCCTCAACCGCTGAACGGACCCCTCTCTCGGTCAAAAAGACCCAAAGAAACCTGAAAAACTGTTCATTCCACGATGGGAAGGGAGATTAGACATGCCTCCTTATATGCCCTCTTCCCTTTGGAGCATACATACAGATGACCAGCATTAACATTAAACTAGAGATCCTAAGACTGACACAACAGATTTTGTAGCAATAAGATACTGAATTCCAGCATGACTGTGGTATAACATCACATGACAGATAGCAGGCCCTGAAGGAAATCAAAGCATTTTACCCCCAAATATATTTCTTTGACATATTTTGAAACGACCCTGCAAAGCTGTCTCTTGTGGGAAAAATTTTCATCTGTAAAGAATCTTCGCCGAAATGGTGGCTCATGCCTGTAATCTCAGCACTTCGGGAGGCCGAGGCGGGCGGATCATGAGGTCAGGAGATGGAGACCATCCTGGCTAACATGGTGAAACCCTGTCTCTACTAAAAAATACAAAAAATCAGCTGGGTGTGGTGGCGGGCGCCTGTAGTCCCAGCTACTTTGGAGGCTGAGGCAGGAGAATGGTGTGAACTCAGGAGGCAGAGCTTGCAGTGAGCTGAGATTGCGCCACTGCACTCCAGCCTGGGCGACAGAGCAAGACTCCATCTCAAAAAAAAAAAAAGAAAAGAAAAAGAAAAAGAATCTCTATTCACATAACTAGATCTTTCCCCTTCCAGGCCCTCGCAGTCCTGAAGAGATTAGCTGAGAGTCTAGCACCTTTTAAAGGTCTGAACAGGAAACATTTGCTATTTATTGCCTCTAACGGAGTTCACCTAGAGATTTCACCTATGTAACAAGAAGCTTGGCTTCCATAACCGCCGCCTTATCTTAACCCCAAGCATTTCTTTCTGCTGACTTCAACTCTTTAGATAATAACTCTTTCAACCAACTGCTGATCAGAAAATCTTTGAATCCACCTGTGAGCCCCCACCCCACCCGCCTTCCAGTTGTCCCACCTTTCAGGACCGAATGTATACCTCACACGGATTGATTGAAGTCTTATGTCTCCATGGGTTATAGCTTGGTTTTATATATTTTAGGGAGACATAAGGCATCAATCAATACATATGAGGTATACATTGGGCACACGTTCTCAGGACCTCCTTAGGCTGTGTCAGAAGTCTTGGTCCTCATGTTTGGCTCAGAATAAATCTCCTTAAATATTTTACAGAGTTCAACTGTTTTCATCAACACCATCACGGTAGTTATAACGTTAGGGCAGAGCTGAGGCTGAACTCAAGGTGCCTGCCTTTCCTTCCACTTTGATGTTTTTTCCTCCCACCAGGGGACTCGTCAGCCAGGGAGCAGACAGCTGAGCCACTTGCTTAAGCCAAGCACAGTGCTGCACACACGTGGTGCTCAGTAAATGTTACTTTCTTCTTCTTTAGTTATGCAGCTCACTGTTTGCTGCCACCTGCTTGCTCCTTCCCTTTACTAAAGCGACCTGAGTGTTTTATGAGACTCTCAGCTGCGTTGCAATCCGCTCCTCTCACCCATTTGCAGCACCCCACTTCCCAAAGCCGTTTCTTAGAACAAAGCAATTCATTAAATAATTTACAGCAATACATTTGTTCTCTCAGCAGGTACTTAAGTAGCTCCCATTATTCTCTGCTACTTGCCACCTCTTCTGAAGTTTAAAGTTCTTAAACAGCAGAGAGTAGAACACCCTGCACTTAGGCTGCTGATGGGCTGGGGCTCTCCTTCCTCTCCCTTCCTCATCCTCCCTCTCCCCCAAGGCTCTGCCAGATGCGTTTTGACAGATGATAGGCTTTTGAGAAAAATAGCTCTAGATCATTGATATTATTATTCCTAACTACCGAAGAGTTATGTCAAGGGAGAAAAATATCTAAGTGCTATTCTCGCCTCATTAAATTATCTGAGTATTTTGAGATTAAAGGTTAAAGAGAACTTGGCAGAATTTTTCCTTTTAAGACACATTCTGCGATGCTTTTATTTTAGTTTTTTTCTTTTCTTCATTTTTTTTTTTTTGAAGCGGAATTCTTTTAAAAATATACATGGGCAGCCGGGCGCGGTGGCTCACACCTGTAATCCCAGCACTTTGGGAGGCCGAGGCAGGCGGATCACGAGGTCTGAAGATCAAGACCATCCTGGCTAACACGGTGAAACCCCGTCTCTACTAAAAATACAAAAAATTGGCCAGGCATGGTGGCAGGCGCCTGTAGTCCCAGCTACTCAGGATGTTGAGGCAGGAGAATGGCGTGAACCCAGGAGGCGGAGCTTGCAGTGAGCCAAGATTGTGCCACTGCAGTCCAGCCTGGGCGACAGAGCGAGACTCTGTCTCAAAAAAATAAAAAATAAATAAAAATAATAAAATAAAAATATACATTGTGCCACTCCTAAGGTTTTGCAGGAGTGGGGGCAGGCTACTTTATACACCTTTTGGATTTTTGTTATGATCGTTAGAAACTGAAGATGGAGATTTCACCCTGATCCACCTGAGAGCTGTCAAGCATCCAGCTAGAGGATGGCTGGGCATCCAGGTTGCTCAGGCTTCCAGCCTCTGAAAGCACTTATCGAATCCACTTTCAGATATAAAACTGGGCTCACCAGCGCCTAAAACACTCAAGCAACCAAGTGTTTCCCTGAATTTGAGGCAACTCCATCCTCTGCATCACCCCCTGCTCGGCTCTCTCCGGCAGTCTCCAGTAGGGCTTGTCTTTCCTCCTGTTGCTCTGTCCTTTTATCTTCTCAACCCTACTTCCACAACAAATCTCTCCTTCCTTCTCTTGTTTTCACTATTTCTGCTTCTGGATCTTTATCTTTGTAACATTGTGTTATGCACAGTAACTATGGGAATACTGTTGATGGATTGCACAGTATGGGGTTTTTGTTGTTGTTGTTTTTGGGTTTTTTTGTTTTGTTTTGTTTTTTTGAGACAGAGTCTCGCTCTGTAGCCCAGGCTGGAGTGCATTGGGGTGATCTCGGCTCAACTACAAGCTCCACCTCCCGAGTTCCCGCCATTCTCCTGCCTCAGCCTCCCGAGTAGCTGGGACTACAGGTGCCCGCCACCACCTCTGTCTGATTTTTTGTATTTTCAGTAGAGACGGGGGTTTCACCGTCTTAGCCAGGATGGTCTTGATCTCCTTACCTCGTGATCTGCCTGCCTCGGTCTCTCAAAGTGCTGGGATTACAGGCATGAGCTACCACGCCCGGCCCACTATGGGGTTTTTCTACATTTTTATTTTTATGAAAGTAATATACGTCCAAGGCAATGCATGAACTACAAGAGAGCGCCTAGTATGGAAGTGGCAGCCTGCACTTCCCTGCAGCCTCCCACTCGGGCCACTCCCACTGTGTCTGTTTCCCTTTCTACTCACCTCTAGTTCTTGACTCTGAACCCAGGCAGTTACCTGAAATTATAACAAGGGTGTAGTACCCACCCCTTGAACCCCGCCACTCCTCACTTCCTCTTCTCCCATCGTGATATTGCACCATTGGATTTTTGTTCTTCAATTGGTTAGCTGGATAACATTGCACAATTGACTTAAATCTCTGCTTGCATTCCTAACCACACTGGCAACAGGGTTAAGCTCTGGGCTTGTGAGCTGGATGTCAGCAGCCTTACTTTGTGCTTACCTTTTCTTTAAACCATGAATTTCTGGACTTCTTTTTTTTCCCTGGAAGTCCTTATTGTCTCCCTTTTTCTTACATTATTTGCCTTTATTATAACTTCAATTCTTTTTCAAGCACTATATCATAAAATTTATTTGTGAGGTCCTTCCTCTCCCCTAGAGACCTCCCTGGGGAGACCATCCATTCCTACTTCAGATTGCCCCTGACTTTCTCTCCAGGCGGGTCCACTACCGTCACCTTTGGACTTCTTAATGCTCTTCTGGGGTAGAGCCCCTGTTTCCTTCCTCTTTCTTGGTTTATTCCCTCATCTGGTTAGAGAAGTGGCCCCTAACCTTTTTGGCATCAGGGACCAATTTTGTGGAAGATAATTTTTCCACGGACTGAGATGGGGGTTGGGGGATTGTTTCAGGATGAAACTGTTCCACCTCAGATCATCAGGCATTGGATTCTTATAAGGAGATTGCAACCTAGATCCCTCGCTTGCACAGCTCATAATAGGGTTCACACTCCTATGAGAATCTAATGCCCTGCTGATCTAACAGGAGGCAGACCTCAGGCAGTAATGCTCACTTGCCTGCCATTTACCTCCTGCTGTGTGGCCTGGTTCCTAACAGGCCACAGACTGGTACTGGCCCATGCCTCAGGAGCTGGGGACCCCTGCGTTAGAGAATATCCTCAAGAATTCCTAAGAAAGAATGCATGAGATGTAAACTATCTATTAATTATCTATTAATCTCCCCTCACACTTGATAGGTTGAACACTATTTTCTGGGACTTCTGGGTTCTGCAATAGAATAATCTATTTTACTGAAATACTGTCTCTCTATAAATTCTAGAAAATCTAGATACAATATCACAAACATTATCAGATTTGAAGAATAAAGTGGAAACTGAAAACCAAAGTGGTTATAGATGACCCGCCATGAACACCAAGAGTTTTAGTGATCACATGGAGACAGCAGGTTTAGAACCCCCAGTACTTAAGAGGATGACAAACTGAAAAAGAATATAAAATAGGTATGATTAAAAAAACAAAAATGATAGTTAAAACTCAAAGAAAAGAAAAAGTATGCAAAAACGATGTGGACTCCTGGCTCCGCTAGGGATATAGGAGGCTGGAAAGAGCAGTTTTCCCACTCCCCACCCCTCACCTCCACCCCTTATAAGAGCCACAGCAACAACAGTGAGAAATAAAAATAAAATCCCAAGGCTCTCAGCTAACTGAATGGACCCCCGCTTGTCAAGGGGACCTCAGAGAAACCTTAAAAACTGAGTTCTGGGCCAGGACAGGAAGGGAGGTCAGCACGCCTTGCTGTACGCCACCTTGCTAACCACCATTAGACTTCCCTTCCTAAGGGTTAAACCAAACCCAGCCCTTTGGAGAGACTTGCTCCACTGTTGATTTACACAACAACTGACCAGCATTCCCTCTGCTAAGAGACCACCGACCCGAAGTGGACTGGATCTGGCTGGTTTACAGAGACTGAGCACAGGATGCCTCTGTCCTCTGTTTTACCTGTTGACATATAGAGCCTAATTTTACTGCATTTAAACATTAAGTTAATGTTTACTGCATCGAGTGTTAAGTCTCCGCCCAAAGTGAACATGGGATGTATGTAACACGCATGTGTTCTTAACTATGCACACGCCCCACCTTGTGAATATTCATAGCTCCTCCTGTAACCTGATAAATAAGTACACTTAGCCAACCCGTTGGGTATACATTCCTGTTCCACTCGTTCCTTTCTCAAAGTGCCTGCTTATTATGGTCTCTGCCAGAGGCCATGCTTCCAAACCTACTGCGTGGCTAGCCTGCAGGCTGCAACCCTTTGTGAGAAATAAAGCCCTCCTTTCCAAATGTATGAACCTCATGATTCTTCAGTTGACAACAACAAAACAAACTCAGAGCAATCTACAACTTCACAACTTTTCCTGAACCCATCTGAGATTTGAGATTGGAGGGCAGCCAAATAACCGGGTATTACAGGAAATACAGTCACTTCCCAGGACAGACAGACACAGATACTTGCTTACCTGCGTCAGAGGCCCCAGGATACTGGTAAGGATTCTGCTAAAATACATGATGCATTGCTAACAGTGGGCAAAGGACAAAATTACAGTACATTTAACTTCAAGGTGTCAATTGGCTTTATTGTGACTATAGGATTGGGCAACACTCCATTCCATGAAATAGGATGTGTTCCAATGAGCTGAGTTTGGTTTTATAAACAGACAAAGGGTTGAAGAAAGCAGAAACAAAGAACAAAGAGTGTATCAGTCATCTTAAAGCTACTTTTCTTGTAAAAGGAGAACAGGGAGTCAGGACAATAGGAAAATAACTAATCAGTGACCATCAGGTTCTGCTTCTTTTGTGTGAGGATTAATGGAAAGGAAACCTCATTGTCACACCCACTGGAGATTGAGACTGGCTTATTCAGAAAACTGGCTGTTATCTCTCTCCAATTTCTTGGAGGGTCAGATAACAACTTAGTTTGGGTTTGGTGATATGGAGCTTTAGCATGAGTGATTCCATGTTGATTTTCAGCGTGGACTGCTGGGGACTTGTACATGAGTTTAGTTCAAAACAGTGGCCTTCTAAAATTTTTGCCCAACAAGGCTTAGTGTGGGTTAGCCAGAGCAGGCAGATTTAGGAAGGATTTGGACCTACTTTGCAGGCTCTCTCCACCTCCTTCCACTTGGGTGCTCACACAACTGTGATAGAGTCCTGAGGAAGGGATCCTGGTGATGCGGCCACCAAGGGAAATGCCCAGAACCTGCCCTGCTCCCTCACCCTGTTCCTGCCACAGAGCAAAAGCTTTGCCTTCCAGGGGAAGGGCAACACAGTCCGTGGCCTTTATGGTACTGGTGAAGCCCTACTGCAGCCTGGTCAAGGGAATGGAAAAAGTCCTCCATCCGTGGTGAGACAGGAAGACATGCTGGACCCAGAACCAAGGCAGGCAGGATCCCTAAGATCTCAGTCAGAACCATGGAACATGCCTGTCCCCGACCACCTTGAAGCAAGCAGGCCTACAGGGACAGGGTGGGAGTGTGAAGACACACACACACACACACACACACACACACACACACCCTAAGCACATCATATTTAAACATATATTAAAATCTAAGACAAAGAGAAAATCTCCAAGGCAGCCTGAGTAAAAAAACACATTACACATAGGAAAAAAAAAAAAGACTATAATGGACCTCTTGTCAAGAAACTATGGTAGCCAAAAGACAACACAATGACATATTTTCAACTGTCACACTATACACAAAATAAATTTCAGATGGATTGTAATTCTAAATACGAAAGGCAAGCAATAAGGCTTCTGAAAGACTATCTCCTTGACCTTAGAATAAGCAGATTTTTTTTTTTGGTCTTCTTTGTTTGTTTGTTTTTTTGCAGGACACTGGAGTTTTATTATTACTCAAGCTAGTCTCCCTGAACATTCAGGGATCAGAGGTTTTGTTTTGTTTTGTTTTGTTTTGTTTTGTTTTGTTTTGTTTTTTGTTTTGTTTTTGAGATGGAGTCTCACTCTGTCAGCAGGCTGGAGTGCAGTGGCGCGATCTCACCTCACTGCAACCTCCACCTCCCGGGTTCAAGCGATTCTCCTGCCTCAGCCTACCAAGTAGCTGGGACTACAGGCACGTGCCACCACGCCCAGCTAATTTTTGTAGTTTTAGTAGAGACGGGGTTTCACCATGTTGGCCAGGATGGTCTCGATCTCTTGACCTCATGATCCGCCCACCTCGGCCTCTGAAAGTGCTGGGATTACAGGCGTGAGCCACCGTGCCTGGCCCAGAGTTTTTATGTATAATTTGGTGGGTGGGGGGAAGCCAGTGAGCTAAGAGTGCTGATTGGTTAGAGACGGAATCACAGGGAGTCAAAGCTGTCTTCTTGTGCTGAGTCTCGTGCAGAGTCATCCAGTTTCTGGATGGGGGCCACAAGATCATATGAGCAAGTTTATCAATCTGGGTAGTGCCAGCTGATCCATCAACTGTAGGGTCTGAAAAAAAAAAAAAGCGTTTCCAAAAAAAAAGCTGTAAATAGAAAAGTTTTCTTGGCTCTGGAAAACAAAAAAGGATCGCCAGCATTTTGAGCAAAAAAAGCAAAAAAAATATTAGTTCAATTTTCTATTAGTTCAGTCCATTCATTTAACTCCTATTCTACTTGATATTCATGAACATTTCAGCTCTCCATGAGAGTCCTGACAGTTTTTTTCCTTTATTCTAATGTCATAATCTCCAAAGTTAACAGAAACTTGCATTTAAGAGCACCTGTCAAAAGTTTTGTAACTGATTATAAAACCATCTTCTCAAGAGGACCAAAATGGGACAACAATTGTCTGTGGATGACAAAAACATTTTAGGGCAGCCACAGTCAAAGACACAATTGACAAGGAAATTTGTTACTTCTGTGGCACACAATAATTTAACATAACAATTATAATTCTTACTGACAATATATACTGAACCATATTAGAATTATAGGAATCTTATACAATTTTGTAACACATACTAATAACATATTTATATGAATATAACCCAAAGAAAGTTAAACACCATCTTATATTCAATAATGTTTCCTGTATGGTTTTGATACATTAAATAAGCCTAATGTCTTTTTGGACTTTAGGGAACCTAATCAATTACTTTTTAAATTTAGAATTTGATCCTGTAAGGTTTATCAAATATCAGAGGTGTAAAACACTAGATATCACAAAATAGAATCTCACATCACCGTAAGTCATTCATTTAGTTAAAATGGTACCTCAAAAATTTTAAAAAAAGAAAAACCTTTACTCTGGTAGGAGACTCAGCTTTCCAAACAACAAGACCCAATGAGGGCAGCATGAAGCCAACAAAGTCTGTCTCTTCTCTCACCTCCCGTTTTTCCCTGCCATTTACCCAAAGGAGCAAACAAAAACCTTTCATTATCTTTTAATATTACATAAAAATATTTTCAAAAGAGAAAACCAAATTTTATTTTTGCATTAGTGCCTTTTTAATGCTAAGGCTAGTTTTTAAATAAAATTTTATAAATCTATACAGTTTCAATTAGTGTGACCATAAAGTAAAATTTTCATAAACCTTTTAGAACCCTTTACAATTTTCTGTTAAACAGCAGATGAATTTTCTAAGAAACCCCTGTTGTTTGGACACATGGGCCCCAATTATGGCCCCCTATGTTAGTGTGCTTTCATTTTAATGTTCAGAATTAAATAATCCCCTTCAAATCTTAGCCAACTTGCTCAACCGTTGCTCAAGTTGGTCTTGAACTTTCTTTACAAGACCAACCCTTCACAAACCCCTTTCACCTTGCTTAAACCTTCAGTTTTGTCCCACTACTCTTTTAGGTTAAGACAATTTTTAAAACCCTCTGAATTAGACAAAATTACATTCCCTTTAACAAAAATCATATTCCCATGCCTTCTTGTAATCTTTTACCAAAAACACATTCTATTTTCCCTACACATTGTATGTAAAACTGTTTCTCCAGTAGTCTCGATTATATGTTACAATGTAACTCTTAGCAACTTTTATTTTTGGTGAAAAACCTGATAAGTAAGCCATTTTAATTATGTACTAGGGGTGGAGCCCAGGCTATCAGACGAAGTGAAGATAAGGTCTGACTCTTTCCAGCATAACTAGCGGGGGAATGACTAACTCCACATGTTCCCAGGCCTTATCTAGAGTCTAATGCTCCAAAGTAGGTAAATTGAACAATTTTCAAAAGTCAAGGAAGCAGTTTATGACCTTAAAGCATTTAGCAAATCTGATATCTGACCTTAATTTAGAACATTTCTAAATTTCTACATTTCGAAGACATTTTATTTTACCAATAATCTTTAAAACTGTATTTTTAAAAGATTACTAAAGTCACGTGAACAAAATACATTAAATTTCTATTTTTCTGACAAAATATTTGATTTAGTGCTTATTTTTCCAAGCCAATTAATCAGTTGTTTTTTTGTTTGTTTGTTTGTTTGTTTGAGATGGAGACTTGCTCTTGTCACTCAGGCTGGAGTGCAATGACATGATCTCGGCTCACCGCAACCTCCACCTCTCGAGTTGAAGTGATTCTCCTGCCTCAGCCTCCTGAATAGCTGGGATTGCAGGCACCCACCACTATGCCTAGCTAATTTTTGTACTTTTAGTAGAGACAGGGTTTCGTCATGTTGGCCAGGCTGGTCTTGAACTCCTGACCTCAAGTGATCTGCCCACTTCAGCCTCCCAAAGTGCTGAGAACACAGGTGTGAGCCACTGCGCCTGGCCCAGCTTTTTTTATATAAACATCACACACACAACACATATAAATACTCAGAAGATCCAGTAGTTGTAAGATTTCTCATTTGCCAGTTTCTTAATTGGATTACTGGCTTCAGGGTGGAGCCCTTGGAGGAACAGGTCCAGGAAAGCATGCAGTTTCTAGGGCCTAATAAGCAGGCACAGCTGGAAGAAAGATCCCCAAAATTAAGGGTGCCCTTTTATACATAATACCGGATCCCCAAAAAGGAGGGAAATACTACGGGAGAAGATAGTGCAGTGCTTCTATCATGCATTTTGTTTCAAGGCAACGCAAAGCCAATCAGCCCATTATGTAATCAGCCCATCCCCCATGATAGTCTCATCTCTCATTGGGGGCTGGGGATGTTTCCATATTTTCTAGGTGGCCAAGAGCTTGCTTCTCTAACTGAAATATCAAAGAGCTGAGTATCCCCCCATAACTGCCATTAACCATCCCCAAAAGTATATTTCCTAACTAGTTATTACACACTAAGTTTCTCTCGTAATGCGGAGTAATTTCTGATACCCACAAAAGTCAAAACTGTCAGCTAATACAATGCAAAACAGAACAGAGCCTTAGATTTTGAGAGGGATATATTCTCTTTCAATTCCTGGGCTTCTGTGAGAATAACAGAGGTTTTCCCAGAATGGGGTTTGTGGTGCTGCCTCTGATTTTCCCCAGGAGTCCCAGGCTGTTAGTAATTATCTTAGGTTTTCTCATATGGGCATCAAGAGTGGCAAGAAGACAAAACGGAGAAGAACAATTCAGTGTACTGAGAAGAAAAAATATTTTCAGAAAAATGCAATTCAAGAAGAGAAAAAATATAAAGGCCTTTTAAATACATATAGCTTGTATATCAGTTTTTAACTAAACTGATTTTAACCATAGAGCTCTTTTTTCTTAAAAAAAAATCTTTTTAAATCTCTTATTACCAGACTCTAGCCAGGACAGCCAATATTTCTGGCTTTTAAATTCTACCACAGATAACTTCCCACATGAAATTAATAAGTTTTAACTAAGGTATATGATAACTTACCCATGGACACATAAGGTGTCTCAAAGTGATGGTAAGCAGTTTATTTCTTTGCTTTTTTCTTTTTTTTTCTTTCTTTTTTTTTTTTTTTTTTTACAAATCTCCGCAAACGTGGTTTAGAGAAAGGAAAATCTATCCAAGACAAGGAATCAGAAGTTATTTCTTGGTTGTGGGGGTGGGGAACCTTAATAAATGACAAAGTTACATAAATAACAAACCAGAAAGTATTCACTCCAGAAGCCAAGAATTGAACCTGGGCCACCATTGTGAAAAGACAAACCCTTAGCTACTGAGCTACACAGCATTGAGCCGTTTCTATTGCTCTTCCCAGAAGAAGTCTAGGGCAGCCAATTTCATTCCTGCAAAGGTTCTTAACTGCTCAAGATAACTTTTAGGGCTAACTATGACATGAACCCCAAAATTGCTGTCCTCTGGATGGCAGAAACCAAGAAGTATCCCCACATGGTCACAAGGTTAAGGATACAAAACAAGACAGAGAAATCTCATCTGGTATTGGTTTCAGGGATCCATAGCAAAGTTTGTAACTGACCAGCCTGCCAGGCTAGCTTGAAAAGCAGCCTAATAGGGGTCCTAAATCCACGTTCTATCCTGTGATACTCCTCTCTCCATTACAGAACAACACAGAAAGACAAATTCTTAGCACAAAGTACAGCAGATTTGCTACAGCCTAAGACTAGTCACACAAATCCTTTTTTCTATTAATCAAACCCTTGCAGAGGAAACAAATCATAATGTTTAACATTTACACAGACAGAGAGAGAGAAACCAGAAACTTGGCTGGCAAGAATTTCCTACCCTTTTTGTTGGCATACCAGGTTTCCAGGTTCCCTTTCTCTGTAGATTCCAGAACAACAGACTGGCTTTTGATGACCCTGCTCCCTGTGCCATAGCTGTAGGGTTCAAGCCACTTTACAAAAGAAAATCACCCTTTTCTGTTTTATGGAAATGTAGGTAAAAGATTCTCAATTTTGCAAGGTGTTGACCAATGGGCTGCATGGGAAACCAAATGAACATTTTCTATCCCAGCAAAATATACATAACAAAACAGACACTAGTCACCTCATTCAGCACCCAATATCAACCTGGCAAAGCTCAAACTTCTTCTGATTGGTCTCTGTTGTCTTTGATCCACTCCAGGTGGGGAGGGATGACCTCAGGATGGTAATTCACAATGGGGTCTCTGGGCAAAGCAAAGAGCAGATAGTCACCCTGAGACAGGCCTGTTGCGCTTACCAAAAGACAGGCCTGTTCCTCAGGGCTTACTAATTGTGACCAGACAAATTAGGAGGGTCCTCTGAGTTAGGACTGCTAGATTTCCATCAGCAGTTCCTTCTGAGATCCCCTCCACATACACAGACACACACAAAAATGAGACAGACAGAAGGCCTTCCAAATCAGATCCCTAACCAAGAACTCCAAGATTATCCCTCCCAAACTATCCTCCTATATTCCATCTGAGAAATCTCCTCAGATCTTCCTGATTCAGGAGAAGTCTCCTGAACCAAGACTCTTCCTACTAGTTAGGGAGAGCCAACTGAGACCTCCCCAGGAGACAAACTGAGACAGATGACACTCGGTGGTGGAGCTACAAACAGACATCCCACAATGGGGCTACAGACACCCCACCATGAGGTTACAGACAGATACCCTGTGATAGGGCTATAGTTAAGGGACATCTTCCCAGGACTATTTCTGTATTGCAATTAAATCCATGCACATTGGGTCAGCAGTGCCCCACCAGTAGACAGTACCAGAGCCAGCCCCTAGTCCAAGAGAACTAGGAGGCCTCTTGGGCTGGCCTCCGGATCCATTGCTGGAGGGGGCTACCAAACCATGGGCAGGTAGCCACAGGGGCAATCCGGGACAAGCTCCCAAATTTGTTAACTGCCCAATGGGTTCACCTTGCCCACTGCCTAGACAGAGCCGATTTTATCAAGGCAGGGGAATTGCAATAGAGAAAGAGTAATGCACGCAGAGCTGGCTGTACAGAAGACTGGAGTTTTATTATTACTCAGATCAGTCTCCAGGATGTTTTTAACATGATAGGAAAACTAACTACAAAAGAAAAATACATAAAATCCATTAAAACTAGAAGCTTCTAATCAGGGGCAGGACTAAAACAGAGGGAGCAGTGATGAGACACAAAATGTAAAAGGAGAGGACACCAAAAATATGCAGAGGATTCCTATTTTAGTACAAGATTAATCTATTTTTATTTTTAAATTTTATTTTATTTTATTTTATTTATTAAGAGACAGAATCTTGCTCTGTTGTCCAGGCTGGAGTGCAGTGGTGCCATCACAGCTCACTGTAGCCTCAAACTCCCAGGCTCAAGCAATCCTCCCGCCTCATCTCTGGAGTAGCAGGGACTACAGGCGTGTACCACCATGCCTGACTATTTTACTTTTTTATTTTTTGTAGAGATCAGGGTCTCACAATATTTATTTTAAAGCTCAGAATTAATGCAAAAGGTCCATGATGAACAAAATATCAAAGCTTTAAATAAAAACGATCAGCTTTCTCAAAATCAGAGTGAGGTGGCATGGAGGAAGGAACATCTGATGGCAGGTTGTGGGAAAATTGTATGAAAAAATAGTGTGCTGTATTGAGTAGAGGATGGAAATCAATGATATATATAAGTTTGACTGGAAATTTAAGAAGTGAACTCTTATTACTGTTATCTAAAAAAATTATTATTTGAAAAATATTTTTAATAGTTCTACGCTTAGCTAAGTATTAGGGCCCTGAAGAAATTCACTGAAGAAAACAATTTTAACAAGTCTAATAAATAAAAATAAAGCCCCAAAATATTAAAAATTAAAGCAACTAATTAAATAAATGAAATCAAGATTGGACAGAACTGGGATTAAAATGAGGCCCCCTTCGTGCCTGTTAGATCCTGTAAGGAAAAAAACAGTGATTTTGCTCCAGAAGCTGGAGAGTCTCCTAGGGTCTCGATGCTCGTCATGAGGAGGTGGATGCCAGCCTGATTCTCATTCCCTTGTAAAGGACTTATTTTTGTTGTTTCAACTTTATTTAATTTCTGACTTTTGCTTTTTATCTTGCTAGGGACTTTTCATAGGCTCTTTGCACTTAATATTCTGAAAATTCCATAGACGTGGTGTGTGTGTGTGTGTGTGTGTGTGTGTGTGTGTGTGTGTGTGTGTGTGAGGCGAGGTGTCCTACAACCCCACAATTCTGATTTTAGGAACCAACCCTGGAACACTCCCTGCCTCCACATGCACCAAGATGAGCATAAGGACAGAGTACCATTGGCAGCAGGTGGACACCCTGTTGCCCTTCAGGACAAAACCCAGGTCTGAAAGTTCTAAGCTTTCACTCCTCTGCGCATTTCCTCTTCTGTGTGGTCTCTGTTGTCGCTTTCTGGGACACCTATCAGTCACCTGTCAGGTCGTTTAGGCTGCTCCTTTTTCTCTTATTATGAGAGGGCAACAGTTTGGAGAAGGCATAGAACTATTAAAATTATTTTTCAAATAATAATTTGAACTGCCAGTTTGCATCAGCTGGGAGGAGCCCTTGGTCTAGCAGCAGAGCATGAATTGAATGCTTTGCCTGCCATGCGATGATGCCCTTCTGAATCAGACCCAGTAGTCCCATAGACAGTTCTTTTGGATAAACATAGAAATTGACCCATCTGGTCTTGAAACTTGAAACTTACATTTGTTTTATCTGAGTTCCTTCCTCAGGAAATGACCTCCCAGGCCTCTCAAAAACTATCAAAGAACTGAAACTCAACCAAATCACCACATCCAGACAATGAGATGTCCAACCCCTCATTTTGTTTCCTTATCCCTCCTGAGTTCCTGCTTTCCAACACATGTCCCCACCAGGTTTTTTGTTCTGTTTCTCTTTTAGAGACAAGGTCTTGCTCTGTCGCCCAGGCTGGAGTGCGGTAGTGCCATCACAGCTCACTGAAGCTTTGAACTCCTGGGCTCAAGCAATCCTCGCATCTCAGCCTCCCAAGTAGCTGAGACCACAGTTGTGTACCAACATGCTTGGCTAATTTTTTTTTTTTTTAAATAGAGATGGGGGTCTCACTGTGTTGCTTAGGCTGGTGTGAAATTCCCGGGCTCAAACTATCCTCCCACTTCGGCCTCCCAAAGTGCTGGGATTACAGGCATGAGCCACTGCACCCAGCCAACCCCTGTGTTTTTAACACTGACATATTTTCACACATTCCATCCTCTCCTGCTCTCAGAAAAAAATCCCAGTTGGTTTTACCTTGAATGTTTTTCTCATGATTTATTTCCTCCTGCCCTCACTGGAATTGCTGGTTCCCTCCCCATCCCACCCATCTGGCTCTCCCGAAGGAAGCGTTCTTGTTTGCCTCTCTCTCGCTTTTCCTCCTGTGGGGCTTCCTGTTCACCTTCATTGCTTCCCCTGTTCTTTACTTTTCCCCACTGTGCCCTGAAAGAACTCGAGTTTGCTCCCTACTCTTCTCCCAAAGCCCCTCTTGCTTATGCAGACCTGCTTCTTAAATGTAAAGGGATGCCATCAATTCAGCGATCGCTTTTCATCTTTTGTTTGGGGCTCAACTCTCCCTCCCTTTTATTATAATATCCTCTTGGAACCTGGCATAGATATACCATTTTCTACTTTTTTAACCACAAGAATTACTTTTATTTTTTCTTTTACTAAAGACAGCACTGGCCGGGCATGGTGGCTCACATCTGTAATCCAAGCACTTTGGGAGGCCAAGGCGGGTGGATCACCTGAGGTCAGGAGTTCGAGACCAGCCTGGCCAACATGGTGAAACCCCGTCTCTTCTAAAAATACAAAAATTAGCCAGGTGTGGTGGTGCACGCCTATTGTCCCAGCTACTTGGGAGGCTGAGGCGTGAGAACCTCACGCCTTGAACCCCGGAGATTGCAGTGAGCCAAGATCGTACCACTGCACTCCAGCCTGGGAGACAAAGTGAAACTTTGTCTCAAAAAATATATAATAATAATAAAGACAGCATTGTTTCCTGGCTCCCTACCCTAAAACATCCTAGGTGATTAATTTAACTACCTCTATACCATGTTTTTGTCTCTTTCGCTGCTCTTTTTTTTTTTTTTTTTTTTGAGATGGAATCTTGCTCTGTCACCCAGGCTGGAGTGCAGTGGATCAATCTCGGCTCACTGCGGTCTCCGCCTCCCGGGTTCAAGCGATTCTCCTGCCTCAGCCTCCTGAGTAGCTGGAACTACAGGCGCGCGCCACCATGCCTGGCTAATTTTTGTATTTTTAGTAGAGATGAGGTTTCACCATGTTGGCCAGGATGGTCTTGATCTCTTGACCTTGTGATCCGCCCACCTCGGCCTCCCAAAGTTCTGGGATTACAGGTGTGAGCCACCGTACCCGGCCTAATTTTTGTATTTTTAGTAGAGACGAGGTTTCACCACGTTGACCAGGCTAGTCTCGAGCTCCTGACTTGATGATCCGCCCGCCTTGGCCTCCCAAAGTGCTGGGATTACAGGCGTGAGCCAACGCGCCCGGCCGAAGAAACTAAATTTTAACGGCATTAGACAAGTTGCTCAAGGCCACACAATGGGGGAGCCGGAATTCACAGTCTGGTCTGCCTGGCACCAAGCTGGTGCTAGAACCACCATGCTCTGATTTTTAAGAAGCTGAGCCATGAAATCAACCTCCCACTGTCCTCATGGAGGCTGCCCTGTTCCTGCTCTCCCACTCCTCCAGGGCCCCACCTGCAGCATCTGCTTCCTCCACTACCTGACCACATCCTTCCAAGCTCCCTGTTGCAGCTCATAGGTTCCACCCACTGTTTCCCACTCTAGGTATCATTGTTCCCATTTTAAACTTCAATAAGCTGGGGCCCAGAGAGGTTCAGTAATTTGCCCTAGATAACATAGTGTTAGCAGGAGGACTTGAACCCAAAACTGTCTGACTCCAAGTCTCCTGGCCTTGACCTTATGCTGTGCTGCCTGACAGTTTAAACGTAGTTGACCCTCCAAAGCCCCTTGGTTATGGAGTGGAGAGAGCCCTGCGCTCAGAGTTAGGAACAAGTCCAAGTCTGGTCTGTTTTGCCGGATAGGTGATCTCACCCTCAGGCGCGTCCGTTGCTACATCTGTGAGAATGAGAGGAGGGGCCAGGAGATCCCTAAAGAACCCCCGCAGCAGCATTTTGTGAGGCAATACAAGGAAAAGAAGGGGAAAACACAAGAGAGAGTCCACCTCCCTTGCCAAGAGTCATCCAAAGTGTCTGCAGCATACACCAGCAGGCCTAGTGCCCAGCCTGGTCATCCTGTTGAATGTCCTGCAATGGCCACGTCCAGCTCCCATGGCCCTGACCAGAGCCTTCCGAGCATCTCCAAGGACCCCAAAGGGAACAGAGGGCTCTTTCTGGCCCAGGGACAATTTGCGGTTTTTCAGTTCATTCGCCTTGTCTTCAGGGGGTCCCCTGTCCCAACTTGCTACCTAAAAATCCTGGTGCTTTCAAAAGACTTCTTAACAACCCTTCAACCAAGCACATGTGAGTTCATCCTTTATCTGACAGAATTGATGTGCTGTGGGCCCGGGAGCTTAGTATCGCCCCTTGTGAAGAGCTCATTTGTAGGGCCAAGGGCAAGCCTCTCCATGTGGCCTTGGCAGTTGCAGGTAAAGATGATGTGGGCTTGGGGAGGCACTGTTTTCAGCCACACAAAGGACTCCTTTCCTGGGTCTCTCTGTTGCTTGGAAAGCTGTGGCTGCACCCCAGCAAGTCTGAGTGAACAGGGAAGACGGTCCCAAGAGCAGTGGTGACAGGACCTTGCTGCTCATGGTGTTGTCCCACAGCAGAGTCAGTGTCACCTGGCAGGGGCCTTATGGAATGCAATCTCAGGCCCTGGACCTGCTGAGACAGAGCCTGCACTTTACAAAGGTTGCAGAAGACTCACTCGATGGGCAGGGAAGTCTGACACACCCAAGACTGGTCTTGGCTCAGCCCAGCTCGGTTGCCATGAGGGTCTGTCCCTTCCCACAAGACAGCCTTGGCAAGTTTCCAACCTGAGCCTTATCTGTAAAGTAAAACGAGACCCCCACCAATCCTTGGGCTTGTTTGGAGAATTACATGAGATCATATATAGAAAAGGACTTCACACAGCATTTGGTGCATGGCAATCGAGAAATATTAGGGCCCTGCATCCAAGAGTTCCAGGAGCTCCTTCAATGGTAGGAATGAACAAGTGCCTTTACAATGACCGCCCCCCTCCCCCAACAACCTCAGACGCTAACAGGTACCTGCACCCGAGTGCTCAGCAGCACTGTTGACAACAGCCAGAGGTGGAAGCAGCCCAAGTGTCCATTGATGGATGACTGGATAAGCAAAACGTGCTACATGCCTGCAATGGAATATTATTCAGCCATGAAAAGGAAGGAAACTCTGACACATGCTACAACATGGATGAAACTTGAGGACGTTATGCTTTGTGAAATAAGCCCATCACCAAAGGACAAATATGGTATGATTCCACTAATATGAACTCCCTAGAACAGTTAAGAGATGGATGGTGGTGATGGCAGTACATGGCATGAATGTACTTAATGCCACGGAACTGTGCACTTAAAAATGGTTTTGATGGGCCAGGTGTGGTGGCTCACACCTGTAATCCCAGCACTTTGGGAGGCCAAGGTGGGTGGATCGCCTGAGGCCAGGAGTTCAGAACCAGCCTGGTCAACATGGTGAAACTCTGTCTCTACTAAAAAAAAATAAAAAAATTAGCCAGGCGTGGTGGCAGGTGCCTGTAATCCCAGCTACTTGGGAGGCTGAGGCAGGAGAATCACTTGAACCTGAGAGGCAGAGGTTGCAGTGAGCCAAGATTGTGCCATTACACTCCAGCCTGGGCAACAAGAGTGAAACTCCATCTCAAAAAAAAAAAAAAAAGCCAGGTGTGGTGGTTCACGCCTGTAATCCCAGCACTTTGGGAGGCTGAGGCAGGCGGATCACGAGGTCAGGAGATTGAGACCATCCTGGCTAACATGGTGAAATCCCATCTCTACTAAAAGTACAAAAAATTAGCGAGGCGTGGTGGCGGGCGCGTGTAGGCCCAGCTACTTGGGAGGCTGAGGCAGGAGAATGGCGTGAACTCAGGAGGCGGAGATTGCAGTGAGCCGAGATTGCGCCACTGCACTCCAGCCTGGGCGACAGAGCAAGACTCTATCTAAAAAAAATAAATAAATGGTTTTGATGGTAAACTTTGTTATGCATATTTTACCACAATACAAAAACTGGATTAACTGATCACTGATGTGCCCCCTGCTATGGAGTGGTGGAGCTCAAAGAAGAGTAGCACAGCCTCTCAAACGGGAATGGGCTCAGCTCCCTCATAACGAAGCAGGAAGGGCTCAAACCCGGTCCTCCTCGGCTTCCTGGAGTCTCTTATTCCTTTGGAGGTCTTACCTGGCGGCCAGGAGGTGGACCCGTGTTGTTCAGCAATACAGGCAGATGATTCTCTGTCCCCCGCAGTGAGAGCAACTGCTCTGTCATTGCCCAAGGTTCACCAGGTCAGGCTCAGGTGTTATCAACAGAGATTCACTCAAAATGCTGGACTGTAATTTGCCAAGGCCTGCAGAGATAAATTCCCTCTGCAACTAACTTGCCTCCCTCCGTAGGCATCAGTTTCCTCTTGGCAGTGCCCTCCACTATTTGAAGTTCATGCTCCTTGATGGAAAAAACGAACAAAATATGAGTGGCGTCCACAGTGTTCATGCTGTCATTTCTGCTGACAAGTGGTGGGTCCTGCGTGCCTCTCCTCCTGGTCCTCAGGATGAGGAACGCCCTTTGTGTTGTTCCTAACAGCCTCACAGGTCTCAGCTCCTTCGAACCTGGACCCCAGCTGGCACAACCTGGCAGTCTGAGTCACTCCACTTGTTTCACCTCTGAGAAGCAAAGACAAGAGGCTACACTCTAGTATCCTACAGAGATGGCAATGTCACTGCCAACATCAACCTGGTCTTGGGCCAGCTCCTGTTGTAGAGACTTCCAGGAATCTGAATGACTAGGGGAGGGCTCCTCAGGCCTGTCATGTCACTCCAGTATCATCCAGTGCTTACAGCAACAGCCTCTGTCCTGAAAGAGTCACAGCTGCTATCAGTCAATGTAGATGCCTTTCTCACTTGAAAATCAGTCTTCTTTGTTCTCCGTCTCCAAATATCCAACGCCCTTCTCACCACTGTGAAGATTTTCCTAGATGTTTTTCGGTCTCAACATTCCAGATGAGTTTGGTTGACGTTAACTTGAAGTTGGAGAAATAGGCCATGCTGGTACCTAGTTAGTTCAATTTCTGTTGGAGATCTTGAATTGTAGGTTTTCCTCCAGAAAAAGAAGGAGGAGTTTTGAGAGGCAGCAGAAGGTGCCATGGATGGAGCTACTTGGGGGAGGCGAAGCTGTGCCAGGAACCTAACTCCTAAAGTTCCACACCAATTGGCTTTGCAATTGGCTGGTGTCAGTTTTAGGACATCTGGAGGGAAAGGGTGACACAAAGCTTTAAGATCAAGGTAAATCATGATCTCGCTGGAGACCACTCATGCTGGCAGGCCTCTTGCTATGCAGCTGATTGGCTACTGGACCGGGTGGGGTTTGGGGCACAGGAGGGGAGAGTATGCAGATAGGAGAGAAGCCGAGGGAAATTGAAAAATGTTTTGGAAAAGCTGCCAAGGAAAATGAGAAAGGGAGGTGATGACACTGGGTAAAGAGGAGTGCTGTGTTGTGCACTGCAGGTGGGAATGTAAGAGGGTGCAGCCACGGCAGAAAACAGGATGGTGGTTCTGCAGCAAATTAAATATAGAATCACCATATGATCCAGCAGTCCCACTTCTGAGTATATCCAGAAGAACTGAAAGCAGAGTCCCCGAGAGATATTTGCACACCCATGTTCACAGCAACGTTATTCACAACAGCAAAGAGGCAGAAGCAAGCCGAGTGTGCATCCCAAGTGTCCATCAGAGGATGAATGAATAAAGAAAGTGTGCTACATCCATACAATGGATATGATTCAGTCTTAAAAAGAAAGGAAATTCTGACACACGCTGCAGCATGGATGAAGCTGGAGGCCGTGATGCTCTGGGAAATAAGCTGGTCACTAAACGACAAATACTGTGTGGTTTCATTAATATGAGGTACTTAGGGAAGACAAGTTCACAGAGACAGAAAGTAGAATAGTGGGTGCCAGGGGCTGTGGTGGGTGGAGAGAATGAGGAGTTAGCGCTTGATGGGTACAGGGTTTCAGTCTGAGAAGGTACAAAGAGTTATAGAGATGGATGGTGGTGATGGTTGTACAACAATGTGAATGTACTTAATGCCACTGACCTGTATGCTTAAAATGGTTTAAATGGTAATTTTCTTTAAGAGATGGGGTCTTGGCCGGGCATGGTGGCTCATGCCTGTAATTCTAGCACTTTGGGAGGCCGAGGCAGGTGGATCACGTGGTCAGGAGATTGAGACCATCCTGGCTAACATAGCGAAACCCCGTCTCTACTAAAAATACAAAAAAATTAGCCAGGTATGGTGGCAGATGCCTGTAGTCCCAGCTACTCAGGAGGCTGAGGCAGGAGAATGGCGTGAACCCAGGAGGCGGAGCTTGCAGTGAGCTGAGATGGCGCCACTGCACTCCAGCCTGGGAGACAGAGTGAGACTCCGTCTCAAAAAAAAAAAAAAAAAAGACATGGGGTCTTGATATGTCGTCCAGGCTGGAGTGCAGTCATTATTTACAGGTGCCATCATAGTGCACTGCAGCCTCCAACTCCCAACCTCACAGAGTTTTCCTGCCTCAGCCTCTGAAGTACCTGGGACCATAGGCATAGGCCACTGTGCCCGCTCAAAATGGTAAATTTTATGTTTTGTATATATTACCATGATAAAAACTTTTTGTTTTAAAAAGGGGTGCTAGGCCGGGTGTGGTGGCTCACACCTGTAATCCCAGCACTTTGGGAGGCCAAGGCAGGTGGATCACGAGGTCAGGAGATCGACACTAGCCTGTCCAGCATGGTGAAACCCCATCTCTACTAAAAATACAAAAATTGGCCAGATGTGGTGGCATGCACCTGTAGTCCCAGCTACTCGGGAGGCTGAGGCAGGAGAATGGTGTGAACCCGGGAAGCGGAGGTTGCAGTGAGCCAAGATAGCACCACTGCACTCTAGCCTGGGCCACAGAGAGAGACTCTGTCTCAAAAAAATAAATAAATAAAATAAAATAAAATAAAAAAGGGGTGCTAAGGAATACCAGGAGCTGACTGAGTCCTGGAATCCTAACCTTGGGTCAGAGCTGCTACCTAAGGAGAGATCTGAAGTCTGGAAGCAGAAGTCCTTACTATCCAAAGACAGAAATGCTAACTGTTGATTAGCTGCACACATCTGGTTAGCCCATATGGGAATGGATTCTGGAGGCAGCTGAAGCATGGGTAGAGCACTTCAGTGTGGCAGTTCCTGCAGCCGAGGTGGGCTCCGCCTTTGCATTTGGGTTGACAGATGCTGGAGTCCACAGCAGCATGCCCCACACAAAGCCAGGATGCAGAAATGCAGTGAGCAGTGTGGAGGACAAATACGGAGATGAAGAACCAGACAGACTTTTCCTATGAAAACAGCTGGCCATCCCCCAGTGATCTCCCCGACAAGACCCCAGAAGATGCCTCGTTGGCAAGTGCAACTGAATAGCAAGGATGTGTTTCTGCAAGCCATGTCACTGCTGCCAGGCACTGTGGTTGCAAAAAGGGCTCCCTGGCGGCGGCAGGTTGTGAAGTCCTGGGATGGTGGGGCCGAGGGGTTGCTCAAGTGCCAGAGCAGGGAATGAGTTACCACAGCAGGTGTCAGGATGGGCAAGGTTACCAGGATGCTCTTGCCCCTTGCAGGAGAGGTTCAGAGGTGGAGTTGACCATGGGGTTGGTTCCCCAGGACCACAAGCGACAGGCAGTCCCCAGAGGCCCTTGTGATCTGTCTCATAAACCCTGAGCACGATGGAGGCTTGACCTAATCTGTCATGTGACAGTCACCCCCACCTCAAGCCCAGCATTGAGTCAGCCACAGACGCGGAGCCCCATGTGAAAAAACAGGCCAGAAGCACTGTTGTTGGGGACCACAGATGTTTCCAAAAACAGCCTCGGGCAGCTCCCCATCCCTGCATGGGGGGCTGCCCCCATCTGGAGGTGATGTATATTTCCTTTCCCCCAAATATCAGATGTGGCCTTAGGACTCAATTCGATCAATAGAAAACAGAGGAAATGATGTGGAGCCAATTTCCCACAGGTAATGTAAAATTTTCTAGTAACTGCATTTAAAAAGCAAAAAGAAACAAGTGAAATTAATTTCAATGTATTTTACTTAATACCCAGTGTGTGCAGATATCATTTTAACCTGAGTGAGATTTTATGTCCTTTCTTCACGTTTAGTCTTCGAAGTCCAGTGAGTATTGTGCACCTGCAGCACATCTCAGTTGGGCAGGCACACATCAAGTGCTGCATGGCCATGCATGGCTGGTAGCTAGCATAGTGGATGGCAGCAGAAGAATCTGTGAGTTTTGAATGTTGTGTCAGTGGCACAGCATCCAGCCTGGCTCTCCAGCCCTCCTGGAGGTTTTGTGAACTATCCAATATCCTCTTAATACATTTCTGTTCCTTTTAAATCATCCAGACTGTCTGTTGTTTGCAACAGAGAGTTCTAATTAATACAACCCCCTACTAGTTTAATGATTTCCTGGATGTAGGAACGAGGTTACACACATACATAATTTTACTTGCTAGAGTACTGGTTTTTTAATATTAGACATTTCTCCAGTGTTAACATGGCTTCTATAATGTTCCCTTCATAGATACTAAAATAAAGAAATGATAAAATATACCCAAGAATAGTTCTTGAAAGGTTGGTCACTATCTCCAGGGGAAAAGAATGCACCTTATAGCAAATACACATGCACATTTGTAGATGTCCTGTCCAATCCTGGGTGACAGTGAGATAGATGAGAGCTGTCAGAGAGTGCAGCATCTGGAGACCAGCTGCAACCTGGTTCCCACTCTCCAGTTTCTTCAGTTGCTCCCCACTTCTTGGTCTCGGAACAGGCATCAACTTATTCCATCCCTCCGACACTCTCCCAAAGCTCCACATCACCTCCAGCACCTTCCAGTCCTTCTGCATCCCACGCTTATGGCAGGCTCCTGATGGGGCAGTCTCCCCTGCTGCCGCCACTTCCCAGCCTCAACCCCAGCCTCTGCTGCCCAGCCACTCAAACTGCTGCCCTCTCAGCTATAACACGCCCTGGAAACCAGAATTGTGGGAGTGGTTGTCAGCTCCTCTTTCTCCCATTCACCTCCCATTTTTGATTAACCATTAAAATCTTGCTGCGTTTTGCCAAGTTTCAAATATTGATGGGCCCCATCTCCTTTTCCCTCCTCTGTCACTGGTCTAGCTCGAAGCCTCCACATTTCCTGCATTGAGTCCACAATCATCGGAGGAGATGCTTAGAGCCCTATTCCGGGTATTCCATAGTCTGAAGCCCTTTGCTGTCTTTCTGTCGTCCCAGAAATGCGTCCTCATGCCTCAGCAGGCACAGGGTCCTTGGTGACTCACACCCATGGCCGTGTAGCCCCGTCCTGCCTCTCAGCAGTCTAGGGACAGGGTGGCCTGTGATGTGTTTCAGGCCTCCCCTCTGCCTGGAGTTCCCACCTGTCTGTGTAGAGAATTCCTACCCCTCCTGGAAGGCTCACATCAGGAATCCCCTTCCCAGGGAGCCTCCCCAACCCAGGCTGAGCTGGGTGGGCTCCACCAGGCCTTGAGTGTTATGTGTGTGTGTGCTGTCTCCCCACCATGCATATCTTCATATTCCAGCGTTTAGCACTGGAGCTTCTCAATTGACAGTCCCCTCTGCTGGTTGGGACCGGACAGGGCCAGCTGTGCCATCTGATGGCTCACCCTGGGCCAGAAGCAGTGCCTTTTTATTGGTTTGTTTTTAAAATATTTTAATTGAAAGTATATACATTTAAGGTATACAGCACGATGTTTTGATATACAGTTGACTCTTTAACAACGAAGGGGTTAGGGGCACCAACTCCCCGAACAGTAAAAAATCCACAAATAACTTTTGACTCCCCCAAAACTTAACTATTAATACCCTAGTGTTGACAGGAAGCCTTGCAGATAACACAAACAGTCAATTCATACAAATTTTGTATCTTACGTGTATTGAGTACTGCATTCTTACAACAAAGTAAGTTAGGGAAAAGAAAATATTAAGAAAATCATAAGGAAGAGAAACCGTATTTACTATTCATTAAGTGGAAGTGGATCACCCTAAAGGTCCTCATCCTCCTCGTCTTTAGTTGAGGGGGAGGAGGAGGAGGAGGAGGGGTTGGCCTTGCTGGCAGAGGCAGAAGAAAATCCCCATATAAGTGGACTCTTGTAATTTAAACGCATGTTGTTCAAGGGTCAACTGTACATATACATCGTGAACCGATTACCAGTCAAGCTACTTAACATATCCATCCCTTCACATGGTCACCTTTTTTTTTGAAACAGAGTCTCGCTCCGTTGCCCAGGCTGGAAAGCAATTGTGCGATCTCGGCTCACTGCAAGCTCCGCCTCCCGGGTTCATGCCATTCTCCTGCCCCAGCCTCCCAAGTAGCTGGGACTACGGGTGTGTGCCACCACACCCGGCTATTTTTTTTTTTTTTTTGTATTTTTAGTTGAAATGGGGTTTCACCATGTTAGCCAGAATGGTCTCGATCTCCTGACCTCGTGATCTGCCCGCCTTGGCCTCCCAAAGTGCTGGGATTACAGGCGCGCACCAACGCGCCCGGCCCACATGGTCACCTTTTTGTGTGTGGTGAGAATACTTAGGATCTGCTCTCTTAGCAAATTTTAAATATGCCATGGGTATTGTTAACCATAGTCCTCATGCTTTACCTTAGACCCCTAGAACTTATCCACCCTACATAACTGAAGCTTCATATCCTTTGACCAACATCACCACAATTACCCCCATCCCACCTCACCTCACCCCTGTCCCTGGTAACCATTATTCTACTCTCTGCTTCTATGTATTCATCTTTTATTGACTCTACAAACAAGTGAGATCATATGATATTTGCTTTTTGTGTCTGGCTTTTTCACTTAGCATAATGTCCCACGTTGTTGCAAATGGCATAACTTCCTTCTTTTTTAAGGCTGAATAATACTCCACTGCATATATATATACACGCTATATATATATATATATATATATATATATATACGCGCTATATATATATATATACACGCTATATATATATATACACGCTATATATATATACGCTATATATATACGCTATATATATATGCTATATATATACACGCTATATATATATACATGCTATATATATACACGCTATATATATATACACGCTATATATATATATATATATATATATATATATATATATATATTCATCTGTCAATGGACAGTTAGGTTGTTTCCATATCTTGGCTATTATGAGTAATGCTGCAGTGAACATGAGAGTGCAAATATCTCTTCAAGATACTGAGTTCATTTCCTTTGGATATATACCCAGAAGAGACATTGCTGAATCATATGATAGTTTTATTTTTTATTTTTTAAGGGATCTCTATACTGTTTTCCATAATAGGTACGCCAATTTGCATTCCCATGAACAGTGTATAAGAGTTCTCTTTTCTCCACATCCTCACCAACACTTGTTATCTCATGTTTTTGACAATAGCCACCCTAACAGATGTGAGATGAAATCTCATTCTAGTTTTGATTTGCATTTCCCTGATGATAGTGATGTTGGGTACTTTTTCATATACCTATTGGACATTTGTATGTATGTCCTCTTTCGAAAACTATCTATTCAAGTCCTTTGCCCATTTTTAATCAGGTTATTCATCTTTTGCTATAGAGTTATATGTGTACCTAATATATTTTGTATACTAACACCCTTATCAGATATATGGGTTGTATTTTCTCCCATTCTGTTGGTTGCTTTTTCATTTCATTGATTCATTCCTTTCCTGTGCAGAAGCTTCTAGTTTAATCTAGTCCCACTTGTTTATTTTTGCATTTGTTGCTTGTGCATTTGGTGTTATATCCAAAAAAATCATTGCCAAGACATTAAGTGGACTTTATTCATTAAGTGGAAGCAGATCATCATAAAAATCTTTATCAAAAAACATTCATCCTTGAATCTTCTTCAAGGAGATTTTTCTCTATGTTTCCGTGTAGGAGTTTTATGGTTTAAGGTCTTACATTTAAGTTTTTAATCCATTTTGAGCTGACTTTTGTATATGGTGTGAGATAAAGTCCTACTTTTATTCTTTTGCATGTGGATATCCAGTTTTTCCAAAACCATTTATTTAGACTATCTTTCCCCATTGTGTATTCTTGGGGTCCTTGTTGAAAATTAGTTAGCCATATTTTCGTGAGCTTATTTTGGGGCTATTTTGTTCCATTGGTTTCTGTGTCTGTTTTTATGCCAATACCATTGAGTTTTGATTAGTATGGCTTTGCAGTATCATTTGAAATCAGGGAGTGCAATGACTCTAACTTTCTTCTTCTTTCTCCAGATTGCCTTAGCTATTCAGGATCTTTTGTGGTACCATATAAATTTCAGAATTGTTTTCCTATTTCTGAGAAAAATGCCCTTAGAATTTTGATAGGGATTGCATTCAACATGTAGGTCACTTTGGGCAGTATAAGTGTTTACACAATATTAATTCTTCCAATTAATTAAGATGAGATATCGTTCCATTTCTTTGTGTCTTCTTCAATTTTTTTCATTAGTGTTTTATAATTTTCAGTGTACAAATTCTTTTTCACCTCCTTGGTTAAATTTATTTCTAAATATTTTTATGCTATTGTAAATGAGATTGTTCCTTGATTTCCTTTTTAGATATTTCAATGTTGGTATAAGGAAATGCTATTAATTTTTGTATATTGATTTTGTATCTTAAAAATTTACTAAACTTATCAGATCTGATTTTTAAATGGAATTATTAGGATTTTCTACATGTAGGACCATGTCACCCAGAAACAGACAATTTTCCTTGTTTAAGTTGGATATTTTTTATTTCTTTTTCCTATCTAATTTATCTGGCTAGAACTTCTAGTACTGTGTTGAATAGACATGGTGAGACCAAGAAAGGAAAAGCTTTTAATTTTTCTTCAATTATTATGATGTTAGTTATAGACTTTTCCTAATTGGTCTTTATTGGATTAAGGTAAGTTCCTTCCATACATATTTTGTTTAGAGTTTTTGTCATAAATGGATATTGATTTTTTTCAAATATTTTCTGCATCTATTGAGATGGTCATTTTTTTTTAATCTTTCATTCTGTTAATGTGGTGCATTACATTGACTTATTTGCCTATATTGAACCAAACCTGCATCCCAGGGATAAATCCCACTTTAGTCACAATGTATAAACTTTTTAGTGTGCTAATGAATTCGCTTTGCTAATATTTTATTGAGGATTTTTGCATCTATGTTCATCAGAGATATTGGCATGTGGTTTTCTTTTCTTGTGGTTTCTTTGGTTCTGATATCAGGGTAATGCTGACCTCATAAAATGAGTTTGGAAGTGTTTCCTCTTTTTCTATTTTTAGAAGAGTTTAAGAAGTATTAATAATTCTTTGAATCCATGAAAGCCATCGATTTTTCTTTTTTGGGAGGTCTTTGATTAATGCCTCAATCTCCTTATTTGTAACTCATCTGTTAAGGTTTTCTGTTGCTTCTTGATTAAGTCTTGGTAGGTTGCATGCTTCTAGGAATTTATCCATTTCTTCTACTTTATCCAATATGTTGGCATATAATTGTTCATAATGGTCTTTTATGATCCTTTTTATTTCTCAGATATCCATTGTAATGTCTTCTCTCATTTTTTATTTCATTTATTTGAATCCATTCTTCCTTTTTTTTTTTTTTTTTGTTTGTCTAAGGGCATGTTGATTTTATTTACCTTTTTTAAAGAAAACAACTCTGGGCCAGGCACGGTGGCTCATGCCTATAATCCCAGCACTTTGGGAGGCCAAGGCGGGCAGATCACCTGAGGTCAGCAGTTCGAGACCAGCCTGGCCAACATGGTGAAACCCCGTCTCTACTTAAAAATACAAAAATTAGCTGGGCGTGGTGGCAGGTGCCTGTAATCCTAGCTACTCGGGGGGCTGAGGCAGGAGAATTGCTTGAACCCGGTAGGCAGTGGTTGCAGTGAGCCGAGATTGTGCCATTGCACTCCAGCCTGTGGGACAAGAATGAGACTTCATCTCAAACAAACAAACAAACAAACAACCTCTGATTTTGCGGGGTTTTTCTATTGCTTTTCTATTCCCTACTTATTTCTGCTCTGATCTTTGTAATTTCTTTTCTTCTGCTAACTTTGGGCTTAGTTTGTTCCTTTTCTAGTTCCTTAAGGTACGACATTAGCTCAATTTACTTGAGATCTTTCTTTCTTCTTCTTCTTTTTTTTTTTTTTTTTTTTTTTTGAGATGGAGACTCGCTCTGTCACCCAGGCTGGAGTGCAGTGGTGTGATCTCGGCTCACTACAATCTCCACCTCCCGGATCCCGGTTAAGCAATTCTCCTGCCTCAGCCTCCCTAGTAGCTGGGGCTACAGGTGCCCACCACCATGCCCAGCTAATTTTTGTATTTTTAGTAGAGATGGGGTTTCACCATGTTGGCCAGGCTGGTCTTGAACTCCTGACCTCGTGATCCTCCTGACTCAGCCTCCCAAAGTGCTGAGATTACAGGCATGAACCTGGCCAATCCATTTACATTTTAAGTAATTATTACTATTATTATTATTATTATTTGAGATGCAGTCTTGCTCTGTTGCCCAGCCTGGAGTCTAGCGGTGTGATCTTGGCTCACTGCTGCCTCCACTTCCCAGGTTCAAGCTATTCTCTGCCTCAGCCTCCCAAGTAGCTGGGATTACAGGCACATGCCACCACACCCTGCTAATTTTTGTATTTTTTAGTAGAGATGGGGCTTCATCATGTTGGCCAGGCTGGTCTTGAACTCCTGGTCTCAAGTGATCTACCTGCCTTGGCCTCCCAGAGTGCTGGGATTACAGGCATAAGCCGCCACATTCAGCCATTTTAAGTAATTATTGATAGGGCAAGATTTAGTATTGCCTTTTTTTTTTGAGACAGAGTCTTGCTCTGTTGTCCAGGCTGGAGTGCAGTGGTACAATCTCAGTTCACTGCAACCTCTGCCTCCCAGGTTCAAGCAATTCTTGTGCTTCAGCCTCCCGAGTAGCTGGATTACAGGCTCCTGCCACTACACCTGGCTAAATTTTGTGTATTTCTAGTAGAGACCAGGTTTCACTATGTTGGCCAGGTTGGTCTCAAACTCCTGACCTCAAGTGATCTGCTCGTCTCGGCCTTCCTAAGTGTTGGGATTACAGGTATGAACCACCATATTGCCATTTTTTTAAAACTGTTTTCTGTTTGTCTTGTAGTTCTTTTGTCCCTCTTTTTCTCTCTTGCTGTCTTCCTTTGTGTTTTATTGTTGGGTTTTGTTTGCCTGTTTTTGTTGTGCTGTTTTGCATTGATAGGCTTTGTAACTTTTTTTCTTTTGTGTCATTTCTATAGGTAGTTTCTTTGTGGTTACCAGGGGCTTACATAACATATATTTATAACAGGTTAAACTGATAACACTTCTATAGAAGTACTCTGCAATTTTACCTCTCCTTATTCCACATTCTGTGTTACTGATATCATAATGTCTGAGTGTCTCATAATGCATATGTAGATCTGCTGGGTGGTGTTCATTAGTTTTTAAAGGTATCTTCACTGTTTTTCATTCTTTTTTCTTTTCTTCTCTCTCTCTTTTTTTTTCTTTTGAGACAGAGTCTCGCTCTGTTGCCCAGGCCTGAGTGCAGTGGCGCAATCTCAGCTCACTGCAACCTCAGCCTCCCAGGTTCAAGTAATCCTCCTGCCTCAGCCTCCCGAGTAGCTGGGATTACAGGTGCGTGCCACCACACCCAGCTAATTTTTTTGTATTTTTAGTAGAGATGGGGTTTCACCATGTTAGCCAGGATGGTCTCGATCTCCTGACCTCGTGATCCACCCACCTCAGCCTCCCAAAGTGTTGGGATTACAGGTGTGAGCCACTGTGCCTGGCCCTTCATTCTTTTTTCTTTTTAATGCTGTGACTGAATGATTGCCAATGACCAGTCCTTGAGTTCACTAATCCTTTCTTTCAGTTCACCTAGTCTGCTATTGAACCCCTCTATTAAATTTTTCTGTTCTTTTATTATATTCTTCAGCTCCGTGATTTCTGTTTGGCACTTTTTAATATTTTCTACCTTTTTGGTTGAAATTCTCACTTTATTCATGCATTGCTCTCCTGACCTCACTGAGCATCTTTGTGACAGGTCTTTTGATTTTTTGTCTGGTAAATCACATATCTCCATTCTGTTTGGGTCAGTTTCTGAAGATTTATCTTGTTCTTTTATTTATGGCATATTTCCTGTTTGTTCATTGTCTTTGACTCTCTGTGTTGGTTTCTGCACATTTGATAAAACAGCCACCTCCCTCAGTCTTCACAGATGAGCCTCCTCACAGCCCAGTCAGAGAGTCTGGGTGCCTCTCAAACCAGTGTGTTTGTCCAAAATGCTGTTCTTGTTCTTGGTGGCCCCAGGAGACTAGAGTGTGCCAAGTACCATCAGTGCCCTGAGACAGGTGAGTCAGGAGTCAGTCCTTCTAGTAGTTGTCAGAAAAGTTGGGGTGCTAGATGTGTGGTCCATTTCATCTCTCCTCACAGAGAAGCTAAGAGCAGAAGTTTATCTCCTACTTGCTCTGCACTGAGCTGGGAAGGGGAGCTGTGGCAAAGGTCTGCATGCTCATTCAGACTGCATACTCTTTCAAACTTTTGCTTTGCTCTCTGTCACCCCTAGCCTAGGGTCCCAGTGAATGTCAGGCCCTGTCAGTTCTTTGACACAGATGGTTTAGAGGCCAGACCCTCTGGTAGCAGCCAGAAAAGTTGGAGCCCAGACAGGTAGTCAACTCTTTCTAAGGAGAAGCTGGAGGCTTGAAAACCAGGACCTTCTTTGGTGCTCTCCCAAGCATGTGGTCAACCAGATGCCCTAAGTATCCAGGACTCCATGGTGAGGGCCCATGCAGGAAAGCCTGGAGAGTGAGTGCATCCTCTGGCCAGCACAGAGTTTCTTTCACGGAATCATGTGTGATTTGGGCCTCCAGAATAGCACTGATGCACTGATTCAGGAAAACACACTCACATTAGACACAGGATAAAGAATCCTCAGATACACTCACTGGCTCATAAACAAATCCAAAAGCATCTCTTCCTACCCAGTATTCTAAGTCTTCATCAATAAATCACTACATCCCACATAAGCCCAAGAATATGTAGTATGTTTTTAAATAACATTGCATATATAGACAGGGGCCCCACAACAAATATTTGGCCAGGGTTTCACACACACTAGAGGCAGCTCATCCTCAGTATTCCCATAAGACTTTGTGTTTACTTCTATAGCCTGTGATAACAACATTTGACACATTCAAACATATTCCTCTTTGTGATATATTCTGTTGTCACCTTCTATGATAACACCCTTTTGCTTTTCCTCCTATTGACATCTCTGCCATCTCCTCCTTCTCCATTGTCCTCTAAATGCTGGCATGTTCCTGTGTTTGCTCTTGGCCCCTCTAGCTCTCTTCCTCAGTTATTTCATCTATTATTGTGGCTCTGAATATGATCTACATGCTAATGAATCCCAAATCTTCATTTCTGGTCCTGCCCTCACCCCGAAACTCAAGACTGTTATCCAACTGCCAACCTAACATCTCTACATAAATGTCTTTTTTTTTTTGAGATAGAGTCTTGCTTTGTCACCCTTGCTAGAGTGCAGTGGTGTGATCTTGGCTCGCTGCAACCTCTACCTCCCAGGTTCAAGTGATTCTCATGCCTCAGCCTCCTGAGTAGCTGGGATTACAGGTGCACACCACCACACCCAGATAATTTTTGTATTTTTAGTAGAGACAGAGTTTCACCATGTTGGCCAGGCTGGTCTTGAACTCCTAACCTCAAGTGATCCGCCCACCTTGGCCTCCCAAAGTGTTGGGATTACTGCCGTGAGCCACTGTGCCTGGCCCTCTATGCAGATGTCTAATGGGTATCTAAATTTCACACATGCAAGACAGAATTGTTGATTGCATGCATGTATACTCCAAACCCATTTCCCTCCCAGTCTTCCATATCTCTGTATCCAGATGCTTAAGCCAAAAACCCAGGAGACATCCTTGAATTTACCTTTTCCATTACAGTTTGTGACTATTCTATCAGCAAGGCCTACTTTTCTTCTTCAGAATGTATCTCAAAGCCATGATCCTGTCTCCTCAGCCACCACCCTGGTCCAAGATGCTGCTCTATTGCTGTACTAGTGTGAAAGCACCACTGATCTCCCTGCTCTCCCTTTCCCCCTTGTAGTAGCTATAAATAAATACCTAAATATGGGTAATTTATAAAGAAAAGAGGTTTAATTTGCTCACATCTGCTCCTGGTGAGGCCTCAGGAAGCTCACAATAATGGTGGAAGATGAAGGAGCAGCCCGTGCCCCACATGGCGAGAGAGGGAGCAACAGTGGGAAGGGAGGGGTGCCGCACTCTATTTTTTTTTTTTTTTTTTAGATAGGGTCTGGCTTTGTTGCCCAGGCTGGAGTGCAGTGGCACAATCTTGGCTCACTGCAACCTCTGCCTCCTGGGCTCAAGTGATCCTCCCACCTCAGCCTCCCCGGTAGCTGGGACTATAGGCAGCGCACCATCACACCCGCCTAATATTTCTATTTTTAGTAGAGATGGGTTTCACCCTGTTTCCCAGGCTAGTGTCGAACTCCTGAGCTCAAGTGATCCTCCTGCCTTTACCTCCCAAAGTGCTGGGATCACAGGCGTGAGCCACGGCACTTGGCCACCATACTCTTTAAAACAGGCAGATCTCATGTGAACTACCAGACTGAGAACTCACTCACCACCAAGATGATGTCAGCAGCCATTCATGAAGGATCTGCTCCACGACCCAATCACCTCCCACCAGACCCCACCTCCAACACTGAGCATCACATTTCAACACGAGATTTGGAGAGGACAAACGTCCAAACTATATCACCCCACTATAATCCATTCTCTCAAAGCAGCTAGAGAACTCTTTTCATAAGGTAAATCAGTGCATCCCATTTCTCTACTTAAAATATTTCAATGACTTCCCATTCCCCTTAAACAACATCCAAATTCATTCCACAGCATAGTCATCAATGCTCCAGAGGGTCCAGCCCCTCCTGGCCCTTTAACACCTCCCTGTCTTTGTTCCCCCTCACTCACTCTGCTCCAGGCCCTTAGCACACTTTCTGCAAACTCATGCCTGCCTCACACCCTTTGAACGTATAGTCTCTCTGCCTGTCTTCCCAGCACGTCGCAGGCTGGCTCCCTTCCTGCCAGCATCACCTGTCCTGACTGGCCCTTCTTAATGGCCTTCCTTTGAGATGAAAAGAAGCTCTGTTACATCATAATCTCCTCCCTTGAGAACACTGATTACATTCTGAAAGTACACTGCTTATTCCTGTGCTCACAGTTCAATGTCTCTAGATTATAGGCGTTATGAGGACAGAGTACTGGTTTACAGTACAAAATTCCTGGGACATAGAACACTGCCCAGCACAAATAATGATTTGATCAATAATTGTTGAAGGAATAGACTAAATGAAGGAACTGACAACTCAAGGGAAAGAGTAATGACTCCATGAAAGAGCCAAAAAAGAAGAAAAAAAGTGTTATGTTGCTAGGTAAATAATATTTACATTCATCTGTTATCAACATTTTCAAAGCCTCTTTCAGCCTTAATCCCCACTGAGCCAGCAAGGTGAAACTCTGAACCACGTTCTGGAACAAAGTACGTTGTCTCAGGTGGCTGGCCAGGCCATGCCACTCACTCTTTGATGTTGCAAATCTTTAGCCAAAGGCTCTTAGGCTATCTGTCAGGAGAGGCCATTCATTGCCAGCAGGGCGGAAGGCACTCCCTGGAGCTTTGCTCCTGATGGCTTCACGAGTGAGGAAGGAAGCATTCAGTTGGCCATTTCTGCTCTCCAAGACACACGTCTGCCAACATGATTGCATCTACTACCATATGCCTTTTGATGTTTCATTCATAAGAAGTACACTATCCTATTGCAAAATTCCATGTGTCCAAATCAAACATCTGGGATCCTTGCACTCAAAGGCTGTATTGAGAATGGCTAGAAGTCTACTCTCTT
Organism: Homo sapiens; assembly: GCF_000001405.40. Classification (NCBI taxonomy): domain Eukaryota; kingdom Metazoa; phylum Chordata; class Mammalia; order Primates; family Hominidae; genus Homo; species Homo sapiens. The sequence continues at coordinate 109,069,240 of NC_000002.12, read as the reverse complement.
GATTTATAAGCCCCCCTTTTTATGATCTCTATTTTATTGGGTTTTTCTTTAATTATTTTCCCTTGGTATATGTCTGAGATACATTACTCAAGATAGAAAATTTATTAGTACTATTTTGAGCATATTGTCTGCATTTTAAATGCAAAAAGCTGTTCAGTGAAACGCATGTGTTATGTGCAATGTATTTTAAAGGCCACCTGCTCCTTTTCTTGTCTCAAGATACCTGTCTAAGGGAGGAGTGCCATATGGGCAGAAATGGAAACACACTGAAATTATGAATAATAAGCTCCTCACAACCGATATAAGATTGTCAGCCATGGTAAAATCAATTGGTTTTTCCATTTTGCAGGAGGGACCACATAATGACAATAGCTGGAAGGTATTTAGTACTTACAAGCATTTTGACATATCATCATATTTGCTTATCTCACCAGCTTGCCAGATGAGGAGGAAAACAAATGGTATTCCAACTCAACGAATGAGGAAACAAAACCTCAGAGAGGTTAAGTGAGTTTCCCAGAGCTACACAGCTCATAATGGCCAACCTGGGGCTCAGACATGGGTCTCTGACTCCAAGTCCAACACTCTTCCCCTCTGTTGCACTGCCCAGGGGAAAAGCAGAGACTTTCCTGAAAACCTGAGGCACAGAAACAATACAAACCCATGAGAAATAATGATAATAATGACCAACATTTCCCCAGTGCTGTGTATGTGCCAGTCTCTGTTCGTTCCCCACTTACTGGGCATCCGTGATGTCAAGCCCTGTTCTGGGTGCTGGAGATGTTGCAGTGATCAAAACAGGGGACAGGGCCCTTGCCCTCAGACGGCTTACAGTCTGGATGCGGGTTTCTCAACCTCTTCTCTGTTGCCATCTGGGGTGGGGGTTCTTCGGGTGGGTGTTCTTAATCCTGTGCACTCCTGCCTGTGCCCACTGGGTGCCTAGAACACCCCACCCCCAGTTAGGATCACTCCAAATGTCTGTAGACACTGACAGATGGCCCATGGTTGAGAACCGCCATTCTAGAGGGAAGAACAGTTCCGCGAAAAGATGAAAAAGTAAACGACATGGTGTGTCAGAGGGGAATACACACTATGGATAAAAATGATCCAGGGAAGTGGGGTAGCCCCGTGAGGGGGTGGTGTGGGTGGCAGCAGTCAGGGCAGCTTCACTGAGGAGGTGACCTTGGAGCAAGCCTTACAGGGGAGCATGTGAGCAGGCAGGTGTGTGGGGATGTGCATTCCAGGAGAAGGAACAGCAAAGAGCAAAGTCCCCAGAGCAGCAGCAAGCCCAGCCTCCACCCAGCAGCTGGAGCTGGAGCCCTGTGGCTGAGGGAGGAAGGGGCTGGGATTGCCAGGGTCAGAACAGGGTGGTCGTGATGGAGGAGGGGGCAGGGTGGCTTGCAGGTGCATTTTGAAGCTGGAGCCCACAGCATTAGCTAGTGGACTAAATGTGAGGTGTGAGAGGGAGAAATGAATCCAAGATGACTCCAGGAATCAGCCTGAGCACCTGAAGGATTGCGCGGCCAGGAGAGGGTGGTTTGGGGAGCAGGGGCAGAGTCCGGGTTGATTCCAGTCAGCTGGCAACATCTACTAAATATTCTTCTTAGTGACTACATATAGATCTAGACCTGTGTGACCTTCCCAACACCCAGGAGAGACAGACACAGTCACATCCCCACTTACAGATGAAGACTTCAAGACGCAGAGCGGTGGAGGGACTTGCCCGAGTCCTGGAGCTGGGAGAACTCCCGAGACCCTGGGATGGTGGCATGGCCCCTGCACCTCCGCTGCCTCCCCCATGGTGAAAGTACAGCACAGGCGGGGCTGCGAGAGAGCAGCGGAGAGATTATGCAGTAGCTATCTTTGGAGGCGTCACTGCCCACGGTGTTTTTAGGATGAATAATTGCTTGAATTCCTCAAGGCTTTATAAATAGATGGAGAGGTAATTATACACAGCAGGACAAAATTGGCTGACTTTTTCTAATCCTTATTGCAGTGGCCTTCCCCTAGGAAAGCACAACAGGGCCCTCAAGTCACCAGGCCTCACTAGGCCTGCGTCCTCACTGTGCGTCCTTCGCTGAACAAGCCGACCCAGGCTGGCCTCACCCTCGACTTTTGTGTTCTTTCTTTGCAACATCAGGTTGTTTTTTTTTTTCTTTCTTTCTGTATTCCTTTTTATTTTGCCTCTCTGCTATATGTTGTGTTCTGCCGAGAAATTCCAAGCCTATGCCCTGGGATAAAACATTAGGTTTTCTGTCTGCGTCTTGTGCGCTTTACAAAAAATGGAGTATCAACGTGTTGAAAGGAAATAATATTGTTGTCAGAGCACCCTGGACATCTCTCAGCCTCAGAGAAGTCTTATTCCTGGGGGGTTCTTGGAACCTTTGGGGCTGCTCTTCTCCCTTTGTCCCTGGGGCCCCTCCTTCCTTTACCGCTCGGCTCTGTCATAATCTCCTCCTGTAACTCAGGCAGTCCTGGGCACAGCCTCCCATCGCCCCTGCCCCGCCATCCCCCAGTGAAGCCATCTGCTACATGCAACATGATTACTTCCCCAGGGGACTGAGTGACAATGCAGGAGGGGACAGACACAAGGGCCCTGGGTCTAGAAAGGCAGCTGGGGCCAGTTGCAAATGGAATCGGAATTGACCTGTGGGCAGCGGACACCAACTGCGTTTCTTTCAGTAGGAGGGAGCCTCACTCCTACTTGAGTTTAGAGGGCACCCCCCACAACACTGCTGAGTGTGGTGAGGGACAAGTTGGTGGGGGAACAGTTAGCGCTGTTTGCGTGGCGAGGTGTGGATGGAGAGGGCATGCCTTTATAAAAAAAGAATCCACGGCCAGCACGGTGGCTCACGCCTATAATCCCAGCACTTTGGGAGGCCGAGGTGGGCAGATCACGAGGTCAGGAGTTCAAGACCAGCCTGGCCAACATGGTGAAACCCCGTATCTACTAAAAATACAAAAATTAGCCAGGTGTGGTGGCAAACACCTGTAATTCTAGCTACTCAGTAGGCTGAGGCAGGAGAATCGCTTGAACCCAGGAGACGGAGGTTGCAGTGAGCTAAGATTTCGCCACTGCACTCCAGCCTGGGGGACAGAGCGATACTATGTCTCAGAAAAAAAAAAAAATACAGAATTAGCCGGGCATGGTGGCGCATGCCTGTAATCCCAGCTACTCGGGAGGCCGAGGCAGGAGAATTGCTTGAATCCGGGAGGCAGAGGTTACGGTGAGCCAAGATCATGCCATTGCACTCCAGCCTGGGCAACAAGAGTGAAACTCTGTCAAAAAAAATCCACAAGAGCTGGCAACAGAAGCTGAAGACTAGAGTGGAAAAAAATGATAGTATCTTAGGATGGAAAGGGCCTACATCACCTCACTTTGTTGCCTCTGCCTGCAGGAATTGCTGGGCAGCATTTGAGGCAGATGACAGGAAGCTCAAGCAGCTCGTAAGACGCGGAGGCCAGCACTCCACTGATAGGCTCTTCCCTCTTTGCACAAGGTTTCCTAACATTGAGTCCAAATTTGAATCTCTGAGACTTCCTACATGCATCCTTAACTTTTCTCTCTGGAGCTCTCAGGTGTCAGAGCATCACGATCTTTAAACAGCCACTACATCTCTCCACTGGACCGCCTCCTTTCCAGGCTGAGTGCCACCAGTGTTTGACCCTTTGCCAGCTTGCTCTCCTCCAGTTAGTCCCTGACACTTGGGGCTGCGCATGATCCAGCAGAAATGTCCTGGCTGGGCTGAACGAGGGCTGATTCCTCCATTCTACACAGGATGCTGCGGGGTTGGGAGTGACGCCCAGCAAGAACTGCAGAGTCGGCAGCCCCAAGGACCTGTCCTCCACAGAAACACGCACACAAAGATAAGCAAAAGCCGTCAGAATCAACTTTGTGGAACTCTGGGAAATAATCAAAGATTTACAGCAAGCAAGCAAAAAAAAGTGCACTAATGACTTAAATACAGCATTTGTGGAAATCTCAGTCAAACCTCTAGCTGACCATGAGCTACAGGACCAGGGACTTCAGAGAACACACATTGATGAAGAATATAGTCTTCAACTAGAGTGCCTCCTAATGTTGGCTTTGTTGGAAGCTGGGCCAACAGTATTTGCTAGTTTGCTTTGTGGTCAGCTATGCCTTTTCATTGGCTTAATGAGAAGCCAGGACTCCTGAACCTAAGTCTCAAGTTCATTTTTCAAGTCTAAGTGTTAGACATTAAATGAATCCCTATGATATTCCATTTTATTTATTTAAACCCCAAGGCTCCTGCCTGCCAAAATCTCGTGAAATTTTTATTTCATTATCCAGCTCATGCGCTATCCCTCCCAGATTTGTGCTTTCCATAATTTCTAAAGCATCTTGTCTATGTCTTTCTTAAAATTATTGATTAAAAAGTGTCAAACAGGACTGGATCAATACAGAGCCCCAGGCACATCAACAGAGGCCCCCATTTCAATAACCTTAGTTCTGTGGGTGCATTTATCCATCAAATACAACCCACAGGGATGTCTAACACACCAGAAGGTTTTACTCAGAAAAGAATATTAGTTTCATTTGGCTCCATGTATCTGTTTAAAAATCCACTTTTTAAACAGAAGAAATCTTTCACTTTTTAACGAATTTCCGTAGCACTTTCTCTGCATTTCCATTACAGCACATTTAACACCCTACTGTGTGAAGGTTCAGGTCACATCTAAAGGTAAAGACTTTGCACTGAGAGAACTGGGTGCAAATCAAAGCTCTGCCATTTACCAGTTTGTTTTTGTTTTTTTTTTTTTTTTGAGACAGAGTCTTGCTCTGTCACCCAGGCTGGAGTGGAGTGGCGTGATCTCAGCTCACTGCAAACTCCGCCTCCCGGGTTCATACCATTCTTCTGCCTCAGCCTCCCGAGTAGCTGGGACTACAGGCACCCGACACCATGCCCGGCTAATTTTTGTATTTTTAGTAGAGACGGGGTTTCACCGTGGTCTTGATCTCCTGACCTTGTGATCCGCCCACCTCGGCATCCCAAAGTGCTGGGATTACAGGCGTGAGCCACCCCGCCCGGCCTGCCATTTACCAGTTCTAAGACTCAGTCTCTTCATGTCTAAAATGGGAATAACATTAGTACATACCTTACAGAGTTATCACAGGATTAAAAAAGATACAGACAATAAACACAGTGCTTGGCACTTTAGAACTCATAGTATCTCTTCTCGTGTAAGCTCAGTGCAGCACGCCTAGAATCCAACCCACTCACATGAAACGGACATGATGGCTGGACCTGTGGCAGCCATTTTATAGCCATGAAGCAACAATCATGAGAATAAGCCCAAAAGAATTACACCTACCAATTATTGCCGAATCCCTAAACCAAAGCCACAATTTAGTATTATGGGAAGGGGAAAAAAATCTCTTTGCAGAAGACACTACGTTGTTTTTTTGTTTTTTTTTTTTCTATTACTTGCAGTTACCCCTTTTGGCCAGGCTGCCCTAACTCAAGCCACTAACTAGATAACGATTTGTCAGAAATTACATCTCCATTTAAGGAAGAAAATCAGTTGGGAATTTGTAGTGCACATGCATGGGTATCTGTATCTCTTGTATGTGCCTGTGTGTGTGTACCCAGGTGCCTGCAGGGAAGTTCGAGCTGTTTGTTCCAATGCCAGTTCTACAGCCATTGAGCAAGAAACCCCGGGACGGTTCCCTGTCGCGCCTGTGGAGCAGCAGACAGCAGGTGTTTCTGGCCGACTTGCAGCCACGCGGGGGCCTCTGCTGCATTCATCCTCCATGCGCTCGTTTCTGAAGCTGCATGCCTGCTGAAGGAAAGGCCACAGCAAAGCCAGGCGCTGCTGATGTGGACCCTACTGTGTCGAGATCTCCCAGGGCTCCTGAAGGAGAGAAAAGAAAACCCAGGCACAGGGCATTTTGTGAGGGAGGGAACAGGAAATGCTCAAAGGTTCCACCGTAATTTGAAGCAAGATCAAAAGCCCCAGGAGTGGGTGGCTCTCCAGCATCTTCCCAGCCCCCGGGGATATACAAGCATAGTTGGAAGACCTCCAGGTCTCACTCAGAGCCCAGGGACCCAACAGGCACAAGCCAGAGGGGGAGGATGTGTCTGCACAACCCTAGGGGAATGGCATGGGAGGGTCTCAGGTTGGCATGGTGGTGGGGGGCACACACTCCAGCAGGTGGACAAGGCGAGGAAGGCGCTGCCAAGAAAGGAGAAAGGGGACATCAAGGAGGTGGCTCCTGTCCTGAGGCCGTAGGCCCTGGCTCTTCTGGCACAGGGTCAGCGTGGGTGGGTGGGCTGCCTGCAGTTGGCACCAGCTCTGTCTGCACAGGTGGTCGCCCTGAGGCAGGCAGAGGCAACAGCCTGCCAGCCCCCTTCACCTCCACCCGCTCCCAGGGCCCCCAACACATCCCTCCACCCCCTCACCATCCCAGCACCCCCACCCCATCCTAGCATCCCTGGGATCAAAAGCAAATGGATTTTTCTTCCCCAGGACTCCAGAGCAGTCTTGCACTGTGCTCTGTCTCACGAGAGAGGGCACTGTCCATGAGGATTCGCTGTTCGGAAGGAGGTGTAAGGCCTGCTGTCCTGCCTTCTCCAAGCTTTGGGCCCCTCATCTGTAAATGGGAAAAATGCATCCACCTGAATAGGGGCTTTGGGGACAGGAGGGGGCATCAGGGGACTTTCCTGGGTGTGGAAATCTGTCTTGATCTGAGTGGTGATGACTCAGGTGCATGCACATGGAAAAATCCACCCGGCTATACACACAAGATCATGCACTTTACCAGGAGTGCAAGCCAGGGACTGGCTTAGAAACTAGTGGAAGAGGCCCCTCCAATGCGGTCTGGTTGAAGGGGCCCAGGGTGTGTCTCTTCCTCAGACACATCCATTCCAGCCTTACTCCCTCTGTCGCTGATGCAGGAAATTCAACTATTACAAATGACTGCCCTTGGCTTAAAGCTGTGTCTCCAACTGGTAGGAAGAGTAACATGTTTCCTTATCTCACCTGCACTTTAGACTCTCAGAGGAGGGAAGTCAGGGGTGGAGAACAAGATCTGAAAATATATTTTCCTTGCCTGATAACTTTTATCCAAAGTGAAAGGCTTTGCTTGTCCCTCTGGGAGAGGGAGAGAAACAGATTGAGAAGGGACAAGCCTGCCTGCCTGGCCCTGCCCAGCCATTCTGCCTCCCTCCCCTGCAAGCCAGGAAACCAGACTTTCGGGGCTGGAGGGTCTGTGAGGATGACAGGAGGGCTGGACATTTGGGACCCTAATGAGGGAGGGGTAGGCTCAGGGACAAGACATCCACTCTGACAGCCACACGGTCAGCTGACCCCCACTGCTGGGAATGCATGCATGGCTCCAGTCGCATCCCACACTGGATGGGCATCACCTCTGCTTGAATCAACCAAAGGGAAACAAGTCCACGGGCCCACCAGACCTTAAATGCAAGGCTTGAAAATGAGGTCAGTGCCCCACATTCTGATAATATGGATTGACTACTTTTTAATGTCCAAAATTGTACACTCTCCCATAATCTTTTGTAGAAAATTCACAACATCCAAGGCTACTATGAACTGAGGAATATTTTTCTATTATTGCACTTATTATTGCATTTATTAGCCATGACAATATCAACTAGTGTTTGAAATATAGTGAGTGTGCATGATGAATGGTTTCATTGGGTAGGCTAGTAGGAAACCTCAGTGTCTCCCTGTTCTTTCCCTGAAGTCTTCCAAGTCCAGGGGCCCTGAGGGCTTGCCATGCACACAGGCTGCTTGCAAACCCACCAAGCAAGCACACACAGACCCAAAGAGATGAGCAAGATGACTCCAAAGGAAGGAAAATCAGCAATGACAAATGATGTCAAGGAAACCATCCCTGTGCTGAATGAGCCTCTTGGCTTTTCCTTAACATATATTTTTACACTTACCTAAAATTTCCCAGAAATGTTGCTTCAAGAGGGCATTCAGCCTAAGCTTGGGAATCTGTGTGCATAGGTGTTTGTGTGCATAAGTACACACACTCTCACCAAGAATCAACTTACATTGCACAGCTCCCAGGGTTTTCCTTGGACAACAGCAAGTGACTGAGAAGGACAGCCTTCTCTGACCTACAAACTTTACATCCTATAGACCTTCTATTAACAGAGGACACTATGAAACCACTATTATTCAAGCAGAGGACAAATAGGTTTCTTCATATCTAGTTCTTCATAGAAATGGAGCAAGTTTGAAGCGCTTACTAGAAGGATGTCCTGTAACCTAAAAATATTAATACCTGCTTCCTTAGGGTGCTGGACTATGAGTAATCTCCTAATTTTTCTTTTGACTTTTTCTAAATTTTCTATAATAAGCATGTAAATTAACTATGAAGACATATATGTTATATATATGACACATATAACATTTATAAAGAAATTATAATCTCAGAGAAAATCACAAAATGTGAGAAGGTAGTTAAAGACCCAACAGGAAAACCATAATCTACAGACACATGGGAAACTGAGGCCCAGGGTGGCAAATGGATCATCCTGGAGCTGGTGTCCGGCCCTTGGCCTCTGCACACCTACTCAGTGAAGCTGCCTCGGGAGAGCCATCTTGACTCAAGAGAAGAGTTTAACTGCAGTGGTTTTCAGCACCAAAGCTAACTTTACTAGATCTTCATAATTTAGAAAATTGAGTATTATCTATTCACAAGGTTCTTAAAACGCTATAGAGAGACAAAAGCAAGGGTGGGAAGTGGAGAGAAAAGGCAAGTATGATGGTCCTGATTCTCTCCCCTCCCCAGTTTAGTAAAATGGGGGGACCTGGGTGTGGCCATGGAAGTTCTATCAACATTCAGCTCTGTTTTTTGCTTGTTCCAAAGGCACATTCATGCAACATGTAACCAGCCCAACCTGGAGCAGACAAAGGACTCCAGGAGATCGAGTCCAGGAGACACCTGTATTCGGTTACCAACAGCTCATTTCCTTATGTTGCTGCACTTTCAGTTTCTAAGTATGTGTATTATTAAATTCTCCATATTCTTTCTTTTTCTTTTTTGAGATAGAGTCTTGCTCTGTCGCCCAGGCTGGAGTGCAGTGGCGCGATCTTGGCTCACTGCAAAATTCTCCATTTTCAATCAGCTGTAACTGCAAAGTATCCTAAGTATTTACTCCACATGCCTCAAAAAGACACATTGTCAAAATGTCTAAGTCCAGGTTGGAAGTCAGGTTCTTGTGAGCTGAGGGTACTCTAGAAGTCAAGGAGCAGGTCTGGGAAGGAGAATCTGGGAGCTCAAGGGGCCCTGGCCAGTCCTAACAGCCAGGGTTAGGATACGACAACCACACTCAGGCCTGTGAGGCAGCAGAATGCTACCCACCCCATTATCCTCCTGGGCACAGTGGCTCTTGTCTGCCACATCCCCCCCACCCACCAAAACCCCTTCCCTACACTGCAGGGCATGGGGCCTGACTGCATCCCAGGATCTGCTGTGTTTAGTGCTCTAAGTGCAGCTCAGGTCAGCCTACATTCTGCAGGAGTGGTGGCTCTGTGGGCAGAGGCCCCTGTCCCGGGGCTGGCACAGTGCCACAGTGCCAGAGGAGAGGCAGTGGTGGCTGGAGTTGGCAGGAGTGCAGTTGCTCCCTGCCCTGGACAACGGCCATGTTGTGTGACCTTTTTTTTTTTTTGAGACGGAGCCTTGCTCTGTTGCCCAGGCTGGAGTGCAGTGGTGTGATCTCAGCTCAGTGCAAGCTCTGCCTCCCGGGATTCACACCATTCTCCTGCCTCAGCCTCCTGAGTAGCTGGGACTACAGGCACCCACCGCCACACCCGGCTAATTGTTTGTATTTTTAGTAGAGACGGGGTTTCACCGTGTTAGCCAGGATGGTCTTGGTCTCCTGACCTCATGATCCGCCCACTTTGGCCTCCCAAAGTGTTGGGATTACAGGCGTGAGCCACCTTGCCCAGCCCCATGCTGTGTGACCTTGACACTGATAGTTTAGGCGGATAACTAGATTGACATTCTCTAGGCCACCCCATGATGTTGTGGACTCCTGGTTCCCTGGCACAGTAGAGGGGCCTCTGTTTCCTGAACTACACCCTGACTGGACCTGCCAGCAGGTCCAAGCTGTGGAGGAGGGTCCCCTAACTCCCCTTCCCCACCCCCGCTTTGGAACGATAAGGCCCGGAGGTGGCAGGTCAGCCTATCCCAGCTGTCCATCTCCTCTCGATCTTCTCTCCATGGCCACTATGCCCCATATCTCTGGCTGTGCACAGGCCACTGTGTCCTGTCTCCCCGCCACTTCACTTGTGTGAGTGGCTTCTGCCTCCTCACTGTCCATGTGAACTGTGCTATCAGCAGAGGCGAAAGGGACCCCACACAAGATCCTGCTTTCCCAGGCCCCCTCCCCAACTCACTGCCCCCATTAGCCTCCTGTGGGGTTCCCCTTCTAGCTCCCAGAGCCCTGCCTTGGAGACCAACTCTACTCTCTGCCCGTCTCCTCTCAGCACCCCAATCAATTCCACTCTTCTGACTCTTCAGAGGCCTGTTTATCATAATTCCCAGTCTATAAAAATGGTTGCTCCCAACTCCTTACAGGACGTTTCCTTACTGACAAGTCAGCTGCAGAGTGGCAGCAGAATTGTCATTGTTTAATGAATTGCATCACAAAAATGGGGAGGTGAGGCTTTGGATGAGCTTGGGACTAAATCTTTAAGCAGGCGCCACATTTGTGCAAATCCCTCAGGCCGCTGCATAATCGCCTCTTTGCAGTCAAGGAGTCTATAAATATCTCAGGAAGGAGAGCCGAGAGCCTTTTCCTAAGGGCTGCCCGCATCGTTTTAGGGGTAAGCTCACGGCGCTGTGACAGGGCCTGGCAGCCAGGGACCTTGGCAGAAGCTATAATAAGAATGTGGGGCTTTTAAGACCCTAGTCCCATTGGATGCCTCCAGTCCAGGCGTAGCTGGCTGGGAAGTCAGTACCCTCTCCACACTGCAGCTAAATGACTGACCTGAGGATAATTGGGGTCATTTGTCACACTGAGAGAGAAGGGGCTGGAGCAGAAAGCTGCTCAACCTGCATGCAGATGGGGTTTTCTGTGACCGTCCCCACCTGCCAGGGACAGTGCGAGCCCACGGGCATCACTGGCAGGATGGACCTCGTGGCTTCCACTGCCAGCACACAGGTGAGCTGTGGCAACTCCCAGTGACCCCTGTTCCTGTGAGACCTGCAAACTGTAAATGTGGGCAGGATAGATTCTGCTCCTGCCCCTCCGCAGCCACAAAGGCCCCTCCTTGCCACATAAGCGCTTAATCAGCATAATGAGCGACTACTGAGCTGATCGTTATCATCTCCCTCCTGGTTAGAAGTGGAACCATGCTGGGGCCAAACCAGGAGCCAGCCAGGCAGACCCAGGCAGGAGAAAACACACAGAGATGAGTAACCACCGCAAGCTGGCACTCAGTGAGGCAGGTGTCTCTTCTTTGTCCCGGGGCGGGGCGAAGGAAGAGGTGGGGTGCTTTGCTCATCCTGCAGAGCCAGGCCCCTCAGCCTGCACCTCTCCCCACCGTCAGATGCATTCTACTTAGAAACAGAACACAGCTAATCGGAGGCTCAGAAAGACCAAGGTTTGATGTTATCTCTACTCCTTCCACAGTTTACTGGCCACAAATGGCCCAAGCCCCACTACTGTAAGTGACTCTCCACAGAGTTCCATGAGAAAGACAGAGAGACACTATAGAAATCTGAAGATGGCTTTGCCCTTCGACTCCGCAATCTGCTCGCTGCTCTCAGGTACATCATATTTATTAGATGACAATAATCCTACCTGCCGTAAATGTCAGAGTCAAGGACAGAGCTGTCATCCGTCACTAAGACCCATTGGAAATAATCTGAGATATCACATTGTCATTTACATCACTGGAAATATGAAAATCCAGTTTCTCTTTACATAATTCAAATAGACCATAGATCAACTTAACACTATGACCCCTTTCTTGAAAAATAAATGGCTTCAGTTTAAAGTATGAAAGCCGTGGATTTATGGGGGACACTGAAGATTAAGAGGACTAATTAGATCTTATTATGCATAATGACATTCTCAAGTGAATATTGTAGGATCAGAAATGAACATCTGCAAATTTCTTGCCTAAAACCCCAGAAACCCTAGGTATTCAAAAACTCATTTCAAAAGATAACTGGGTAATATCAAAGACACATGAGGAAATGCTTGATTTCTAATCAAAGATGAGAGATAGATTAAACCCAAGAGACTGAAAAACAGGAACATTGCAATTTTCTGTCTCTCCCAGGCACCTGCCTCCTACCAGCAACTTCAGGAATAATATTGAACTCTGTTAACCATGTTACAGCTTGACTGTGAGCCTTCACTTTGGTCTTGGGAGGACCATGTACAACTGTTCCTACAGCATATTCACTCAGTGCTTCCAAGGGCTATCTCACAGGTACCTACTGTGTGTCAGGCACTGTGCTCAGCACAGAGTGCAGGAGACCAGTGTTGAACCACACCTTCACTCTTATGGGGCTTACATCAAAGAACTTACCAAAAGAACTGACATCAACTTCTAAGAACCAATTATCTTTAGAAGACTGTACTTAATCCTAAATCCTCGAAAAGCCATCTTATAATCCAATAGGAAACAGAGGAAAGAACAGTTAATTTGGCTGCAGAGGTAGTAGAAGAGCCAATCCATCAATCAACAAATGCTGTCAATCAGGAGGATGCTTTGAGTTCTGCCCATAGGGTGGGAAGAAGAGATCTAAAGACTATAAGCTGGCCAGGTGTGGTGGTTCATGCCTGTAATCCCAGCACTTTGGGAGGCCGAGACGGGAGGAACACTTAATGCCAGAACTTCGAATCTAGCCTAAGCAGCATAATGAGACTCCCGTCTCTACAAAAAAATTCAAAAGTTAGTGAGGCATGGTGGCCTGCATCTCTAGACCTAGTTACTCCACAGGCTGAGGCAGGAGGACCACTTTGGCTCAGGAGTTCAAGATCACAGTGAGCTATGACATTGCACCACTGCACTCCAGCCTGGGTGAAGAGAACAAGACCCAGAGCAAGACCCTGTCTTCCCCCACCCCCTAAAAACAGAATAGAACCCAAAGCCCCTGTTTTAAGGTGCCACCATTGAGTAAATTCTGAGCAACAGCAAAATAATCATAACAGATAATACTAGAGCTGTTGGCTGGGCTCAGTGGCTCACGCCTGTAATCCCAGCACTTTGGGAGGCTGAGGCGGGTGGATCACGAGATCAGGAGTTCAAGACCAGCCTGGCCAAGATGGTGAAACCCTGTCTTTACTAAAAATGCGAAAATTAGCTGGGCGTGCTGGGGGGTACCTGTAATCCCAGCTACTCGGGAGGCTGAAGCAGAGAATTGCTTGAACCCAGGAGGCAGAGGTTGCAGTGAGCCAAGATCGCGCCACTGCACTCCAGCCTAGGTGACAGAGTGAGACTCATCTCAAAAAAAAAAAAAAAAAAAATGTTAGAGCTGTCACAAGGATTCCTGAAAAGACATTACGACAGATACCAGGAAGACTTGTAAGAAAATGAAAAGGCCGCTGGGCGTGGTGGCTCACGCCTTTAATCCCAGCACTTTGGGAGGTCGAGGCAGATGGATCGCTAGGTCAGCAGTTCGAGACCAGCCTGGCCAATATGGTGAAACCCTGTCTCTACTAAAATACAAAAAAGAAAAGAAAAGAAAAGAAAAGAAAATTAGCCGGACACGGTGGCATGCACCTGTAGTCCTGCTACTCGAGAGGCTGAGGCAGAAGAATCGCTTGAATTCTGGAGGCGGAAGTTGCAATGAGCCGAGATTGTGCCACTTCATTCCAGCCTGGGTGACAGAGTGAGACTGTCTCAAAAAAAAAAAAAAAGAAAAGAAAAAATAGAAAAGGCAAGACATATACACATATACTGGAATATACTGGAAGAGACTATTAACGATACATATAGCTGACCAAGAAGTGTCTTCATTTTAATAATAGTAAAACAAGCAACCCAATTCTTTAAAAGGGGCACAAGATTTGAACAGACACTTCAGAAAAGAATATATATGAATGGCTAATAAACACATGAAAAGGTGCTAATATCATTAGTCATCGTGAAAATGCAAGTTAAAACCATCAAGAAATGCTACCACATGCCTACACAGAGGAGACTACAAGAATGCTCATAGCAGCTTTATTCATAGCAAGGGCAAAAAACTGGAAAGAGTCCAGAATTATTTCATCAATGGATGAACAGAAAAAAAAATCAGGATGTGTACATGCCAGCGAATCCTACTTAGCAATAAAAAGGACTGCTGAGACACAGAGCAACATGGTGAACCTCGAGAGACCCTATTGCCTGTCCCATGTGCATGACTTCTACAATAGGCTAAACTAAGCTATGGTGATAGAAACTGGAGAGGGGGCCAGGGCAGGGAAGGGACAAGGGAACATACTGGTGATGGGAACGCTCCACGTCTTGACTGGCGTGGAGGTGACACAGGTGTATACATTTGTCCAAACTTGGCTTGCCAAACTCTTTTTTTTTTTTTTTTTTGAGACGGAGTCTCACTGTTGCCAGGCTGCAGTGCAGTGGTTCGATCTTGGCTCACTGCAACCTCCACCTCCCTAGTTCAAGCAATTCCCCTGCCTCAGCCTCCCAAGGAGCTGGGACTACAGGTGCATGCCACCATGCCCAGCTAATATTTGTATTTTTAGAAGGGATTTCACCATGTTGGCTAGGATGGTCTCAATCTCTTGACCTCGTGATCTGCCCACCTCGGCCTCCCAAAATGCTGGGATTACAGGCGTGAGCCACCGCGCCCAGCCAACTCACCAAACTCTTAAGATCTGTGTGTCTTATTTTATGTAAATTATACTCCAATTTAAAAAAACAAAGATGTTATCAAGGAGCAGGCAAATCTGTATAGGAGCCCAGGATGCCCTGGGGAGAGCAGGGATGGGCACCTCTTTCCTTTTGAAGCTCCTCTTGCATAGACCACGTCTGATGCCAGATTGTCTCTGTGAAAAGCAGGGGCTCCAGGGAGGTCTGTTAACGAGGGAAGGGGTTTTTACCCTGGCAACCCTGCCTCTTGCCCCAGACTGTAATGGGAGCAGGGACTGACTTGGAGCATGGCACATAGATGGATGTGCCAGGCTGGGCATGCTGAGACCCCACACCATGAACACGCCTTGCAGAGCCGCCCAGGTAGTACAGTGGCCTCCGCCTCAGCCCCATAACCCTGAAAGATGCAGCACCTGGTCTCTTGGTGATGGCAGGATTCCCTTGAACTGGCCCCAGAGCCTGGAAAGACAATGCCCCTGGTGCCCTCTGGACTGCGCTGGCAGTGGGGTGGTGGGGCCTGTGAGCCGGTGCCAGGCAGATGGATGATGCTCAGAAAGGGAACTTGATGGGGGAGGGGGTGGGAGAGGGACATGCTTTTCAGACTTCAAGCCGGAGAAATGGCTCACGCCCCTGACGAATGGAGTCCTTACCCCTGTTTATAGAGCAGCAGCCTAGGAAGCAGGTTCGCTGAGCACTGGTTTCCAACCTGTCTGATTCTGGTGAGACAGCATACTCATATGCAGCAAGTGACATGAAGCAGGTTTATTACTTACAGACAGGCAGTCAGGGACAACAAAGCCTAGGACTCATCACCAGCCAGTCTCCAGTCTCCCAAGGCTCGAGAAAGCTGCTGGAGCAGAGAAAGTCTGGTCTGAAAGGGCTCCACTTGCGCTCCAGCTGAGGATGCCTGAAAAGCAGTCTGCCCTGCCTTTATAACCCGGGAGGAACATGATAAGCTGGATGTTCTGTTTCTATGGGGGACTGGGGCAGAACCCCAGCTGTCCAGGCCATTCCTCTCTCTCAGGATGCTGCAGGCCTGGCACATTCCAGTTATTTGCGAGAACTACAAGCAAGAAAAAGGGAGAACCATCCTGCATGCTCCTGCTTTGGCAAAATGTCATTTTCGTCTCTCTTGCCCGAGTGTTTCGCCCTCTCACACCCTCTCTTGGGCAGGGGAGTCTGAACACAACAAACCTTGGAAGTGCAGATGTTGCTGGAGGGGATTTGTGCAGACAGATGAGGTGTACCAGCCTGAGGCCTGGAGATCCAGTACCTGGAGGATACTGGGGTCCACTCACAGCAAAGATGGACCACAGCGCCCTCACCCTCCAGAGAAAGGCCTCACCCTGGCAGAGTTCTGCTGTCTGTAAATTTGGACCAGGAGAAGAGGTAGGTGAGGAGACTCAACAGGGGAAGGGACGCCCCATGCCCATCTGAGGCGAGCTCTGACATGGAATGATGGTTGGCTTAAGGACAAACATAGAGAAATGTCTTAGGGAATCTAGGGGTTAATGTGAGAGTTTCCTCTAGTAATAGCTTTGACCAATACACCCCTGCTTTCCCAAGGATTCTCCCATTCCACTGTTGTTATTTAATTATAATTAAGACAGGCCGGGCCGGGTGGCTCACACCTGTAATCCCAGCACTTTGGGAGGCCAAGGCGGGAGGATCACTTGGGGTCAGGAGTTTGAGACTAGCCTGGCCAACATGGTGAAACCCCGTCTCTACTAAAAATACAAAAATTAGCTGGGCTTCCTCAGCTTTGTTGCTCGTGTGCAACAGAAACTACGAGGACACTAGGCATTTCGTATTTTGAAATGCCTCTAAAATAAATTTTTGGAATGTTTGCCTTTTACCATATTTGCCCCAGAAGACATTTAGAATTAAGAATTGGTTTGTTTGCTGCTTTCGAAAATCAGACGATGTTGAGGCAAAGCTTACACCAAGAAATATAAATTGTGATTTCCCAAAAGTATAAATGTAATATGCTGAGCCCAGGCTTAAGAAACTGATATAGCTACCTATGCTATTAATATATAGGCATAATGTTGCAATACGCCCCCCTTTCTATAAATTGTACCATCTGCGTTTATTTTTATTGAAATGAATGAAGCTTAAATTTGAAGGACTTTCTGACATTTCTTAGGATGACTGGAGAATTCTTGGAGCATCAGAAAACCAGTGCTAGAGATGACTGTTCAAAACTGGGATTACTGATAGTGAATACAGTTGAACAGTGAAATGATGAAGAAGTGGATATACATGCCTTCTTTCATTCTGTTATTTACCTATTGGATACATTTGTTAAACACCAATTATTTGCAAGGGGCTGCATAATCTGTTAGAAGGTAGTATGGGCTAGTCCAGGCGTGGTGGCTCACGCCTGTAATCCCAGCACTTTGGGAGGCCGAGGCGGGCGGATCACCAGGTCAGGAGATCGAGACCATCCTGGCTAACACGGTGAAACCCGGTCTCTACTAAAAATACAAAAAATTAGCTGGGCATGGTGGTGGGCGCCTGTAGTCCCAGCTACTCGGGATGCTGAGGTAGGAGAATGGCGTGAACCTGGGAGGCAGATATTGCAGTGAGCCAAGACCGTGCCACTGCACTCCAGCCTGGGCGACAGAGCGAGACTCTGTCTCAAAAAAAAAAAAAAGAACTTAGAAAAATCTAAACATTTTCTTAAGCAATTATAACAAAAGCAGAGAGACATTGCTGTCTTAGCCAGCCAAATGCCCTTTTTCCTTCTTTTCTTTCTTTTTTTGAAATTTGAAAAAAAGAAACAAAACACTCTTTAATGTAACTACCCCTCTCCCTCTTGGTTTATTATTTCTAAGGCTCACTTATGCCAACTATTGGTTTGACCCAAGAAACTTTGAAAATACACATTCTGCATGCTTCTGCACATTGCGGACGACTCTATACCGCTTGCATGTGAGTATGGGGTTTGAAGCCCCTTAAATGGGTATAAGGAGGTGGAGAAATTCCCTTCCAGGAAAAGAACTGTTTTTATTGGCTAAACATTTTGATCAACTGTTTGGGACCATGGGGCAGGGGGTGAAACTTCACAGTGAAACACAGACAAAAAAGCCAGGATGAGCTGTGAGACTTCTTGTGACACAGCAACTCAGAACAGACAAGAAAGGTACAAAAGCCTTCTGCAGACAGCAGGGTAGGCAAAGTTAACCTCCTTAGAGCCTATGCCGTTGCAAGCATAGTTACATAAATTTGTTGAAGATGTTCTATTTTGAATCCTTCAACTGAGTAAGACAGATAGACTGAGAGCTAGCTCTGCGATTGGTGTCCAAAATTCTGATATAAGGAAGCATGCATTTCAGAGCAGAATGGTATGGGATAAAAACAGTGTGGGCACTGGAGAGACCAATGACAGGAGAACTGGGGCAGAGGAAGCTGGGTTTACTCCTACCTGGCTAAATCATCAGATGTTTAGTGAGGAGGGATGGGAAGTTGATACTAAAACTAAGCCCATCTCCTCTGTAATTATACGTTTATATATATTACACATCTCCTAAATACATAGTACACTATACGTGGTCCCCTTTTGTAGTGTGGATGCAATTATTTAATAATTATATAATAATCCTTTTGTTGTCTCTTTAAAAACATTTAAGAACATCTAAATAACATTTTCTAGTATTGTAAGACGCCATACTGGATTCATCTGGACCCAAAATGATATTTACAGTTAAGTGTTAGGTGCCTGGAGAGAAAGTACAGATGCACAGACTCTTAAAATTGAGGTTTTAGGCAGTGGGTGTGCCAGCTGTCCAGTAGAAATATGAGCCACATGTGTAATTTTAAACTTTCTAGTAATCGCATTAAAAAGTAAAAAAGGCTGGACATGGTGGCTCACACCTGTAATCCCAGCACTATGGGAGGCCGAGACAGGAGGATTACTTGAGGCCAGGAGTTTGAAACCAGCCTGGGCAACCTCATGAGACCCCCCATCTCTACAAAAATTAAAAAATTCGCCTGGTGTGGTGGCTTGCGCCTGTGATCCCAGCTATTTAGGAGGCTGAGGTGGGAGGATTACTTGAGCCCAGGAGTTTGAGGCTGCAGTGAGCTATGATTGCACCACTGTACTCTAGCCTAGGTGACACAGAAAGACCCTGTTTAAAAAAAAAAAGTAAAAAGAAACAGGTAAAATTAATTCAAAGAATATGTTTTATTTAGGCCATTATATCCAAAGTGACATTATTCCAACATGCAATCAATTATACAAACAATTGAGATATTATACAGTTTTTTCATACTTAATCTTTGAAATCCAGTGTGTATTTTATATTTACAGCACATCTCAATTTAGACTTACCATATCTTAAGAGGGCCCAAGAGACACAGTGGCAAGCTAGTGGCCACCAGTAGGACTGCTCAAACGTGTAACACACACTTCCACACACAAATACACGCTCACGGTGGTGTGGACACAGCCAGCAGCTGACAGAACCCAGAGGAGACAAGCATTTACTCTGACCAGATGTGTCGGTCAGCCCTATGGTCTTGATTTGGTTGTTTATTCTGAGCAAATGAAGAATAGCCCCGAACGGGAAAACCTGAAGTTCTGATGATGTTTTTCTGGCAACATTTTTGCACTAGTGTGATCCAAAGATTTTATTGAAACACTCCATAAATCCCCATGTTTCATAAAAGCTTGACAGATAAGGGAGGCAATTTTTCAAAGTGAGGGCCTGGATAATGAAAGTCCAACAACATTGATAGAAATAAATGTGAAAAGCAATTTAATCAGATCCCATAGTGCTTGTTAAATCAGAAGAAAGAGGGCCTCAGGCCCACCTCTGTCCTTGGATACCAAGAGAAGCATCCTCTGAAATAAGCCTGGCCATGCCTGCTCCTTGGTGCAATTACACACAAGGGGAGCTTCTTCAGAGGGGTGAGGGGTCATCTCTTTGAAAGGTTTCTCTGAACAGGACAAGCAGAGAAGTGCTCGCCGTAAATGCCTCTGAGCTGAGACAATTGGCTGCTATAAAGATAATATACAGTAAAAATACACCTAACACGCCTCCCAGGGGCATGTTTAGCAAAATAGTGCTAGGGAGAGAAGAGGCAAGTGCGGGAAGGAAGACAAGACGGAGAGAAAGAAGGCATCTCCCTTGGCCTTCTCTTAATTCAACGTACTGCCCTCTCTGCAGCCTGCATCAGCAGGACCCAGCGGAGGATGAAGTGTAAACTCCCTGTTCCAACAACTCCAGGACCTTCCTGTAATTAGCTCAGCAAGAAAATACAGCCTCCTCCTCACCATGGTCTCCTAGGATAGCTCTACTGAAAAATATCATTGTTTGAAATTCTTGCCTTCCGGATACTTCAAAACTGTTTTCTTTCTTCCCCATCTTATTCACAAAGAGCACATTTAATAGTTGTAAACATAAAGACTCTTTAAAAAGGAGACAGAGAGAAGACTGTGAACTGTTCAGAAATGAGAAACATCATACCAATCTAGAGGTGGGATTTCTTCTAAGATTGAGAAAACACAATTCTCATTTTTCAGGTTCATTAACTCTCTTCAGCTGTGTTTTCATGGTCTAGATACAGAAGTATATAATTTATGAGATGGACCTCTTGCTCCTGCTCTAAAAATGTCAACTTCTTTATTCCATCTCCAACCCACATGAAAAGTGAAGGTATGGGCTTACTTTAGGAGGAGGCTGTCAGGGGCCATAGGGATGTCTGTGGAATATAGAACAGCAGCCTCAAGAGGTTCCCATTCCAAAAAAAGATTGATTTTACTTTTTATAATAATTAAAAGAGAAATATGAATGGTCTCAAAAGAGCAGACACTGAAGCATAGATTTTGGAGGCTTCATGTGCACTCCCTGCAATTCAATTACTGTGATGGAGACTCAGTACAGGAGATATTGTTATGGTGACCCAGGAAAGGTCAATAGGTTGCATGGTGGGGTCTCAGCTCCTGTTTTATCATGAATATAATGTAGATAAAGACTCAAAACTCCACATGTTTGCAGCTACCCTAAGCTAATTTTCCAGGATAGCATCAAATAATTGCCAAAGATGATTAAATTTAATGTCCCCATGGTATTATAAGTTATGTCTTTTGGGAGAGAGTCTGAGGCTAATATTTAATGCCAAAGATATGATTAAACCCTAAAAAGTAAGAAAATAAATCACGTAGCAAGAAAGAGCAAAAATATTCAGCTGCAGCAATTACATTTACAGACAAAAGTAATGGCCTGAGTGCTTAGAAAAATTAGATCACACAGAATTTCTAAGTATTTTATCAAATTAGTTTTTCTCCATGCAAATTATCCGACGTTTAGAAAGCTATAAAGTTCTGTCACACTTCAGTGGCTATTAACAGCTGATTGGGATGATGCGTGTCCTCAGAAGTAACGGCAGGAGGAGTACATTTAGCTTTGTCTCCACTCCCACCCACTAGAGTCAAGGTGGGCAGAGGGGCCACAGGCCAGCCTAGTTTGCTTGCAAGGGAACAGCTGTGGAGAAGCACCTAAAAAGCTGGAATCCAGTTCTAGCCCTGCCACGTCCTCACTATGTGATTTGAGGTAAAGGTTTTGTTTTCAGTTTGGATTTTGTTTTTTTGTTTTTGAGATGGAGTCTCGCTCTGTTGCCCAGGCTGGAGCGCAATGGCGCAATCTCAGCTCACTACACCTCCACCTCCCAGGTTCAAGCAATTCTTGTGCCTCAGGCTCCCAAGTAGCTGGGATTACAGGTGCCTGCCACCACGCTCAGCTAATTTTTGTATGTTTTAGTAGAGATGGGGTTTCACCATGTTGGCCAGGCTGGTCTCAAATTCCTGACTTCAAGTGATCCACCCACCTTTGCCTCCCAAAGTGCTGGGATTACAGGCATGAGCCAACGTGCCCGGTCCACTTTGTTTGTTTGTTTGTTTGTTTGTTTTTCTTTGAGCCCTCAGTTTCTCTGCTTGTAATCCGGGGGCAATAAGCCCATCCTATTAGGCTGAGGTGGCAGATCCCCATGCATGGGAACTGAGTGCAGAGTGCACAGAGGTTTAAGATGTGTTAGTTTCTTGTACCTCACTGAGTCATCAAGAGTCCCCTGCTAACATGAAACAAAAGTCCCCTGTGACCTCTAGGAAGAGTGGCTCTGCATTACCTAATCACTAGCTGTTGCACAGCAGTGGGGGACTAGGACCTCTGCCAAGAATTGGGGAAGCAATGGGAGCAGGGCTGTGTTGAGGCCCAGGGGAGCAGGGCTCTGTTGAGGGGAGCAGGGCTGGGCCAAGTGGCATAGGGCAGGAAGCAA
Source organism: Homo sapiens (assembly GCF_000001405.40). Classification (NCBI taxonomy): domain Eukaryota; kingdom Metazoa; phylum Chordata; class Mammalia; order Primates; family Hominidae; genus Homo; species Homo sapiens. Next base: position 109,047,130 of record NC_000002.12, on the reverse strand, counting down.
GGATTTTGCTGCCAGAGGAGCACCAGGGAGAGCTGAAGGAGGAGCTGGGTTCTCGGTGGGAGGACTTCCCACTGGCAGTGCATAAGGCTGCCACCCACGTCCAGTCTCTGGCACTGCAGGGCAGGGCAGGGCAGGCCGGGTGCAGCCAGGAGGATGAGCAGGGTTGCTGACAGAACCAAGAGGACTGGTGAGGACTGTGGGGCAGGCTTCCTTCTCCCCAGCCGGCAGGGGTTGGGGTCACTGCCTTACTTTTCCTGCTCCCCTCTCCACTGTCAGCTGTGCAGTCCACTCAGGACCTTGGCTCCTAAGAGGTCCTGTGGTCCAGACATAACACCACAGGAGCCCAGAGGAGGCAGGAAGGGACCAAGGGCACGGTGCTATGTCTGTCTCCAGTCTGTTCAAGTGGACAGCCTTATAGTTAGTTTTGTTTTGAACAATAAAATGCTATACATGACCGGGCAGGTGGCTCACGCCTGTAATCCCAGCACTTTGGGAGGCCAAGGCAGGTGGATCACTTGAGGTCAGGAGTTTGAGACTAGCCTGGCCAAAATACAAATTTAGCCGGGTGTGGTGGCGGGCACCTCTAATCCCAGCTACCTGGGAGGCTGAGGCAGGAGAATCGCTTGAACCTGGGAGGTGGAGGTTGCAGTGAGCCGAGACCATGCCATTGCACTCCAGCCTGGGCAACAAGAGTGAAACTCCATCTCAAAAAAAAAAAAGAAAAGAAAAGAAAAGAAAAAAAGTAAGTTTAAAAAAAAAAAAGCAGTTACCCAGATCTCACCACCAAAACCAAAATCCTTTCAGATTTTTTTTCTTTTTTTTTTTTTTAGACAGAGTCTTGCACTGTCGCCCAGGCTGGAGTGCAGTGGCACAATCTTGGGTCACTGCAACCTTCGCCTCCCGGGTTCAAGCAATTCTTCTGCCTCAGCCTCCCGAGTAGCTGGGACTACAGGCGCCCGCCACCACACCCGGCTAATTTTTTGTATTTTTAGTAGAGACGGGGTTTCACCCTGTTAGCCAGGATGGTCTCAATCTCCTGACCTCGTGATCTGCCCACCTCGGCCTCCCAAAGTGCTGGGATTACAGGTGTGAGACACCATGCCCGGCCTTGGATTTTTTTAAAATATAAATTAATATACACACATTTAAGGACTGAGGCCTGCAAGACGTGTAGATGTTTTATTTCCTAAAACTGTGCTCATCTTGTCCAGAGCCCCACACCCCTGTCAAAGGCAGGAGGAGGATGCTTAAAGCTGCCACTGGAGACGGATACAGCACATGGTTGTTCTGGAAAAGTCCCTTTCAGGTGAGCACTCTCTCTTTGGAGGTAATTGTGTGTTCAGGAGTGTTTCTTCCTCCTCCCTTCCTTCTTCCTCCTCCCCTCTTTCCGCCAAGGTAATAAAAAGTTAAAAGTAAACACACACAGGAACCCCAGTCCCGGGAAGTGGCAGCACTGGGTCACCAGGCCAAGCGCCACCCTTATGTTCGGGAAGGGCACCTGGCAGATGAGCTGAGTCTTGAGTCCCCTTACACGTGGTCCTGGGGTTTCTATCAGGGTCTCTGTTTGCTTGCACCTCCTTTATATCAGATCGTTGTTAGCTCCTTTCCCCATGAGGGAGCGGTCGCTGTCCTAACCCTCCAGTCTCTTCACTGTGGCTTGTGGAAAACCAGACTTTGATTCTGTGACATTAAAGCCCTTCCTCGCTGGGCTAACAGTCCTCTGGGCCCAGCTCTTACGGGAAAAGGGTTACAGTGAAACACTGAACAAACAATAAATGTATTATTTGCAAGATATAATCCCTGTTGAATATGAAATAGTGTTTTGTGACCTATCTGTATTTCAACAGCATACCTTGAACATCACCAAGAGGCAGCCCTCCACCTACCTCCTCCGACCTCCCACTCCTCCTCTTCTAGAATACCCTCTTTGTCCTTCTTCAACACCTTCGACTCTTTCCAGGCAGGTATCAATGTGCCCTCCCTGGAGCCTCCTCAGATGTCCCTGCACTTAGAACAAGACTATAAATCAGAGGTTCATGCAAAAGATTTCTCCAACTCCCTCTGCCCTCAGATCTTCTGAGAGTATTAAGGTGGTCACAGGGCAGATAAACTTTTGGAATAAAAACTCCTGCTGGAACTATTCCCATGGTTTTCTCAGGCCTATTACAGTAAATCCTTTTCCTGTAATAATCCTTACGAAGACTTTAGTAGAATCACTTACTTGTACATAAGAAATCACCTCTTTTACATGACAAAAATATTCTGGGGATGCTCATCATTAAAACATTAAAGCCCTGCTTTTCAGATAAAGAATGTGCCTTCACTGCACTAAAAATGCCCCAACACGAGTTGAACAGACTTGGAGTCAAACACACTATTTTCTCCAGCCAGTCTCTCTCCCCTAGCTCCACACAGATACTTAAAAGCTGGAGTGGGGATGAATAAAGACAGCACAGTAAACCCTATTAGTTTAGATTCTACCACTCTATAGCTTTGTGGTGATGTAAAATTTTAACAGAATGAGTCAGATAAGGACAATTCCATAAATATTTTTTATTGAAATTGGTGTTTATCTCATTATTTTTATTTATTTATTTATTTATTTTTTGCGACAGAGTCTCGCTCTATCGTCCAGGCTGCAGTGCAGTGGCGCCATCTCGGTTCACTGCAAGCTCTGCCTCCCAGGTTCACGCCATTCTCCTGCCTGAGCCTCCCGAGTAGCTGGGACTACAGGTGTCCGCCACCATACCCAGCTAATTTTTTGTATTTTTTTTAGTAGAGATGGGGTTTCACCGTGTTGGCCAGGACGGTCTCAATCTCTTGACCTCATGATCCGCCTGCCTCGGCCTCCCAAAGTGCTGGGATTACAGGAGTGAGCCACCGCGCCCGGTATTACTTTTATTTTTTAAAATTTCTATTCTAATTAAACAATAATGAGATATAATGTCATGGGGTTTCTCCCCTTCATTATTTATTTAGGGATAGAATAATTCTATGTTTTTAATTATATAAAGGTCTTCTAAGCACAGTTGGAATTTTCTTTACTACAGTTAAAAACCACTTCTGATTTCTTCCTTTTGATTATGCCTTTTATTAATCAGGCAACCTGTTGTGTGGGGATCCTGCCCAAAAATGCCTCTCCATCATCCACGCCAGCCTGGCCTCACCATCCCTGCTGCCCTGCCCTCCCAGGCCTCCAGTACCACTGGACCCCACAACCAGAGAAGCTTCCTAACCAGGGGGCCAGCTTGAGGCTGTTCCCCCAAATTATTTCCATCTTTCCAACCACCTTTCTAAAGCATGCCTTAGCTTATACACAGGTAGATATTAACTAGAAGATAAAATCCAACTTCTTCAACATGATGTTCCAGTCTCTTGACAGTCTTCCAACTGGATCAAGGACCCATTCATTTTTGTCTCCTGATGTGTGTCTTCTCTACCAGGCTTCAGGTAACATTTAAATAACTATGCTTGTGATTGCTTAAAAATACATTCGGGCCAGGCACGGTGGCTCACGCCTGTAATTCCAGCACTCTGGGAGGCTGAGACAGTCAGCTCTCCTGAGGTCAGGAGTTCGAGATCAGCCTGGCCAACATAGTAAAACCCTGAAAAATACAAAAATTAGCCTGGCATGATGGCTTGCGCCTGTAGTCCCAGCTACTCGGGAGGCTGAGACAGGAGAATCGCTTGATCCTGGGAGGCGGAGGTTGCAGTGAGCTGAGATGGCGCCACTGCACTCCAGCCTGGGGGACAGAAGAAGACTCCGTCTCAAAAAAAAAAAAAGTTCATGTTATAAAATCATCTTCCCTACTAAAGAGCTCTTATGCAAACATGGGATTTTACTGTAAGTCAGAGGTAATTTCGTAAAGTAATGAAGAAATCAAAATTTACGTACAAATGACGCACTAAAGGTAAGTTGTTTCTGGCTATTCCTTAATTCAGAAGGCTTCTCACCCTATCCCCTTCTGGTTACATAACCCGTTTCAGGGCTCCTGTAGATGCTTGTGGGCAAAACTTCACCTTATTTACTTTTGTAGTGGCCGTTCCTGCTGGGGCTTCATAAATGTTGGTTGAATTGTAATAAAATGATGGTCCTTTCATTTCTTTACTCAGAAATATTTACTTACTATGTGGACCACAGAATTCGGGACAGTTATTACTAGTAGTTCCTGATTCTCTTTGTGTCTCAAGCACTTGCATAGAAACTACTATTTTTCAAATATGTGTGTAGTTATTACATACAAATAATACATTAGAAATTCATTTTTAACATTCATAAAATTCAGTAGAATAAGACCATTGGATAGTTTCATAGTCAATGAATTCTAAAGGTAGTGTAAACTTATGATCACAATGGTTATTAGGATTTCCATTTATGTGGACTAGATGTGGACTAGATGATTAGAACCAATCTTCCCTCCTGGGACATCCAGAAAATACAATAAACTATTTTTTAAATCTGTTTGAGGGACTTGGAGAGCTAACAACATAGACAAGAATTATAAGGCTAAGACCCAGGAGAACATCAAAGTTAGGGAGTTTGGCCTTTAGAACTGTTCTTGCTCTGGCTAAAATGAAAAGGATGGATGATAGACTAATGGTGTTTTTGACAGCCTCTCGGGGTTAGAGAGAAAAGCACTGGACTCAGTACCTTACAAGGATTGGACCTGGCAAACCCCCTGAGTTTGGGATGAGACCTAGTGATAAGGGAGAACTGATCAAAGATGTCAATCCACACATTCAAATCCGAAACAAGATAAATACAAATACATACATCAATAATAAAACTGCAGGAAAAAAAGTCAAACATAAATATCTTAAAACAGCCAGAGATAGAACATAGATTGCATTCAGTTACTTAAAATAAAACTGCTCAACAGAATTATGAAATCTGGAATAAGTAAAATGCTATCTTCAGTGTGCTGGAACAAAGTGACTGACTTCCTGAGTGCAATGCTCTGAGACTAGGAAAAGAAGTGACTTATTTAATGAAGAAAGCTTAAACTTGATACCAAAACTAGACCAGGACCTTATGAGAAAGTAAGATAAGTAGCTAATTTCTCTCATGAATATAGATGTGGAAACCCCAAACTACCTATAATCAAACTGAATCCAACTATAGATAAAAACGTATCATAAGTAATTTATGTTTATTCTAACAATGCAAAATTTGTTTAACATTACAAAACAAACATTGTAATTCACCACATTAACAGAATAAAGGAGAACATATAATATAAATGACTCAATACATGCAGAAAAAACTTTTGATAAAATTTAACATCCATCAGGCCGGGCGGGTTGGCTCACACCTGTAAACCCAGCACTTTGGGAGGCCGAGGTGGGCAGATCATTTGAGGTCTGGAGTTCGAGACCAACCTGACCAACATGGTGAAACCCTGTCTCTAGTAAAAATACCAAAAAAAAAAAAAAAAAAAAAAAAAAGCCGGGCATGGTGGCGGGCACCTGTAGTCCGAGCTCCTCGGGAGGCTGAGGCAGGAGAATTGCTTGAAACCAGAGGCAAAGGTTGCAGTGAGCCAAGATCGAGCCACTGCACTGCAGCCTGGGTGACAGAGTGAGACTCCGTCTCAAAAAAAAAAAAAAATTAACATCCGTTAATTATATATTTTTAAAACTCTTAGCAACCTAGAAATAGAAATAACATGCTAATCAAATAAAGGGTAACTACAAGAAGATCTCTAGTGAATATCACACTTAAGAGTGAAATGTGGAAAGTTTTCCTTTTGAAATAGGGATCATGACAAGGATGTTGTCTATCAGTGTCCCTATTCAACATTGTCCTGGAGGTCTTAGGCAGTGCAGTAAAGCAACAATAAATAAGAGAGCAGGGGGAAGAAACTACCATTATCTTTGAATGCTATACTCGTATAAGTAGAAAATGCAAAAGAATATACAGATAAACTATTAAGATGAATAACTGTGTTTAGCAACGTTGCTGGATATATAGAAGTCAATATTTTAAAAACCAATTGCATTATATATACCAGTAAACAACCAAAAAAAGAAATTTGAGATTAAAAGTATATCTTTTTTTATTATTTTTATTTTATTTTTGAGACGGAGTCTAGCTCTGTCGCCCAGGCTGGAGTGCAGTGGCGCAATCTCCGCTCACAGCAAGCTCCGCCTCCTGGGTCCACGCCATTCTCCTGCCTCAGCCTCCCGAGTAGCTGGGACTACAGGCACCCACCACCACGCCTGGCTAATTTTTTTGTATTTTTAGTAGATACGGGGTTTCACTGTGTTAGCTAGGATGGTCTCGATCTCCTGACCTTGTGATCCACCTGCCTCGGCCTCCCAAAGTGCTGGGATTACAGGTGTGGGCCACCGCGCCTGGCCTATCTTTTAGAAGATTAAATTTAATTAAAATTTGAGATCAAGAGGTATAATAGGAAAGGTTTTGACATAGCATCAAGAAAATACGAATGAATCTAACAAGAAATGTGTGAGACTTCCAGACAGAAAGTTAAGTCACTAGTGAGAAAATTAAAGAACTAAACAAATGCAAAGAGATATCACATCTGTGGATTGGAAATTTTAATATTACACAGATGTCAATTCTCCTTAAATTAATCTAGATTTAATGCAATTCCAACAAAAAATTCCAATAGATTTTCTGTGTGTGTGTACTTTTCCAAAGTATTCTAAAATTTATATAAAAGTACAAATTGTCCAGCAGAGTCGAGCACTCTTCAAAAAAAGAAAAATGAACAAGGTGGGAGAGTTTATTCTATTGGATATCAAGGCTTCATATAAAGCTGAAAGTAATGAAGTCAGTGTATTATTAGTTCAAGAATAGAAAAATAAAGCCAATGGAACAGAATGGAGACCCCAGAAACACATCATGAATATACAGACACTTGATTTATGAAAAAGATGTAGAATAAGGTGGGCAAGAATGCTCTTTTCAATAAATTGTACTGGAACAATTAAATATCCATATGGGGAAAGAGGTGAAACGTGACCCCCACTTCATGCCATACAGAAAAATTAATTCCAGGTGCATTATAGAGCTAGCTGTGATAGAAAAAAGTAGTAAAGCCTTTAAAAAGTGATATAGATAGAAAAATAACTTTATGTTTCTGGGTTAGGAATACAAAAAGCACTAACTTAAGGAAAGACTGACAAATTAGACCATATTAAAATTATGAACTTTAATTTATTAAATGATACCATTGGGAGAGTGAAAAGGCAAGCTGCAAGGGAATACATTTGTAAAATGTATCACTGCATAGAGATCATACACAGAATATATTTTAAATGCCTACAAGTTATTACAAAAAAGATACACATAACAAATAGAAAAAAAGCTCAAAGCATATTGTGGCTTGAGGTTAAAAATAATTAACTAAAAATAAATAAATTCATAAATAAGATAAATTTTAAAAGAAAAAGAAAAAAGGGAGAATAATGGAATAGGTACTTAACAAAAGAAGAAATCTGTATGGCCAAAAAACATCTGAAGGCCGGGCACAGTGGCTCACGCCTGTAATCCCAGCACTTTGGGAGGCCGAGGTGGGCAGATCACGAGGTCAAGAGATCGAGACCATCCTGGCCAACATGGTAAAACCCTGACTCTACTAAAAATACAAAAATTAGCTGTGCGTGGTGGCATGCACCTGTAGTCCCAGCTACTCGGGAGGCCGAGCCAGGAGAATTGCTTGAACCCAGGAGGTGGAGGCTGCAGTGAACTGAGATCGCGCTGCTGCACTCCAGCCTGGGCGACAGAGCAAGACTCCGTCTCAAAAAAAAAAAATCTTAAAAGACATTGAAGTATTAGGGCTTGCTGGAGAAACAGAACCAATAGGATGTGTGTAAGAGAGAGATTTATTTTAGAATTGGCTCACACCTTCGTGGAAACTGACAAGTCTGAAATCCACAAGAAAGACCAGCAGGCTGGAGACCCAGGGGAGGGTTGATGTTTCAGGCCTGAGTCCAAAGTCTGTCTAGAGGCTGAATTCCTTCTCCTTCAGTGATCTCAGTCTTTGCTTTTAAAGTCTTCCATTGATTGGATTGGATTCTGCTTGCCTAATGGAGGGTAAGTTGCTTTACTCAAAGTCTACTGATTTAGATGTTAATCACATCTGAAAAACAATTTCACAGCAACGTCTGGACTAGTGTTTGACCAAACAACTGGATACCATAGCCTAGCCAATTGGACACATAGTTTACCATCACATTCAACCTCTTTAATAATGGAAAAATGCAAATTAAAACTACAAAGAGATACCACTACACTTACACCAGAATGTCTAAAATTAAAAAGACAAATCATGTAAACTACTAGAATGTGGAGAAACAGGAGCTTTCGTATGCTGCTAGTTAACATGAAAGTTACTGGTGCTACTTTGGAAATCAGTTAAGGATTGTCTTAAGCTATAACCCAGTAATCCCACTCCTTAGTATTTTCCCAAAAGAAATACATGTACATGTTCTTGAATTTCGAAAGTTCTTTATTCTAGATTCCAGTCTTTTGTCAGCTATGTGGTTTGCAAACATTTTCTTTCAGTCTGTAGCTTGCCTTTAGGTCTTCTTCATAAGGTCTTTCACGGGGCAAAATTTGGGGTTTTAAATTTATTTTTAATTTTAATATATTTATTTATTTAGAGACCGGGTTATGACTGGCTAGTTTTTGTATTTTTGACAGGATGGGGTTTTATCATGTTGCTAAGGCTGGTCTTGCACTCCCAGGCTTAAGCAATCTACCCTCCTCGGCCTCCCAAAGTGCTGGGATTACAGGGTGAGCCACCACACTTGGCCAGAGCAAAAGTTTTTTATTTTGCTGAGGTTCAATTCATATATCTTTTAGGTTTAAGTCTGTGATCCATTTTGAGCTAATATTTGTATATGGTTTGAGACAAGTCAAGGTTCATTTTTGCCTATGGATGTCCAATTTCTCCAGAACTGTTTATTGAAAAGGCTATCCTTCTCTATTGAATTGTTTTTCACCTTTGATAAAAATCAGTCGAGCATGTTTGTGTGGGTCTGTTTCTGGGTTTTCTGTTCTGCCACATTTGTCTACATGTCTATCTCTCTGCCCATACCACACTCCCTTGATTACTGTAGCTACACAGTGAGATAGACTGGCTCCTCCTACTTTATTCTTTATCCAGTTTGGTTAAGCTATTCCAGGACTTGTGCCTTTCCATGTAAATTTGGGATAAGATTGTCTATGTCTACAAAGCACCTTGCTGGGATTTTAAGAGTAATTGTATTAAACTTATTAATCAATCTGGAGAGAATTGACATCCTTAGGAAGTTCAGTCACCCAACTCATGAACTTGGTTGGATTTACTTAGCTAAATCCTCTTTTATTTCTTTCAAAAGCATTTTATAATTTTAGCGTGCAAATGTTGTACATATTTTGTTATATTCATGCCCAAGTATATAATTTTCTTTGGAACTGTCATAAATGGTATTGTGTTATTAATGCTAGTTTTGAAATGTTCATTGTTAATATATAGAAATGACATTTATTTTTCTGTATTGCTATTGTACCCTGCTACCTTGCCGACTTTACATTAATTCTAGGAGTTATTTGTAAATTCCTTGGGATTTTCTAAGTAGACAACCAGGTCTTTGACAAATAAGGGCAGTTTTATTTCTTTCCTTCTAATCTTTGTGCTTTTTATCTCTCTTTCTTGTCTTATTTCAGTGGTCAGAATTTCTAGCACTATGTTGAATTAGAGTGGTGAGAACAGATTGCTTGTCTCTTTCCCAATCTTAGGGAGAAAGCATTCCATCTTTCTCCATTAAGTATTTGGTTCTTTTTTTTTTTTTTTTTTTTTTGAGACATGGTCTTGCTCTGTCACCCAGACTGGAGTGCAGTGGCACAATTATGGTTCACTGCAGCCCTGAACTTCCAGGATCAGGTGATCCTCCTGCCTCAGCCTCCCGAGTAGCTGGGACCACAGGCACACCACCCTTTCTGGCTAATTTTTGTTTTTTTGTTTTGTTTTGTTTTGAGACAGGGTCTCACTCTGTCACACAGGCTAGAGTGCAGCAGCATGATCTTGGCTCACTGCAACCTCCACCTCCAGGGTTCAAGCAATTCTCCCACCCACCTCAGCCTCCCAAGTAGCTGGGACTACAGGTGCACACCACCATGCCCAGCTAATTTTTGTATTGTTTGTTAGAGACGAGGTCTCACCATGTTGGCCAGGCTGGTCTGAAACTCCTGACCTCAAGTGATCTGCCCACCTCCACCTCCCAAAGTGTTGGGATTACAAGTGTGAGCCACCTTGCCCAGCCTGATTTTTGTATTTTTTGAAGAGACGGGGTTTTGCCATGTTGCCCAGGCTAGTTTTGAACTTCTGGGCTCAAGCAATCCGCCCATCTCAGCCTCTCAAAGTGTTGGGACTACAGGCATGAGCTACTGTGCCCAGCCTAGGTTTTTAAATAGATGCTCTTTCTCAACTTAGGATTGTCCCCACCACTCCCCGCCATTCCTAGTCTGCTGAGACTTTTTACCGTGAATGGGCATAGGATTGTGTTAATCTTTTTTTCTGCATCAAATGATATAATCATTTTTATTCTTTACCTGGTTAACAGAGTAAATTACATTGACTGATTCTGGAATATTGAACCAAACTTGCATATATGGAATAAATCCCACTTCATCATGGTGTATATAATTTTTTATATACGATGCTGTATTAGGTTTACAAAATTTTGTTGATAAATTTTGTGTCTAAATTTATAGAGATAGTGGTCTATAACTTTCTTTTCTGTACTGCATTTTCCTGATTTTGGTATCAGGGTAATACTAGCCTTATACAATGAGCCAGGAAACGTTCTTTCTTTTACTTTCTGAGATAGAGTGTGTAAAATTGGTATTAATACTCCTTAAAGTATTTTCATCTGAAGATTTCTTTTTTGTGAGCCGTTTGCTTATAACTTTAATTTCTGTAGCAGCTATGGAACTATTCAGGTTGTCTCTATCATCCTCGTTGAGTTTGGTAGTTTGTAGCTTTCTTGACATTAGCACATTTCTTCTAGGTTGGCAATAAGTTCTCTTAAGTTTTCTTTCATCTGAGAATGTCTGATTTCTCCTTCATTCCTGAAGGGCGTTTTCAGTGGCTATTGGATTTGTGATTCTAAGTTCTATCTTCAACTTGAAAAATGTTGTGCCTCTTCCTTTTGGCCTCCATGGTTTCAAGATGAGAAATCCACTGTCATTCAAACAAATATTCCTCATGAATAATGCTTCATTTCTCTCTGGTTCTTTCAATATTTTCTCCTTTGTTTGTAGTTTTGGGTGTTTATGATGTTAAGAAGTTTAATTATTTTTTTTGTGTTTACCCATTTGGGTTTGCCCTGCCAAGGGAACAGAGGATTAGCTCCCAGCTCGAGTGCTCACCCTACTAGGCCAGAGAGTTCAAGCACTCAATCAGCTTCTGCAGAGCAGAGGCTACAGGTGGGGCTAGAAGGTTCTGTTAGGCCCACTAGACTTTTGCTGGGATAGGGTGGGTATTGCCAAAAAGGTTTCCTTTTGTTGTCAGGCCAGCCTTTCCTCTGTGCTTTGACCAGGGGGGACCAGGCCTTTCTTAGAGCTTGTCTGTGCCTGCTGGTGGTTTCTGGTTGGAGGCTTCTGCAGTGCCTCATCCAGGGTAAGGGCGGGGTGGGGTGGGGGGTGATAAGGAAATCCAAGGACTCACACCTGTCATTCTTCAAGGTCTGAGGTCCCTAGGCTTTTTTTCTTCCTTCCTCCAGCTTTCAGAGTCTTCTTCTGCTGTCTGTTGTGTTATGTCCAGATATTTTACCTGTAAGAGGGAGTGTCTGGGAGGAATGGGACTCTCCATCTTGGGGGAACCAGCAGTCAACACTCAGGTTTTAATGCACTTTCCTCTGTTTGTCATATTTCACTATTAAAAAGAGTTAACAGGCAAGAAATAAGATGGCCATCACACTTGAGAAGGTTGGGAGCCCTGACTTGGTACAAACTACTTTTTGATCTGACATCTAACAAATGATGTCTTACAATATCTTACAAAAAACATACGTGTACCATGCTGATCCTTCTGGATAGTCCAATCTAGGGAGGTTATCTAACCAGTAACTCCTCACAAACCAGGGATAGCTCTCCAGCACTGGGTCCTCTGGCTAATGGCCCCCACCAAGTGTCAGACCTACCTAAGCCCCATTCTTGTCTCCTTTTCTTTTTTCTTTAAATGTGCCCCCTCACTTCTCTGTAATATTTCCCATGCCCTTTTCATACCCTCTCCTCCTGCATGGGCTTTTGGATAATCTTTTGGATAATCTAACCATGACTGGTTATTGAACACTCACAGTGTGCTCTGTACAGGAGAGGGGTTTTACCTAAGCCCCCAGGGTTTTTGAGGAGGCCTTCTCTGCTGCTTATGGTGGGCAAAGAATGGGGTACCACCCCCCTCATTCATCCCAGAAGGCCCTAAAACTCAGAACAAACTATTTGCAATGAATCTAGGAGTACAGGATGATGAAGATGGGGCACCCGGCCCCACCTTAGCTCCATGAAGTGGCCTGAGCCAGGTGTAAAAGGAGCTGAATTTGCTTACATGGTGGCTCCAGAACCAGCTTTTGCCTCACTGTGCCTCCCTCTGCCTGCTGGCTTGCTGCTTTGTCTTTCTTCTTCGCCTCTCTTGCCATAGCCCCTCAGCTTGGCTCTGCAATACTCCACGTTCCTCACTTCCCTGTGCTTTCATTCCCTAAACGCCAGTCTCTTCCTCTGGGGCATGGCCCTGGGGCCTCCCACTGAAATTGACCCAATAGTCCCATAAATAGTTTTTTGGATAAACGTAGAAATTGACCCTTCTGGTTCTAAAGTTTGAACCTTCCTTTTTTTTTTTTTTTTTTTTTTTTTTGAGATGGAGTCTCACTGTGTCTCCAGGCTGGAGTGCAGTGGCACACTCTTGGCTCACTCCAACCTCCACCTCCCGGGTTCAAGTGATATTCTCCTGCCTCAGCCTCCCGAGTAGCTGGGACTATAGGTGCCTGCCACCACACCCGGCTAATTTTTTGTATTTTTAGTAGAGATGGGGTTTCACCATGTTTGCCAGGATGTTCTCCATCTCTTGACCTTGTGATCCTCGTGATCCACCCACCTGGCCTCCCAAAGTGCTGGGATTACAGGCGTCAGCCAACACACCTGGCTGAACCTTACCTTTTTTTTTTTTTTTGGAGTCAGGGTCTCCCTCTGTCGCCAGGCTGAAGTGCAGTGGTGCAATCTCGGCTCACTGCAGCCTCTGCCTCCTGGGTTCAAGCAATTCTCGTGCCTCAGCCTCCCGAATTGCTGGGACTACAGGTGCCCGCCACCACACCTGGCTCATTTTTTTTGTATTTTTAGTAGAGACGGGGTTTCACCATGTTGGCCAGGCTGGTCTCGAACTCCTGACCTCAAATGATCCACCCGCCTCAGCCTCCCAAAGTGCTGGGATTACAGGCATGAGCCACCGCCTCTCAAAAAAAAAGTATCATCAAAGAAGGGAAACTCACCAGATCAACACATCCAGACAATGAGATACCCTACATTGTGACTGCTTCCTTGCCCCTCCGTAGTTCCTGTTTTCTTACACACTGTTATCTTTCTTCCCTGGTGTATAAACCCCTAGTTTTAGGTGGATGGGGAGATGGATTTGAGACTGGGCTCCCATCTTCTCAGCTACAGCACCTGATTAAAGCCTTCTTCCTTGGCAATACTTGTCATCTCTGTGATTGGCTTTCTGTGCAGGGAGCGGCAGGACCTAGACAGAACCTGGGTGTTTCGGCAACACCACCTGCCTCTGCTTCCGAGGGCACACTCAAAAAGGAGGGGACTGGGCCCGTGCATTCACCTCAGTGTCTCTGTTTCACAAAAGGAGTCGTGGAAATCAGAATAATCAAAATCTCAGCTCACAGAAATGAGCGAGGCTGAATGCAAAATTAAAGTGGACAGGGCCCATCAACAGCCTGAAAGGGGCTTTGTTATTCCTTCCTAGGGAAGTCATCACCTCTCAGAGAAGTGTCTGGCTGAGTAATGACCAAACATGAAAGGTCTCTGTCCACTCAAGGCATGGATCATACTAAGGCCTGGTGATCAGTTTAAAGGAAATGTATTTCCCATGGCTGATGTCCACAACGTTCAGCTTCCAAGGGTTCAGGAAGGACTTATATTTCACCCTGCCATGACATGGGTCAAATATGAGGCCTCTTTGAAAATCCAGGGAAAATTAGCTCCTGGTGACATAGGATGCACTTCTTAGCTCCTAGTTGCCCATCTGGAGTTCTCTGTTAGGCCCACAGAATCAGCAAACTCTGTGTGGAATTAGGCGATTGCTCCTCAGTAGTGGCAGTGCAACCGGAGGGAAATTATTGTTCCATTCTGACTTGTGAGTTCCTATAAATCTTAGCTTTAAATCAAATGCTCTGTGAGTTGCTACAGGAGTTTCATTTAACCCACCAGCCTGTGCAAGAGGTGAGAGGTGGCCCGACTGTGAAATCCCAGAAGACACATCTAGTTGGCCAAGGCCTCTGCTCTCAGCTGGAGGAAAGACTCCCCCACCCCACCCCATGGGGAGGGGAGAAAGCGCATGGATGGAGTGGGATGAAGAATGGAGAGTGAGGAGAAAGCCCTTCCATGGTGTAAAAGTCAGGGCATCCGCTGAAGCCTCTCACACATTCGACCGATGTCACCCCAAGGAGCAGTTTCACCAGACAGGGTGCTGAGTCTAGCACAGCATCTGTTTGCAGACGGTGCTTGAAAGGACTGAGGTTGGGTCCTGGAGTTCTAAAGTTCTAACCCTTTTCTTCTGTCTTATTTCACCTTCCTGCAAAACAAAGAGGGGGTGGGGAGGGACAAAAAAAATCGCTATGCAGAAGTTCACTCCGGAAAATGCCCTGAAATAAAATCAACAAGATTGATGTGCAGGCAGACAGGTAATAACTTTAGAAGTGAAAGAAATCTCCAAAGATCTATGACATTTTTAACAAAACAGGGGGAAGGTGGGCAGCGCTCAAAACTGCAGAGCGGTAATTACACCCACAGGAAGTCTCTAATGAACTTGAAAACAAAGCTCCGAAGAAAGGGAAAGAAGATAACTGCAGAGTTCTGTTTACGTAACCGTAGGGGGTTTGAACACCAAGAACTTACAGCTCCTGAAACGCGGTGAGGAAATGGGAGGGAGGGCAGCGAGCGTTCAGAGTTTTGGCAAAAGGTCAAAGAGAGTGAACGGATGTGGGGGGAGGGGAAGAAGGTGGCGGGGGGTGGGTGGTAGCGCTCACGGGACAAGAAATTGAGCAAACAGAAAAGCTTAGTTGCTGAAGAAAATACTTAGAGGAAGGAGGGTTCTCTTCGCTGGGGGCAAAGTGGGGCAGCTTTATCCCGCCTGTGGCCCGGAGGTAGGCGTTGGCGCAGGTCTCGCCGGCGCCCGCAGCGCGTCCAGGTTGCCACCGGCAGAGCCCGGCCCACGTGGCCGACGCTGAAGCGGCGCTCTCCGTTCCTCCAGCGGGCGCTTCCCGGCCGAGCTGCAGGGGGTGCACACAGCAGAACTTCACTGCGCCCTCCTCGCCGCACGTGGGGCCAGGCCGTGCGCTAGAGACCCGCGGACTCGGTGCAGCCCGGCGAGGCGGGCAGAGCCGACTGCTGGGTCTGAGCGCGCATCCCCTGCTGCTACTGATTGAAGCCCAGTCCCCGGTGCAACAGTAGTAAGAGGGGGCCTCCAGGGAAGTGATTCCGTCGTAAGGGGAACGGGGCTGATAACCTTATAAGAAGGCTGGAGGAAGCTGTTTCCTCCCTTCCGCTCCTTCTGCAGAGCGTTCCCGTCTCTACCCCACCCCTGCCACATCAGAGCCCCCATCTGTGCTGAGTCAGCCAGCACCCATCAAGAAGCCCCCATCTGTGAGGAACAGGCCCCCCTCACTGCTGACACCTTGATGGTGGACTTCCAGCCTCCAGCACGGTGAAAAGGAAATGGCTATTTATAAATTACTCTCTAAGGTGTTTTGTTGTAGCAGCAGGAATGGACTTAGGGACCCGGAGTTCTTACCATTGCCCAATCACAATACCCTTAGACTCCAGCATCTCCACACATGGCGTCCCCTCGTGGAGCGCTCCGTGTCTTACCATGAGTCAGTGAGACAAAAGGTGCAGATGACACTGATGGTGGTATACATGCACACTGTGTTAGTCTGTGTACTAGTTATGAGTATATATACCAATTATTAAACCATTTTACCAAGAAAATAAAGACTTGGGAGATGTTAAAAAACTGCCAAAGTCGGGTGTGGTGCACCTGTGGTCCCAGCTACTCTGGAGGCCGAGGCAGAAGGACTGCTTGAGCCCAGGAGTTCAAGACCAGCCTGGGCAACATAGTGAGACCTAGAAAACAAACAAACAACAACAACAACAACAAAAACTGTCAAGAGACAGAACCTGGATAAGAAGTGGGTTATATAAACCAAAGTGGTCCAAAAATTCAGATGCCTGAGGGGCCCCAAGCTGGTCCTAGGTACTCAGGAAAGTACAATTCTAGAAGGAGCCTTCTGCTTAACAGCCTGCTGGTCATCCTCAAAGAGGCCACCACTCCCCACTCCTTCTCAGGGAGCCTCATCCCATCAGACAGTGAGGCCCATTCTTTCATTCATTCAGGTCATATTTACTGTCTATCCAGAATGCACCAGGCACTGTGCTAGGTGCTACTATACACATTATCACATTTGGCAGGGTATGGCACACCTCTTCATTTAAAAATAACCTTTCCAATGACATTAACAATGGGCTTTACTTACGTGAAATTCACTTAAAATAGAATTCTAAGGAATTTTACGTAGCATACCATAATTTGGCTAGAGGAGAAGGCTGGGTCTTCAGTGGGAAAATGTTGAAGGTAAAGCACTTGAGCGCATGGCCTGCTGGGGAGAGTGCTGAGCCAGCTGGCTGTGCAGGGGAGGATTGAGGAAAAGGCTGAAAATGAAGGCTGAGGATCAGTTTCATGAGCTCTCGAATCCAGGTTGATTTGAAACTGTTCTTTGCATAGGCAGAACATTCTGAGGTAGCAAACAAAAGTTAGAGTCAAAGAATTCTTTCTAAAGAATGATGTCAAGGAGGCAGTAAATCTAAGACTCACCCACACACTCGAACTGGCACTCAGTAAATGCTTACTGAATGAATGAATCAATCAATCCATCAATACAGAGATAGCAACCAGGATCCTTGTCAAGTCAAGAGGGTTATTAGTATAGTATTTCTTTAAAATAAACAGCCTTATCTGTGAGCAAAATAAGAGGCTGCCCCTGAAGGCTAAGGATGTCTGCATCCATTTGAGAGAAACAGCCTTTCATTGTGCAATGATTAGGCTTAAGTTGCTGGCAAGGCTGGAGACAAGGATAGAGATGAAAGGCTGGATGATGGCTGCCGGGGGGCCCTGTCCTGCAGCTGTTCCAGCCAGGAAAGGAGAGGGGAACAGAGGAGACAGCACAGGCAGCAGGCAGGCATCCCAGGCCGAGGAAGGAGGGAGGGCTCCCCAGGGTCACCCTGCTCTACTTTTGGAGCCTGATGCTGTAAAGTTTGCCCGGCAGGGACACACATGCTGCAGAATCTCCTCTTTCCCCTCATTGAGAGGACCAGGTTTTCCCTTGGAAACGGACAGACACACACTGAGCTGCTGCTTCCCAGGAGGGCTGAGGCACCCTTCAATAACTTCAGGCATCAGTGTCAGCCACATCATGGTTTCCCACCTCCAGATTCCCATGCCTTCCTTACCCTAATGAAGTTTCTCCCATTTACACATGGTCCCTCATCATCCCTCTCCTGGATGCTTTACTAGCTTTATGGAAGGAACTTGGAGGAGTGGCCAAGGCAGAACCCAGCAGCTGCGGCCATGGGGGTGAATGGGGGCTGGGATGGGGAGGGACTCCATAGACTCAGTGTTGACATGAAGGAGGAAAGGGCCCAGGTGTCCTATTAACAGTAATAACAATAATCTTGCCTTAAACCTTATTTATTTATTTATTTATTTTATTTATTTTTGTAGTTTAGAATGAGGTGAGGGCTAAAGAAATAAACAATCACATAGGCCGGGCACAGTGCCTCACGCCTGTAATCCCAGCACTTTAGGAGGCTGAGGTGGGAAGATTGCTTGAGCCCAGGAGTTTGAGACCAGCCTGGGCAATATGGCAAAATCCTGTCTCTACTAAATAAATAAATAAATAAACAAACAAATAAATAAATAAACAATCACAACTAAAGTCGTGACAGCCAGATTCACACATGCATTCTCAGTTGGCCCTCACAGTCCCTGACAGCCACACAGATCCTGAGAGTGTGAGGCTGCTCTGGAAGACAGGAGTGGGGCTTAGACCCGATGACCTCTAAGCTCTGTTCTGCTGCTTTAGGTCCAGGGTCAAGGTGTAGGAGGGGCAAGATATGTGTGGGGGAAGGGCAAGAACCGGGCCTACTGACTTAAGCTACTCATTTGGGTGCATGTCTGCCACCCTCGGAGGGCCTGTGGAATAGGTCAGAGCACTCCTCTAAGTGAGGGCTGTTGGGATCGGATGCTTAGGGCACAGCAGAGGAGATTGAAACAGCATTCAGCACTGTCCAGATGTTGATGCAAGGACTGTCACCCTCAAATACAGTGTGTCAGCCACCATGAGCCACTGTGCAGGAGGGCCTGAGGGTGGCGTGTGGAGACAGGCCTCCCAGCAACGGGGAAGCCAGGGTGCAGCAGCAGGGCCTACCTTCTTGGTGTAAGGCTCTTCCTTCAGTGGAGGTAAGGGCCGTGGCCCAGCATGCACTTTGTACTTTCCATTAGCCCTGAGGCTCAGGTGTCAATTATGGTTTAGCATTTAAAATCGAACAATATGTTTTTATTTTATTTATTTCTTTTGAGACAGGGTCTCACTCTGTCACCCAGAGTGGAGTGCAGTGGCATGATCATGGCTCACTGCAGCCTCAACGTCCTGGGTTCAGGTGATCCACCCACCTCAGCCTCCTGAGTAGTGGAGACTACAGGTGTATGTCACCTGGCCCAGGTAATTTTTTGCATTTTTTGTAGAGACAGGGTTTCACCATGTTGCCCAGGTTGGTCTCAAACTCCTGGGCTCAAGATGTCTGCCTGTCTTGGCCCCCCAGTGTGCTGGAATTACAGGCGTGAGCCACCTCACCCTGCCAGTATGTTTTTAAACAGTACCAGGAAAGCCTTGAGCTCTTCCCTGCCTCAGCAGGACACATGCATTAACTGGCAGAGCCCAGTGCTCCCTCTGAGGATGGATCTGTGAGTAGCAGCTCTGGGAGAGACAGAAGTAGGGGACTGGCAGGGACTCAGAGCCTGCAGGGAGAAGGAAGACGCATGGCGGGGAGGCCAGCATGCCAGGCTGCAGAGCTGCCGCCCACCCACCCCGCCCACTCCTGGAGCCCAGGCCCTCATCAACTCTAGGTCTTGCTCCTGGCCTAGGTCCTGCTGAGTCCCCATAGTCATAACGACGCTTACGCAGCACTGCTTCCTTCCAGATACTTTGTCCACGTCAGTGCCCAATAACCCTGTGAGGTCTGTCACCACTTACAGGAGGGGAGCTGAGGCCCAGGAGGGCTTAGGCCCTGCCCAGGGTATCATAAACAGAGGGTGGATGGACATGCCAGGCTCAGAGCCTGTGCCTTCATGTCAGGCTCCACAGGCTTCCTTGGCTCCATGCTGCCTTCAAAAGAGGAAAGTTACTTTTGTCTTCAAAATCCAGTCTTTCCTTATGGCTTCAAAAGCTCTTCCCTTGAAGACTCCACAAAGGAACAAGATGTCTGGGGTCTGGCTGGGCCCAGGAGACCTCTGCAATGCCTCCAAGATGAGGCTAGTCCCCCAGGAGACCCACCCTCCTTCAAGAAGTCTTCAGAGGTCCTTGTTTTTTTTTTTTTTTTTTTTTTGAGACAGAGCCTCACTCTGTTGCCCAGGCTGGAGTGCAGTGGTGCAAATCTTGGCTCACTGCAACCTCCGCCTCCAGGATTCTAGTGATTCTCCTGCCTCAGCCTCCCAAGTAGCTGCTATTACAGGTGCGAACCACCACGCTCAACTAATTTTTGTATTTCTAGTAGAGATGGGATTTCACCACGCACCAAGCTGGTTTTAAAATCCTGACCTCAAGTGATCTGCCCACTTTGGCCTCCCAGAGTGCTGCAATTACAGGTGTGAGCCACCACACCCGGCCAATGTCTTCAGAGGTTCTTTTTTATTTTTTGAGACGCCCACCACCATGCCTGGCTAATTTTTTGTATTTTTAGTAGAGACGGGGTTTCACCACATTAGCCAGAATGGTGACCTCGTGATCCACCACCTTGGCCTCCCAAAGTGCTGGGATTACAGGCGTGAGCCACTGCACCCGGCCACTTCTAATGATTTTTAAGAAGTATTTGGCAGCTCTGAATTGGCAAGTGTGGAAATAAGACTGAGAGGAGCAGCTGTTTCTAAAAGATCATTTTGAGCTTTTTCCCCACCTAGAGGGTGCCGAGCAATCAGGATGTGAGGGGCACAGTCTGGGCTGCTGCTTTCCCCACTTGAATACATGACATATCCAGTGTATCCTACACTAACGGTGCTTCCTCACCTTAGAGCTGGGAGCTCATGACTGCATAGCCAGCCTTTGGTCCCCTTGCTTCAGAGGGAAGAGGGGCCCAAGGGACAGGCAATACCTCAGACACACTCTTCTAAAAGCAAAAACGGTGGCCATTAAAATAATGCGCTGTCCAGGTGTGATGGCTCTTATCTATTGTCCCAGCACTTTGGGAGGCAGAAGCAGGAAGATCGCTTGAGCCTAGGAGTTCAGGACCAGCCTGAGCAACATAGCAAGACCCCATCTCTTAAAAAAAAAAAAAGCTAGGCATGGTGGTATGAGCCTATAGTCCCAGCTACTCTGGAGGCTGAAGCAGGAAGATTGTTGAGCCCAGGAGCTCAGGTGACCTACAATCATGCCACTGCACTCCAGCCTGGGTGACAGAGTGAGACCCTTTCTCTAGAATAAACAAAATTAAAATTTTAAATATAAAATGTGCTGTCTTCCATGCACTGGATCTTTCTGAGCTGCTTTTCTGTGGTGGTGCTGAGCCAATTCCTCTTGCTGTCTCTTCCCACCTGCTCTGAACTGCAAGCGTTTCTGCTCCCCCAGGGAGGGCAGGCCTTGGTGAGGATGAAGGGGACTACTAACAATTACACCAGGATGAGGACATCAGCTGGGACTGTCCCAGGCCAAATGGGACACGTCGTCCCCCATCTCTGTGAAAAACTAGAAATCTAGGAATTAACCATGTGGCTGCCAGAATCTCTATGTGAAGCTCTAACCTATTGATGTAATTTTTTTTCTTTTTTTTTTTTTTTCGAGACGGAGTCTCGCTCTGTTGCCCAGGCTAGAGTGCAGTGGCGTGATCTCGGCTCACTGCAAGCTCTGCCTCCCGGGTTCACGCCATTCTCCTGCCTCAGCCTCCCGAGTAGCTGGGACTACAGGCGCCCACCACCACAACCGGCTAATTTTTAGTAGAGACGGGGTTTCACCGTGTTAGCCAGGATGCTCTTGATCTCCTGACCTCGTGATCTGCCAGCCTCAGCCTCCCAAAGTGCTGGGATTACAGGCGTGAGCCACCGCACCCGCCCTATGTCCTTGTTTTTTATAATGGACTTTTTCCAGAAAATATTTTTGGCTCCCCAAAATATGTACGTCAAGTTATAAATCATATCTTTACTACTCTGCTAACCCATTATATATAAACACAAAAACAGATCTTTTTAAACATAAAAAGAATAGAAACTCCACTCCTTAATATATACCCAAAGGAACTGAAAACAAATGCTCAAAACAGATACCCCAGTGATTAGAGCAGCATTATTCACAAAGCTAAAATCAACTGAAAGTCTATCAACAGTTTAACAGTTAAACAAAGTGCAGTATGTCCACACAATGGAATATTATTCAGCCTTAAAAAGGAAGGAAATTCTAATACACACTACATACAACATGTGCAAGCCTTGAAAACCCAAGTGAAACAAGCCAGTCACAAAAGCACAAATATTGTATGATTCTATGTATATAAATTATCTAGAATGGTCAAATACATAGAGATCAATTCATAGAGGGAACGGTTACCAGCAGCTGGGAAGAGGGGACATAAGGAGTCTCTGCTTAATGGGCAGAGGTTCCATCTGGGGTGATGAAATATTTTGGAAGGAGTGGTGATGGCTGCACAGCATTGTGAATGTAATTAATCCCAATGAATTCTATACTTAACAGTGGCTAATATGGTCAATTATATGCTATATATATAGTTTTTGCAATCATAAAATAAGTTAAAAAAGAATATCAATTTAAAATATTTAGATAAACAATGAAGTTAAAGTTCTAATATTTTCTTCCCCTCTTCCAGTGAAGGTTTGTCCCCAGGTGCACACGTCCAAGACTAGGGCCCACAGTCCTAACCAGCCGGGCCAAGCCTCCCACTACCTATCACCTGGAAGGACATAGGATGAAGTGGACACCCTGAGGTGCCTCTTTGCTGGTGGACATGCCTGTCTCCAGCCACGTCACCTCCAGGTTCAGGCATCAGTCTTCAGAGGTGAAGCTTGAAGGCTAAAGGCAAGAGGGGAGTTGGCTAGACCAGAACCCCCTCACTGCTGTAATTTTCTCACTGTTAGAATTTTTGCAAAGGTGGTTTCAACCCCAACATCTTCTGTTCAGGAATCTACCTGCAAAGTTTTGAGATTTTCGACAGTAGCCGTGAAAAGATTCAAAGAGACTGGTAATTCTTTGCAAACTTACACCAGCTTCTTACAGACTTGAATTGATATTTTGTCTTTTTATAGAATAAGGGTATAAAGGAAGTTTTTGTACATTCATGATAACATCTAGCTTATCTTCTTGAAACCAACAACACCATTTTACCCAGAAATAAAAGCAGGTGGGCCAGACATGGTGGCTCACGCCTGTAATCCCAGCACGTTGGGAGGCTGAGGCGGGCCTATCACCTGAGATTGGGAGTTCGAGACCAGCCTGACCAATATGGAGAAACCCCGTCTCTACTAAAAATACAAAATTAGCGGGGCGTGGTGGTGCATGCCTGTAATCCCAGCTCCTCAGGAGGCTGAGGCAGGAGAATCGCTTCAACCCGGGAGGTGGAGGTTGTGGTGAGCCGAGATCATGCCATTGCACTCCAGCCTGAGCAACAAGAGTGAAACTCCGTCTCAAAATAAATAAATAAATAAATAAAAATATAAGCAGTGATCACAAAATGCAGGTACATTACCTTGAAGGAGAGAAGAGACTGTTAGGTAGAAATTAAGAGAGTTTTTTGTTTGTTTGTTTTTGTTTGTTTGTTTTGAGATAGGGTCTAACTTTGCTGCCCAAGCTGGAGAGCGATAGGGCAAACAAGGCTCACTGCAGCCCCAAACTCCTGGGCTCAAGCAATTCTCCTGCCTCAGCCTCCTGAGTAGCTAGGACTATAGGTATACACACTGCACCCAGCTAGAGATTTTTATTTGATGTTTTTGTAGAGACAGGGTCTCACTTTGTTGTCCAGGCTGGTCTCAAATTCCTAGCCTCAAGAGATCCTCCCACCTAGGCCTCCCAAAGCTCTGGGATTGCAAGTATGAGCCATTGTGCCCAGGCTGACTTTTAACAGTTGTACCTACTGACGTCAACAACATGACAGTTAGGGCTGACAGCAAAAAGCTATTTTAAACCTCATCTCAGTGATTTTAATTTTTCTTTTATTATTTTGTGCATACAAATTTTCTACAATGAACATATATTACTGTTGTAATTAGAAAAAGAGCAATTTTTTAAACTGCCTAATTCTTCTGTTTCCTAGGTCATATTTGTATTTTGGGCACTGAAGTTTGGGATCCTTTACTGCAGGAGACAGTAGTTCTGTATGTCCTGTGCGTCCACAGGGCACCTCTGTTAACGCAGCCTGCGCTGTTGCAGGCATTCATGATGACAGTGCTCAGTCATCACTAGGTGACCCATGCTATGTATGTTTTGCTTAAGAGCGCAGAAGCATTCTGTACATATTATCAAGGTTTCATCAAAACAGTGATTATCTTAATCCTAGGATAATTCTTTTTTTCTTTTTTTTTGAGATGGAGTCTCGCTCTGTCACCCAGGCTGGAGTGCAGTGGCATGATCTCGGCTCACTGCAACCTCCACCTCCCAGGTTCAAGTGATTCTCCTGCCTCAGCCTGCTGAGTAGCTGGGATTACAGGCACTCACCACCACGCCCGGGTAATTTTTGTATTTTTAGTAGAGACTGAGTTTCACCATATTGGTCAGGCTGGTCTCAAACTCCTGACCTCAGGTGATCCACCCACCTCGGCCTCCCAAAGTGCTGGGATTACATGCGTGAGCCACCACGCCCAGCCAATAATTCTTTTTTAAAAAATAGATTTAGTGGGTACAAGTGCAGTTTTGTTACCTGGATCTATTGTGTAGTGACGAAGGCTAGGCTTTTAGTGTGACCATCACCCGAATAGCATGTGTGATACCCTTTAGGTAATTTCTCATCCCTCTTCCCTCTCCCCCTCCCACCTTTTGGAGTCTCCAGTGTCTATTATTCCACTCTCCATGTCCATGTGTACACATTGTTTAACTCCCACTTACAATTGAGAAATGCAGTGTTTGACTTTCTGAAAAACAGTAATTTTTAAAGATTTTACACTGCAAAAGGGAACTGTCCACCATCTGGAAAATCCACCTTTCTGAGCACCTGGATCCCCAAGAACACTGGACAAATGAGCGACGCTGTCCACATAATTGCCACGATGCCTGAGGACAGTAACACTGCTCCCCCTGGGGAAGGTAGATGGAGTGCTGTGGCAGCGGCACATGAGTGAGTGGGGCGGGGGAACCACAGTTGCTGGTTATTGAGGCGTTTAGTATTGGCGTTCCCAGCCCAACCCCTAACTGCAGGCACCCCACTTCGCATGCCTGGGCCTCTGCTCCTCTGCCTGAGTTCCAGCCACTGCCCCTGGATACAGGCTAAAGGGCAGTAGGGGACGGTGTGGCGCACCCTAGGTGCGGAACCCACAGCAGCCGGTGCCTGCCAGATATAACAAGCAAGCTGGGGCACACGGCTCTGAGGCACGTTTTCCAGAAAGCCTTCGAATTGTGTAAACTCTGTGCAGGCCAAAGGGCCTCTTGTGTAAGCCACATGCCAAGGCCCATCTAAAAGTTCCACTCCTGCTTGGCTCCCGGGTTGCTCTCAACCCCGCAGGGCACTTCTCAATCCCTGGTGGAAGGTGAAAAATCGTGCCTCACAGATTCTCTTCTCAGGAAAGACAATCCTGAAAGCGATTTTGTTCGGATTTCTTAACCGCTATTTGTCTGCTTCTGCTGTCTTCTTTTTAAGGACCTCGGGGGATGCCCAGGTGAGTTCACAGCTCCCTCCACACCCTGTGGCCCTGGGGACCTGGTAATGGACACACACTGCCTGCGAGGCCAGTGTCCTTTCCTCTGCTCTCTTTACCTCGCTTCCAACGTCTGTCGATGCCCATACCTGCCAGCCGTCTTCTCCCCAGACCCCTCAGGTCTGGAGGAGAACTATCGCATGTCAGAACTCATTCTGAGGGAAAGTCCCTCTTTGTCAGCACTTTTTTTTTTTTTTTTTCTGAGACGGAGTCTCTCTCTGTCGCCCAGGCTGGAGGGCAGTGGCGCCATCTCGGCTCACTGAAAGCTCCGCCTCCCGGGTTCACGCCATTCTCCTGCCTCAGCCTCCCGAGTAGCTGGGACTACAGGCGCCCACCACCACGCCCGGCTACTTTTTTGTATGTTTAGAAGAGATGGGGTTTCACCGTGTCAGCCAGGATGGTCTCGATCTCCTGACCTCGTGATCCACCCGCCTCAGCCTCCCAAAGTGCTGGGATTACAGGCGTGAGCCACCGCGCCCGATGGCTTTGCCAGCACTTTTCACACAGACCCCATGCTGATCGGTGTTGCTTATCACTTGGTGAGCACTAACCAATGTGCCACAGCCCAGGCAGCTGCCTTATTCTGTCCCCCAGGAACTCTCAGCCTCTGCACAGCTCCAGCCCAAGAAGCATTCCCACCGACCCCCAGTTCTGCCCCTTTTGCTGGAAAATGAGTTTGAAAGAGTTTCTGCTTCAGAGGCAGCCCCGTGGCCCATTTGGCACCCCAGGCACCCTCCTGAAGCTGGGGAGTCGCCTGGGTGTGCCTGCCCTGCCTGGATTCCTTGCCTGTGATGGGTCATGGTGGTCTTTCAGCCTTGGTCTGAGCATTTCTGCCACCAGAAATTTGTGCCCCCCACAAACAATCTGCCCTTGGGAATGTCCAAGCTACCCCTTTGCAAAATGCTATAGCTTTTCACAAAGCTATACTGGCTATGGCTTTTGGACTAATACCTTGACTGGTAAAACTAAAAATGCGCCCTGATGTCGCTATTATAAACCACAGTCACCTCATGGAAAATCACATGCCTTTGACCTGCACTCAGGCAGGCTCCCTGACCTCCTGGTGTTGTCACACCTCCATCTACCAAGTCCTCATTGTTAGATTATTGTTAATATCATTGTGGGGTTTCTTCTTCCCATCTGGATCCAATAAAGTTGTCAGCTTGTGGTATTCTCTCTCTTCCATCTGGGGCAGAGGTCGCCTGCCAAGTAACCATTGTTCACGTTGGAATCTGCAACTCCAAAGGGTTTTCTTCTTTGCTTTCACTAAAAATAGCTCTAATCCCTTTAGCTATCACTTGACTTCCTCTACTGGAACCCGAATGGAGAGGCTGTTATACGTAATTCTAACCATGACCTCCCTCGTTTGATCTCTGTTTTGTAAACCGGGGAGAAGGGTTATCATAAGGTGCCTGTGGTGGCTTGTCTTTGAGCTCCCTTTAATGGCCAGTCTTTTAACAGAGCTGGAAACTGTCTCTGCTGTTTACTTTGCCTGTGTGCGCTGCTCCTGGGCTTCTCTGTTATTTTTGCAAATGGTGTTTTATATGTTTCCACATCTTTCTAACATGTCATGCCTCCCATTAGAACACTCATTCCAGTATTAACAGTGGTGTTATAAAAGACAGCGAACAATCAGAAGAAAAATAGTGCAAGACATGTCTCAGATGGTTACCTGTTCAAACAGAGTTGTTCCCTTCAACACACTGCCCCGAAACTTCACCCCCACTTTTTCACCCTGTTTTCCCTGGGCTCTGTAACTCTGCTCACGGAGAGCTCTGTTCCTGGGAATGCAGACACTGGCTGTGCTGATTTAGGTGATTTCAGAACTATCTCCATTATAGAAAACCCCTTGAAACAGGAGCCAAAACTCAGTAACAAATCCCCGGACCCCAGAGTGGGCAAATCCTTTCATTGTACTGTGGACAGGAGAAGCCAAAGGCATTTCATTTATTTTCCAGATAGTTAGGAAGATGGATGGATAGACAGATGGACAGAATGATAGGTTTTCTTTATAAGTCAGTATGAACTGAGTAGGAATTACATATTGGCAAAAATCAGCGAGCCAAAAATCAAACCAGCACATCAAATTGCTCTCCAAACTGAACTAAACCAATCTTAAGCGGTCGCTTAAGATCACCCATGTCGGGTGTTCTTCCCTTGGAGAAGGAGGCACTGGCAGTGTCAGGCATCCTGGAGAAGCCACCCCATAGACTGTGGGATGATGGTGCAGCCCTACTTATCACCTTCCTAAGACCAGCAATGTCAGAATGTTCAGTGGCACTTTACTCATCTCAAGGGTCTAGACATAGGCTCTGGGCAAAAACAACTCCCCACACCTCTTTGCTCTGTAACAACAAAGTTGATCTATTTCATTCAAAACTTGGTGAGTCCCTGGAGCTCAGCACACCACACCCGACACACACAACAACAGCACCAGCACCACACACAGAGGAGCACTGGGCTGAGCATCTGATGTGGGTATCTAATGCAAACCAAGCCTGATTCAGGCAGTACTGTTCCCATTTTCAAATGGGGAAACTGAGGCACGGGTCGGTTGTGCAGTTTGCCGAAGGGCGTGCAGCCACAGCATTACCGAGACGGCATTTGAACCCGGGCCTCCTCTGTGGCTACAAACCATCACACTAAACACTCTCCTGCCATAACTAGTGACTGATCTGATCTGATCTAGAACAGGCGCCTCTGTGACTACAATCACACGTCCTAAATGCATTTTTGGCTATACTCCCTTTTCCATTTATTCTGCAGATGTTTACTGAGGGCATGCTACGTGTCACCACTGTCCTGGTGCTAGGGACACGATCAGTGGTGAGCAAACACTTACTCTCCTCATAGAACTTTACTGGGAAAGAAATGTAATCCAACCAGCAAATGTGTAATTCATGTAGGACAAGTGTTGCTGTACGTGCTCTCAGCAGGGAACCTGGCCTGAGGGTCTGAGTGGCTCCTCTAAGTAACATCAGAACTGAGCCAGTGCCTGAAGGATAAGTTAGAGTGCCAGTGGAAAGGGGATGGAGATGTGTAATCCAGACACAGGGAAAGGACGTGCTAAGGGCCTGTGGCCGTGGGAGCATAGCTAGAGCCTATGGCTCAACAGGAGGTTAGGAGAAGCATGCAGAGTGAAGGGGAGTGGAGAGCAGGGGTCAGCGCACACTGCATGTTACATGCAGAGGGAAGACTTTGGTACAGGCAACGGGGAGCCTCTGAAGGGGTTTAATCAGGAGGATGGTGGGGGACAGAAGGATAACAGGATCTTATTTGTATTGGGAAAAGACCCCCTGGCTGCAGGGTAGGGTGTAGATTGGGGGCCACAGTGCACGCTGGCGCCTGGCTAGCAGACAGCGGCTGACAGCCTACCAGACAAGGCAATGAGACCTCACCTTTGTGATTCTGCAGACAGCTTTGCTCCTGCTTCCTCCATCCTGCTTTGAGGATCTTAAGTGCTGGGTCTGTTTGCCAGTGAAAGTTACCTTCTCCTTATCATGTCCGTCATAGAAACCCCCACAATGGGCTTACATGTGGCTCCATTTCACTGAAGTCGTCATGGATAGGATGGCCTAACCTGCCCGACTCTGTCTTTGTTCATTCTAATTCTGAGGTAATGGTCTGATTTTAAGAAAATGCTTCCTGGTGCAAACTCCCTTTTCTGAGCAGGCATCATTACTGCCAATTAATGAAACATCTGTGAGACTGCAAAGTCAAGCCTGCATCTGTCATTTAACTAGAATTCTCTCCATCTCCACCACCATTTCCACCATCTCAGGTAAAATACCAGTGCATTATTTCAAAGGCAAAGACAGTAGGATACATAACAGTGAGGATTGCCGTGCTCAGCCTAACAACGGGGGATTTAGAAGGTGTCTTCACCCCTTCCAGCCTACATGGTCTCTGCTCCTAAGAACTGATTAGTGCAGGTGTGGGTACCCAGAGACTGAATGCATCATTAATATGCTGTTATTAAGATTCCAAGGGTCTCATATCCTCACAGGTGATACAACAATATGCTAAAATATCCACTGACCTCATACATGAGCTCTGCCCATCAAAATAAATAAATTGTTACAAAAAAGAGATTGGAAAAAAAGAGCAATTTAAAAAAATAGCTTCAACCAAACTTGGCAAGGAAACACTTCTGAGGTCTTCCTGCATTTCAAACAAGGCTTTCTTGAGGTCTGCCCAGGAGCTGCTGAGGAAAGAGGCTGGAAGTGGATGAGGCCAGGCCAGCCAAGAGCAGGAGCGACCCCACGCCATCCTGTGATTCCCAAGGTCTCTTGTTGCTTCCACCACTTGCTCGCTCTCTCTCTCATTCAGAAGCTGATGGACAGCAGGGACAGGGGCTGCCCAGGCGCCAAGCCCATGACTCCAGAGGGCCTCAGGATCGTATCAAAGAGTTTCAATCATTCAGCTGCCCCCAGAGCTTTGGAAAAGTTGTGACATATTCATGGCATGCACAAAGAAACACACCACTTCCAGGATCTGAACTCTGACCAGTTGTTTGTGGCATGAGCCTTTGGCACGCAGAGAATGGCAAAGGTTTCTACCGGGTGTGACTGAAGGGAGAGAGCCCTCTCTGTGCTGCTAAGAGAAATGATGGGAGAATAAGTCAAGATAGAAAAACATTGAGGAAACTATGCTCAGCACATTCAGAACAACTATATATTCCCTGGTGCCATGCTTTGCATGGGAGGCAGGGAGCAAACCTTCTGAAGTCAGCTTCCTGTCTCCAAATCACAGACCTCAGACTAGTCATCCTACCCTTTCACACCCGAGTTTCCATAGGGGGCAGTGGGAATTGTATCCCGTTCTTTCCCCTCCTGCGTCCCTCCATAGCAGTTCATGAACTTCCACCCCATTAACTCTCCTGTTGTATCTGCCAGCGACTGCCACAATTACGCCAAATAAAACGCCACCCCAAACTCACTGCTTCACATAATCATTTATTCTCACTCACATGCATGTGCCTGCCTGGGCGTCGCCTGGCTGGGAGCCCACTGGCCAGCAGGGCTTGGCTCTGGGCAGCAGGTAGGGCCAATCCTGCCTCCCTGCCTCAATGTCTCTCCTGCTCCCTGCAGCCAGGTCCCGGGCTTGCTCTCGTGGATGAGGTTTGAAGCTCACGAGCACATGTGGAAACATGCTAACCTCGGGACGCCTAGGATCAGGACTGGCATGTGTCCTTTAAACACACACGACTGGCCAAAGCAAGTCACATGGTCAAACCTCAAATCAAATGGTGAGGAAGCACATTCTGCCTCTGGTGGAAGAACTTCAAAGTCTCATGGGAAGGAAAGGGGGAAGGTTGGTAACAATAATACCACCTATCCACCCGGCGCGGTGGCTCACGCCTGTAATCCCAGCACTTTGGGAGGCCGAGGCAGGCAGACGTGAGGTCAGGAGATCGAGGCCATCCTGGTGAACACGGTGAAACCCTGTCTCTACTAAAAATACAAAAAAAAAAAAATTAGCCGGGCGTGGTGGCCGGCGCCTGTAGTCCCAGTTACTTGGGAGGCTGAGGCAGGAGAATGGCGTGAACCCGGGAGGCGGAGCTTGCAGTAAGCCAAGATCACGCCACTGCAGTCCAGCCTGGGCGACAGAGCGAAACTCCGTCTCAAAACAAAACAAAACAAACAAAAAAACCAATAACACCACCTACCACAACTGTGAAGAAAATAACAGGCATACGAATGCTAATGCAGTTTAAGATGCCCCATGTGTGCTATACACACTTCATATATCCACTGACCCTTGAACAGCATGAAGTGGGGGCACCGACCCCTGTACAGCTGAAAACCCGTGTCTAACTTTCAACTCCTCAAAAACTTAACGACTGATAAGCTGCTGTTGACCAGAAGCCTTACGGATAACATAAACAGTTGATTAGCACATATTTTATATGTTATATGTATTATATACCGTATTCTTTATTTTTTTATTTTATTTATTTATTTTTTTGAGACAGAGTCTTGCTCTGTCGCCCAAGCTGGAGTACAGTGACATGATCTCGGCTCACTGCAACCTCCACCTCCTGAGTTTAAGCGATTCTCCTGCCTCAGCCTCCCAAGTAGCTGGGACTGCAGGCACTCCCCATCATGCCCAGCTAATTTTTGTATTTTTAGTAAAGGCAGGGTTTCACCAAGTTGGCCAGGCTGGTCTCGAACTCCTGGCCTCAAATTGTCCACCCACCTCGGCCTCCCAAAGTGCTGGGAATACAGGCATGAGCCACTGTGCCCGGCCTATATACTGTATTTACAATAAAGCAAGCTAGAGAAAAGAACATGTTACTGAGAAAAGCATAAGGGAGAGAAAATATAATTACAATTCATTAAGGGGAAGTGGATCATCACAAAGGACTTCATCCTCAACATCTTCACATTGAGTGGGCTGAGGAGGAAGAGGATGAGGGGTTGGTCTTGCTGTCTCTGTCTTGGGTCGCAGAGAAGGAAGAAAATCCACTTGTTAGTGGACCCAGTAGTTCAAACCCAGGTTGTTCAAGGGTCAACTGTATTAACACATTTGTTCCCACCACAACTCTCTGAGTTCTATTACTATCTTTTTTTTTTTTTTTTTTTTTTTTTTTTTTTTTTTTTTTTTGAGATGGAGTCTCGCTCTGTCGCCAGGCTGGAGTGCAGTGGCGTGATCTCGGCTTACTGCAACTTCTGACTTCCTAGCTCAAGCAATTCTCCTGCCTCAGCCTCCCGAGTAGCTGGGATTACAGGCATGTGCCACCACGCCTGGCTAATTTTTGTATTTTTAGTAGAGATAGGGTTTCACCATATTGGCCAGGATGGTCTCGATCTCCTGACCTCGTGATCCGCCCACCTGGGCCTCCCAAAGTGCTGGGATTACAGGCGTGAGCCACCGCGCCCAGCCTATTACTATCTTTATTTGTAGATGAGGAGAATGAGGAGGAAAGACATTAAGTCACTTGCCTGCACCACACTCATGCTGGGGCTGGGATCTAGAGCCGTGTCTGGCTCTGCGCCCTGCACGCCTCTCACACGTGCATCCTGCAACACCACAGCAAGGTCTCTGCCAGTGAACTGGGGAAGGCCCACACAGGCTCCAGGCATGGGAAAACCTGGTCAGAAATGTGTGGCTTGTGACTGTAGGTTCCGAGGACTTGGAACTGGCCAGAAGAACAAAGGTTACTTCTGTTTTGTTCAAGGTCACCAGTGAGACCTTGGTTGTACTTAACATAGAAACTGGCTCAAGAACACAGTTGTGTTTTTGAACATCACCCAGACAACAAATGTCTTCCCCCTTGCTCAACAGATATGAACCACAGGTGCTGAGGAAAGAGGTTCAAGCTGAGAGAAGAAGAATGCAAACTACAGGGAGGTCCTGCTCCAAGAGAACAGGCCCAGGACACATCCACATCAGGGTTTTCAAATTGGGTTTTGGCCACCTGGTCTTCACCACAGCGTGGGTGTCTCGCCTCATCCCTATCCAGGATCCTTGTGTCTCTCAACTCCATTTTCCTAAAGTAATGGCTGTTGGGCAGCCCTGCTGAAAGAAAGCCTGTCTCTTCACATGGGGGAGACCATTATTATCTAGCAGGAGATAATCTGATGGATTTCAATGGCTTACTAAAAAATCAATTTATTGTAGAGCTGAAAGGCTTGCTGGTTGGTAAACAATGCATATCAAATTTTGTCCTTAAGATATTCAACCTCCAGCTGGCTTGTTGCACTATCCAGCAAGCTCAGAACTGGAATGTCTCCATTGTCGCTCAAGAATGAGGAGCAAAATAACTGTAATTTACTTTCAAAACTCCAACTTTAGTAACAAGCCAGAAATGGTGATAGGCATAAGCCATTAAGAATGATTGGAAAGGGCCGGGTGTGGTGGTTCATGCCTGTAATCCCAGCACTTTGGGAGGCTGAGGTGGGCAGATCACGAGGTCAAGAGTTCCAGACCAGCTGGCTAACATGGTGAAATCCCGTCTCTACTAAAAATACAAAAATTAGCCAGGGGTGGTGGCGCGTGCCTATAATCACAGCTACTCAGGAGGTTGAGGCAGGAGAATTGCTTGAGCCCAGGAGGCAGAGGTTCCAGTGAGCCGAGATCACCCCACTGCACCCCAGAGTGAGACTCCATCTCAAAAAAAAAAAAAAGATTGGAAAGAGATTGCCTTGCACTTTGCAATATAAACATATACCATGTGTATGCCAAAGAATTGCTTTATTGCAACGTCACCGGAGCACACACCCTCTGCTTTTCTAATGATGTATTTGTACTTTATTCAGTTGTCTGTAACCCAAGTGCACTGATGCCTCCCACAAACTCTCATAGTGGTCAGATGTGCCTCTAAAGTGAACCATCCATTGCATGTGTAAGAAAATGCTTCCTATGCTGACAATAAAAACGTAGCTTTGCAAAAACCTGCTGTGAACTTGACCTCACTTTGGTGAGGCAGTAACTGATGACTAACAAGTCACCTCTGCACAGGTTAATCCCCTGGCTGATATCAAGCGCCGAAGGAAGCGGATGTCCTTATTGCATAGTTGCTCGCCAAAGGAAGGCACTACTGGCATGAGAGAAATTGATGTCATTAGAAGTAGAGAAACCATGTGAAGCAGCCACTGGGCTGAGCCAGTGTTGTCAATTACAGGCTCCTTGGCTGGAATTCTGCAAAATCTTAAATAAGGTGTTAGGTGTTAAACTCACCTGTGGTGAGCATGGAGTTTCGCCCTACTCGGCCCTTTAAAGAGTCCTGGCAGGTTGTAGCCACTTTTCCTCCGGAATATACAAAGTTCCTCTCTCTGAATGAAGTTTTTTTTGTTGTTGTTGTTTTCTGAGATGGAGTCTCGCTCTGTCGCCCAGGCTGGAGTGCAGTGGCCTGGTCTCTGCTCACTGCAAGCTCCGCCTCCCAGGTCCACGCCATTCTCCTGCCTCAGCCTCCCGAGTAGCTGGGATTACAGGCTCCCGCCAACACGCCCGGCTAATTTTTTGTATCTTTAGTAGAGATGGGGTTTCACCGTGTTGGCCAGGATGGTCTCGATCTCCTGACCTCGTGATCCACCCGCCTCGGCCTCCCAAAGTGCTGGGATTACAGGCGTGAGCCACCGCGCCTGGCCGAATGAAGTTTAAAAATTTTTTTTTCTAAGGAAAAGAGGAGAAAGCAGGGTGGAGGAGGGGCTAAAAGCAGAAGCTTGGGCTTCATTGTCATTCTGTGAAGTGCCGGAGGGGCCACTGAAGAAGCAAGAGTCCCTGACCCTCTCCGCCGTTCCTTCTGCTTTGCAATCCCAGGGCTGGGGGGAAAAGGAGCGTGGGAGGAGATTCAAGGTAGATTCTGTGGGGGCTCTCAAGACCGAAGGATGCCAGGTACGCCTGAAGACAGAGCCACCGCTGGGAATCAGGGGCGGTAGGAATGTTGGCACCCCAAGTGTGGAGACCCCCCACCCTTTCCTCCCAGGCAGCTCTTGGCCCACTAGCAGTCAGGCTCATACCCTCCAGGGGAGCAAACTGTCCAGCCCAAGAGGAAAATCCTGAGGACACCAATGATGTGAGTTCCCAAAGATGTGGCTCTGCTGTGTCACCCTAAAATAGAGCTTGAAGTCAGCAAACCTCAGAGCTGCCAAAGAGATTTTTAATCTTCCGCTCTTAAATATGAGAAGATGATGGGAGATAACCCAATATCTGGGTAAACATTCAAATGTGAAACACAGAAACAAAAACAGACGAATCGAAAAACAGAAGAAAGTGACTTGCAATCACACTGGCATTAGTGTCCTCAGAAAGGTACGGGAAGATGTTGCATCTAAAAGAAAAGAGTAAAATCACACACACACACACATATGCACATACACATGGCACACACACATGCACACATACACGCACACACATATACATGCACACTCACTATTTTCAAGGAATGACTAGAGAATTAAAAGAGCTTTGGGAAATTAAGAAATTACAGCAGAAATTAAAGATTCAATAGATGGGTTTTGAATTCAAGTAAAGGTGAGTGAGGAAGTTTCCCAGAAAGTAGAGGAGGGAAAAAGACTAACAAACAAAAACAGAAAATAGCAGAGGAAAAAATGAGAAGATCCAGCTCCAGAGCTCCAATATCCTCATAACAGCAGTTCCATAGAGAGAGGACGCAGCAAATGAAGGTGGGTATCTCGTCAATAAAATTTGGGCCCACTGAGCGCCCAACACAATGGGTGAAAGTTGAACCACACTGTGCTACATCATCATAAAATTTCAGAAATTTGAGAACAAAGACCCTATTAGCTTATGGAGAAAAGAACAAACAGAAAACAGATTACATACAAAGACCAGGAATCAGGATGGCTTGGCACTTCCCAATGGCAACACTGAAGGCTAGAAATCTTAAAGAACATGATCGCTAACCTAGAATTTTATGCCCATCCAAACTATGAATAAAGAAGGGTATGGAATGGAGACATTTTCAGACATTCAAGACCTCAAAACATTCACAGCCTATGAATTCCAGTTGTTCTGTAATTGTTCCTGAAGATGTGCTCAACAGAAACAAGAATATAAGCTAATAAAAAGGAAAACATGGGCTTCCCAGAAAATGGGATCTAACGCAAAAGAAAAAAGGCAAAAGAACTCATCTGAGTGATGAAAGGTGACCCTAAGATGACACAGTGCACTGGGTACAGAGTATGACTAGTCCCCCAGAACTTCCTCCCTTAATGGTTCCAGACTAGCCTTGGCCAAAGAGACACCTTGCATGAGACTGAGAAGGTGAAGGTGAAGCAGCAGCCATGTACAGTGGAAAGGTGGGTGCAGGGAACCAGGAGTGGTTGCAGCTCACACACATCGTCAGCAACCTGTAGGCTCACCTGTAGCAGCCGGGCCTCTGCCATCCAGCTGCTGCTGAGCCTCCTCCATAGATTCCTTGGAATCCTGAGCAATTTTTAACTCTATGGAAACAAAAAGATGGGCAAGAAGAGAAATGCCATCACAATATATCATGTGTCTTAGCAGTGAATAGAATTTACATGGTAAATGTTTGTATCTCCCTGCAAATTCATATGTTGAAGCACTCACCTCCAGTGTGATGGTATTAGGAGGTGGGGTCTTTGGGAGGTGATTAGGTTTGGATGAGGTCATTAGAGAAGAGACCCCAGAGCTCCCTCTCGCCACCACGTGAAGACACAGCAAGAAGACAGCCATCTGCAAGCCTCACCGGGAACTGAATCGGCCAGCACCTTGATCTCAGACTTCTAGACTCCAGAACCATGAGTAATAAGCCACTCTGTCCGTCGTATTTTATCATAGCAGCCCAAGCTGACTAAGATGCATGCACATGATGATGTAAATGCTGAATGCTGGTTGCATCAAAGTTACTAGACAGCTGAACTGGGGAGAAAGCAGGATGGGAAGAGTGTGTGGGTGTTGAAGGCTGGGGGGGTGGGGGTGGGGCAGTTAAAGAGCTAAATGCTTACCTTCCGTAGAGGATGCCAATAGTATCTAAAACTGAAGCTTTCAGATACAGCAATATAAGCATGTTATTAAAAGACATGATTCATAATCATCGGCTAAAAAGTGGTTGCCTCAAAGGATCAAAAGGAAGAGGGAAGGGATTGCCACCCTCATAAGAAGCCATAAAGAACACAATGCCCACTATGTAAATATATACATAAAATTTTTTTTAACGGAAGTATCCATTTACAATGTACAAACTTAGAAGAACTGTTAAATACTTTACAGTACATCCAGTGACAGAACATTAGCCAACTGTTAGAATTATGTTTCCAAGGACTATCATGGCATGGGAAATGCTGAAAATATAGAGCAGGTAAATAAAGAGGGCAGCACACAAAGTTGCATGTATAGTGTGATCCCAATTATGAAACCAAACAGCGCAGAGACGAAAGACTGAAATCCATGTTATCAAGATATTAAGCTGCTGTGGTAGCTCATGCCTTGGGAGGCCGAGGTGGGAGAATGGCTTGAGCCCAAGACTTTGAGACCAGCCTGGGTAAACATAGAGAGATCCTTGTCCCTGCAAAAAAAAAAAAAACAAAAAAAAGGTAAAAATGTCAGCCAGGCGTAGTGGTACATGCCTGTAGTGGAGGCTATTCGGGAGGCTCAGGTGGGAGGATAGCTTGAGCCCTGGAGTTGGAGGCTGTGGTGAGCTAGGATGGCAGCACTGCACTCTACCCTGGGTGAGAGTGACAGAGCCTGTCTCAAAAAACAAAACAAACAAACAAACGCAACAAAAAAAGATGCATGTTAACCGTGGTAATCTTGGGTGGTAAGATGATGAACTTTGATTTCTTTTTTATATTATTCCATATTGGCCAAATTTTCTTCAGAAGTCCAGACTGCTCTTATAAGTGGAAGGAAAAAATATGTTATTATTACTATTATTTATTTATTTATATATATATTTTTGAGACAGTCTCACTCTGTCGCCCAGGCTGGAGTGCAGTGGCACCATCTCGGCTCACTACAAGCTCTGCCTCCTGGGTTGATGCCATTCTCCTGCCTCAGCCTCCAGAGTAACTGGGACTACAGGCACCTGCCACCATGCCAGGCTAATTTTTTTGTATTTTTAGTAGAGACGGGGTTTCACCATGTTAGGCAGGATGGTCTTGATCTCCTGACCTCGTGATCCGCCCACCTCGGCCTCCCAAAGTGCTGGGATTATAGGCTCGAGCCACCATGCCCAGCCTATGTTATTATTTTTAAGGTCTCCTATAACAAAAATTCCCCACTGAAATTAATTAGGTATCTTTTTATCTAAGTATATAAAATATAAATAGTATTAGATATAAAGGAGAGGTAACTATCCATGGAATTTTTCTTTTCTTTTCTTTTCTTTTTTTTTTTTGAGATGGAATCTTGCTCTGTCACCCAGGCTGGAGTGCAGTGGTGCGATCTTGGCTCACTGCAAGCTCCGTCTCCTGGGTTCATACTATTCTGCGTCAGCCTCTTGAGTAGCTGGGACTACAGGCGCCCGCCACCACACCCAGCTAATTTTTTATATTTTTAGTAAAGACGGGGTTTCACTGTGTTAGCCAGGATGGTCTCGATCTCCTGACCTCGTGATCCGCCCATCTCGGCCTCTCAAAATGCTGGGATTACAGATGTGAGCCACCGCACCCAGCCTATCCATGGATTTTTTTTTTTTTTTTTTTTACCCTTTTCTTAGCAGCTGCTCAACCATTCATTAGCACCACATTCTGACTTGGGAGACAGGGCATGTACCAAGTGCCCAGGTCTCTGTCCCTGCCCTGGTGTCTGCCATGGGTCACAGGAAAGGGCAAAATTGTTTCTGTTAAAATATTGAGCTTGTTTTTGGGGTGCAGTGTTTGCTGGTTGTGATTTGGAAGTTGGCTACAGTTCAGTCTCCTTCATCTATGGTATCTCCTTACCACTTCCATCTCATTCATTCATTCATCCATTCATTCCACAAACACGAATTGTGCATCTACCATGCACTTACATTCTCTGCTACACAGTCTGGGGGCTCAGATCTATCCTGACCTCAAGGAGCTTACTCTCTAGCAGTGAAAATACAGAAGCACATAGGTAACTATAACACAGGATCAAATTTGGCAAGGGCATAAGCAAGGTACATGAGGTTTCCAAAGGAATGGAGGGAAATACAAACTCTCAACTCTTCGTGTGTCAGTGTGGGGCCAGTTCCGTAAAATGCTCTCATGTTGAAGGGTTGCTCATTCCCTGCATAATTTACCATTTCACAAAAATCGACTCTTTAAAAGCATGGTGTTTAAACATAGAAGAAGAAATCATCCTGCTATGGTCGGCTTACCCTGAAATGTATTAATAACTCTGGCCCCAACGTGGTTCTCCCAGCAAGCTGCTAACAGGTTTAGATTTCTTGTGGTTTCTTGATTATGTGAGCATGCAAGAAGGCTGTTTTTTGTTTTGTTTTGTTTTTGCTATTTCCAACAGATCAGAGTACCAATCTTTATCTCTAAGAACGCACAGAAAAGATGTCCATTTCTACCCATATTCATTCCAGTAAAATATCTGTTACTAACAGGGATTTATCTTTCTACCCACAAAGTAGTGGGTGAAGGGCCCATGCTTCTGAAGATTACTCTCCTTCTTCCCTGCCTCTCCTGTCCCCCACACCAAGGCTGTGCTATGTGAGAGGGAGTCAGAGGGGAGCTCTGCCATCTGCTCCTGATATCTGTGGAACAGCCCCAGGCAGGCTACTCTCAGACCTCCAGGGCAGCAGTATGCCTTTACTAAATTAGAGGTGGCAGTAAATATGGGATGAGTTAGTTTGAAAGTGGTCACAACCTCACCCTGAAAGTACTAAAAGCTATAGGTACATGTTGTTTAGCCAGGAAGAGTGTTCCCAGAAATTGCAGAGCTAAGTCAAACAGCCATACACCCAGCAACTTTAGCACACTACTGATGGAGGTGTGTTCCCAATATGGTATGTGTCTATCTGATCTGCTAGAAAGAGAGCTAGCTGGTGGTTTGATCAAAATAGTAAAAGTGGGGAATCATTCTAAAAAAATACATACATAACCCCTTTAACTTAAAACACATATTTGCCAATCTTTTGAACTTGGGCCAAGGCCCTTTCCTGAGTCTCTGCGGTTCCTTCTGCAAAATCCACATATGCAATGCGTCAAAGCTGATTTCCAGGTCGGGCTTCTTTACAGTGTAGTTAGGTTTTAAGACACCTTGAAGCAATCAGAGTACAGAGTCTTCTGTATTTTTGTTAACTCCCCAGCCCGTTCCCCTACAATTGTCTCACAACCAACCAATTTAACAATCATTTTTAATCAATTCACCCTAGCCAAGTTTTCCAAAGTAATCAAATTTATTTTATTATTTAAAAATGTATTTTTCACTCATAACCCGTCTTCCTCATGTTTGTATAACATCAATTAGATTTAAAGTTTCAAATAATTGCAATAGCTGCCCTAAGAAGGTTTAGGAGGAAATCCACCCAATGCTTGGAGGACGGGCAGTGCCTGGGATGCGCTAGAAAATACCTTCCAGCCAGGGCTGTTGGGCCTCTGCGCAGCCCGAGGGGCCTCCGCTCTCACTTAGCCGCCCACCAAAAGCTCTGTGGACTTCGGGGATTTAGTCTTTGTTCCCAGGGTACACACAGCTAGGCCAAAAGCAGAACCCCACATCCCACTGAGGTCACTCCCTTGGGCTGCCACGACTCGCAAGTGTATTTTAACCTGAAAATACACGTGAAATTATCCTGTGTGTGTTTGGCCTTAAGAAAATTACCCCCAAATAGGGCCGGCGCGGTGGCTCATGCCTGTAATCCCAGCACTTTGGGAGGCCGAGGCGGGCGGATCATGAGGTCAGGAGTTCAAGACCAGCCTGGCCAACATAGTGAAACCCCCGTCTCTAATAAAAATACAAAAAATTAGCCAAGCGTGTTGGCAAGCGCCTGTAATCCCAGCTACTTGGGAGGCTGAGGCAGGAGAATTGCTTGAATCCAGGAGGCGGAGGTTGCAGCGAGCCGAGATCGCGCCATTGCACTCCAGCCTAGGCGACAGTGCGA
Organism: Homo sapiens; assembly: GCF_000001405.40. NCBI lineage: Eukaryota > Metazoa > Chordata > Mammalia > Primates > Hominidae > Homo > Homo sapiens. The sequence goes on along the minus strand of NC_000002.12, from coordinate 109,006,222 downwards.
GACTCTGTCTAAAAATTAAAAAAAAAGAAAAAGAAAAAGAAAATTACCCCCAAATAATTGCTAAGTGTTTCAGCCAGTAGCGTCACTCCACACGCGTTCACATTGTTCCCCCGCAACCCCACACACGTTTCTGCTATGGGCAGCCACGTGACTGCCGGTGGGCCAATGGAACCCACGGAAGCAACACCGCCACTTCCGGGCTGGCCGTAGGAACCTCTCACGTGACCCACTGGCTCATGTGACCTCTGTGCTTCCTCTCCTCTTTTCAGCTGAACACATGGGCAGCTCCACGACTCCGAAGCCCTGGGAATTGGATAAAGGCGGTGGGCACCATTCCCCAGGCTGAACTGGGCTGTGGTTGAGAACGACGTCAGCTGTTGAAATGTGAAGTGGTTACAGCTGATTTCCAGGAAAATACAGGGATAACGGCCAAAAGCCAGAGCATGGAAGGGTAAGCAAAGTTTTGTGGCCCAGTGCCCCATGCTCCAGCTGTCATTGCCAGATGGAAGCTGGGCTCCTCGAGGTGGAACAAAACGCTGGTTGTAAGAGCTGTGTGCCCGCAGTTTAATTTAGGGAACATGAATACATATTGAAAGGCAATTAATAGCAAAGACCAGTATGTACTACGTGCCAGACGAGGGGGAAGAGAGTGTTGCACACTGCGACTGCCCAGGAAGGCTTCAGAGAGGTAGGGAAAGGCAAACTGCTTCTGCAGACAGGGTGGAAGGGAAGATGGCATACCAGGCAGAAGGATGGGAGGTCAAAGAACCAGAGGCAGGAATGACCCTGAGACTTGGAGGGCAGTTTGGGGAGTTCTGGAAAGTCAGCTTGGAGAGGGAGATCCAGGCTGTGGAAGGTCTACTTGTGGAGATCAGGAATTTGGACTTGACCTTCTGTGCAACATGGAGATGCATTATAGAAAACTTAGGACAGGGGAATGAATTCCCAGTATTTTAGAAAGATTAGTCTGGAGGAAGGTTAATTAATAGATTGCTGCAGTGCTTCAGGAACCAGATTCCTCCTGAGCAAGGCCCATGTTAATAGTCTGTTTTGTTACAGTGGGGCCTGGCACACAGGGTATTCTAGCTTCTAGGTACCAAATACATATGTCTTGAGTTGGATTAGGATGAAGAGGGTCTTGACTAGTGAAGAGGCCAGGGGCCTGGGAAAGAAAGAACAGGTGTGAGAGATTATATGAAAACCCATCAGACTGGGCCTGTGGAAGAGGGAGAAGAGAAAATAACCACCGGGCTCTGAACATATGTGAGTGAGAATTAGTGATAGCGTGGACAATAGAGACTCTCCCAGCACAGAGCATGCCCTTGTTCAATAATTAGGAGAGGGAGGGAATCATGACCACAGGGAGTCAGATGAATAAAACTGGGAGAAGATGGTGAGTTTTGTTTTAGATATTTCTGATTTGAAGCAGTGATAGGCTCCGCAGATTTAAATG